>NC_000003.12:120675270-120978301 GCF_000001405.40 Homo sapiens
ATCCTCCAAAATTGTGACCCTATCATACCTGTAACCCTGTAATAATCAGGCATTTTTTCCTTTTTTTTTTTAAGAAATGAGGATTTTTTTATGCTATGATACGGCCTGCAAAAAGTTTTGAAAATATTTTTGTTTCCCGTGTTGTTGCTTTTCTAACCAGCACTAGTATGAACATCTTTGTGCATACATGTGAAAGCACCTTGTTATTTTATCATAATGCTCACATCCATGGTGTTCAAGGGGAATATGAGGGATTCTCTTTAACTCTGGATTTTTGGGGATCCTACTGGAAACCCTACAGTTAATTTCACTAGTTTGGATTGGCTGCTGTGCCACCAATCCAATTTTAATCTTTGTGTTGTCATTGCTCTGTATCTTCATTGCCCCTATGACTTGGGAAACCTCTAGACAGTTCACAGGCTAGATTGGAAGAGCCACGGTGGGTGGAGGCACTTTGGCCTGAAAGCTAGTCATCCAGGAATAGGATTCAGAGCTCTTCTAAGCACTTTATTTGCTCATACCTGTCCTTCTGGCAGGGAACCTGGGCAGCGAGGATCCTCTGAAGAACACTCATTCCCAAATCCAGAAATGTACTGTAGGTGACAAAGACACAAATGCCACCATTAGCAGGATTTAAAGAGCATTTCAGAAAATTGGCAGTTTACTAAGGTAAGAATTTCTATATGGACCTATGTTTGTGTATGATGTTCCACATATAATATCTTTACTGTGTCTTGACATATGAATCATTTAGGGAAGACAATATGGTTTCTGTGAATTTTAAAGACTTCTAATTAATCAGAAGAGTGCTGGATATTGCATAGACTTCTCCACCCTTAGCTGTACTTAGCTGATTTGTGGGTCTACACTGTAACCTCCCTGAACTTGAGACTCCATTTCCCTTTCAAACTCTGGGAAAAAAAAGAAAAAGCATCTATGAAGAGGTGTGTGGGTCCAACCCTGACAGCAAAACCCTCTCCAAACTAGCCTTGCTGTAGGCAGAAGCCTCTGCTATCTGCCTCATCTATGGAACACATCTATATTTGTGCGAATGCATGAAAATAAAGTTTAAAGATATGGGTGGCCTTCAGGAGACACGCCAGCCCAGCATCTTTTCACAATGACACAATGGAACCTACTCTGATTGCCATCTCTTCACTTTACACCCAGAGGAAAAAAAAAGTTAAAGGGTTTCTCAACCAGGTAAGTCATGGAGAGCCCCTGAAACTTACTCTTGCAACACTCAACACACTTGTGAGTTCTTGTGCACTGTCTGGCTTTTTTGCTAGCCTATAAGCTGCATGAAGGCTGAGACTATGGCAGTCTTGGCTCATAGAAGGTAATCAGTGGAAATTTGTCGATTGATTGAATTTTTCCCTTAAAGCCAATTCTAATGTAAGTGTATGTGTGCTGCTGTAAATAGGGTTAGAACCCTTTTTGCTCTAACTTAAATACCAATTGATTTTAGCCCAGGATAATGAAAATGCAGTCTTGCTCAGCAAGCGAAATGTAACCATCTGAACACAGCTCCTTAAGAGATATAAGAAGGGTGGAAGTGGGTGAAGGGTAGGCCCTCCAGAGTTCTCAGTTGTTGCGGGAAGTCTGGGACTCCAAACGGAGGGATCAGCTGAAGCCATGGCAGAAGTTCGTGGATTGTGAAGATTTCATGGACATTTATTAGTTCCCCAAATTAATACTTTTGTAATTTCTTATGCCTGTCTTTACTGCAATCTCTAAACATAAATTGTAAAGATTTCATGGACACTTATCACTTCCCCAGTCAATATCCTTGTGATTTATGCCTGTCTTTACTTTAATCTCTTAATCCTGTCAGCTGAGGAGGATGTATATTGCCTCAGGACCCTGTAATAATTGCATTAACTGCACAAATTGTACAGCATGTGTGTTTGAGCAACATGAAATGTGGACACCTTGAAAAAAGAACAGGATAACAGCAATTGTTCAGGGAATAAGAGAGATAACCTTAAACTCTGACTGCTGGTGAGCCAGGCAGAACAGAGCCATATTTCTCTTCTTTCAAAAGCAAATGGGAGAAATATCGCTGAATTCTTTTTCTCAGCATGGAACATCCCTGAGAAAGAGAATACGAGCCAGGAGGTATAGGCTTATAAACAGCCCCCCTCCAGGTGCGCCTGTCTCTTATGGTCGAGACTGCAGGGGTGAAATAGACCCCAGTCTCCCACAGCGCTCCCAGGCTTATTAGGAAGAGGAAATTCCCGCCTAATAAATTTTGGTCAGACCAGTTGATCCTAAAAACCCTGTCTCCTGATAAGATGTTATCAATGACAATGGTGCCCGAAACTTCATTAGCAATTTTAATTTCGCCTCGGTCCTGTGGTCCTGTGATCTCACCCTGCCTCCACTTGCCTTGTGATATTCTATTACCTTGTAAAGTACTTGATGTCTGTGACCCACACCTATTTGCACACTGCCTCCCCATTTGAAAATCCCTAATACAAACTTGCTGGTTTTTGTGGCTTGTGGGGCATCACGGAACCTACCGAAATGTGATGCCTCCCCCGGATGCCCGGCTTTAAAATTTCTCTCTTTTGTACTCTGTCCCTTTATTTCTAAAGTTGGCCGACGCTTAGGGAAAATAGAAAAGAACCTACGTGAATATTGGGGCAGGTTCCCTGATACTCAGTGGCGTGGAGATGTAACAAGCCTGGATGTGTGAGTGATGATCAGGCCAACAACAGTCTGTATTTGGAAGAAATATCAGATGTGAATGTTATGACCTAGGAAGCAATGGAAGTGAAAAATTATTCTTTTTGCCTTCAGACTCAATATTTTGTATATTTGAAAATTTGTCAACACAAAAAATACTAAGTTGTATACTGATTTGTTAAAAGCAGCAGCATGCAGTTAGGATGATATCTTTGGGGAAATGGCAGAGACCATCCAACATTCTGATTCTCCACTGCATCCAATTTTCTACTCTCAAAATGAACCCCATGCTCACCATCAACGGGATTGAATTTGAGCTGCTGAGAATTGGTAATAACCCCAAATTATCTTCAATTCTGTGAAATGGAATTTTAGACCAGCCTGTGACTGAAGCCACTGGGCATTACAGTGCCTTCGCTTTGTTCAACTGCCGCATTGTTTCTCTCTGCAAGAGAGGAAGGAAGGCTGGAGTACAGCTGAGCTTTCTGGCAGGCACTGGTGGAGTTACTCATTAACCTTCCCCATTCTTTGTAACTGGTGGCCTTAGAAGAGGGTTCAGGGTTATGTGTTTGGAACACGAGTTAGTATAAATGGTTCTGAAGCACTTGATTCAGACTGTGCTTTAAAAAATAGGAAAGAAAGTAGAAAGAACAGCTGATGGTTTGGAAGGGAGCCACCAAGCACCAAGAGGTGTGAGTTCTGAATCCGTTTCTCAATCTTAGCTGCAGGGCATTGGCTAAAGAGGAAGGTGAAAACTGCTGAGTCACTATCAAATCAATTGGTTTTTCTAATCCCCTGAGAGAAAAAGTACAGAGTTTATTGCAGCTTTAAAATGCCATGCCCCTCACGGCCAAAGGCATCTGAATTAAGGAAGCAGTATTCACAGCTGCTTTCTCCAGACATTGAGCTCAAGGACAGAATCTGAACTCTGCTTTTATCAGCTGCGAAAATCCAAGCATTCATTTCCAGCTGGTTCAGTGCCTATGTAAAAGTATACTGTGTACAAAAATAAGATTAAAAAGCTAACATTAAGCAAGTGTGTTTGTATGTTTTCTACAGTTCGGATTTCTGAATAATTTGATCCGACAGAAAAATATGATTTCATTTCTTTTCGAGAGAATTATATGCATACTTTCTAAATGCAAGAATAAATTCCTGAGCTCCATGTGACTTCAGTACCATCAGCTCTTTGGCAGCTTATGAGTATACAGCTTTTTAATTCTCACCTGGTCCCCAGGATATGGTTTACTTGTCAGAGTAGTTTTATGAGGTGCTTTCTCCTGACTCTGATTCTAGGTAACACCTGATGAGATGAACAGATGGTGCACCTCACTTCCTCTTACTGGGCATGAAGGAAAGAGAGAGAAGTCAGGGTAGAGATGAAACTACTGCTACATTTTTTTTTTCTGTGGAAAAAGAGTCTAATATTTCTAATTAACCTTGATGGGAACATAGAACATAGATTGTAAAGGGAACTTGCACATTATCGCAGTAGGCTGAATAATGGCTAATGGCTCACTCTGAAAGATATGTATGGCTTAACCCCTGAAACCTGTGAGTATTATCTTTTCTAGCCAAACAGACTTTTGCATATATAATTAAGGATCTTGGGATGGGGAGATATCCTAATTATTTGGGTGTATCCTAAATGTAATCACAAGTGTCATTATAAGAGGGAGGCAAAGGGAGATTTGACTTATAAGAGGAGAAAATGTGACGTGATTACAAAAGCAGAGATACATTTTTTTGAAGATCGAGGAAGAGGCTACAAACCAAGGAATGTGGGTAGCCTCTAGAAGAGGAAACAGAATCCATGGAAAAGGCAGGAAAACACAATCTCTCATAGAGTCTCCAGAAGAAACAGCCACACTGACACCTCGACTTTAGCCCAGTGAAACCGATTTCAGACTTCTGACCTCCACAACTTCAAGATAATACATTTGTGTTGTTTTAAGCCAATAAATTTGTGGTAATTTTTTACAGCAGCAAGAGGAAATCAGTTACGTAGAATAGTAGGTCCTGTCTCTGGCTAATCATTAGAATCACTCCAGAAGCTTGTTACATACAGACCCAGAGCCAGTGAATCAAGGATTTGGTGGTGGGGCCCAGAGCCTGAATATTAAGCAAGTTCTTCGTTTTAGAAATGAGGAAACCAAGGTTGGGAGAAGCTAAGCAACTTACTCAAATACATAGGGTATTTCATTTTAAATTTAATTTTATTACTTTATCTTTTGAATTTTCTTACCCCAGTTGTACTTTTGTGTAAATGTGATTTCATTTACGGCTTTGTGTTGACATATTCATTAAAATGAAGAAATAAAAGATGAGAAACAGTTTTAAAAATTATATAATGTTTATTGATTAGAATGAATATGATGCAATCTGGTTTTCTGTGTTCAGATTCCTGACCTCTGGAGTTAACCTTTCTTTGTAAAGATTAGACAGCAGGCAGGGAAGAATGCCTTTGAAACTGAGAGCAAAGACTGGCATGCAATTTACATTGATGTCCTGGTGCTGTGCATAATAAGTTGCTTAAACATGACAGCAGGATAGGATTTTACATAAAATTTATTTATAAATGGTAAAGATGTTTCCAACCTCTGCTGAACTTCCTCATAGAATGTTCATCAGAAAACAAAGTTTCTATCTACTCTTTCTTCCAAGACTTCAACTCCTACCACTGACATCATGACCCTCAGTTCTATTCCCCTAGCCCTGCCCACTCCCCTGAAATCCAGATCCATAAATC
The DNA here is from genome assembly GCF_000001405.40 of Homo sapiens. NCBI lineage: Eukaryota > Metazoa > Chordata > Mammalia > Primates > Hominidae > Homo > Homo sapiens. The sequence continues at coordinate 120,680,708 of NC_000003.12, forward strand.
CAACCACCGCCTGGGTATCTCAGTTTGGCTGTCCCTCCATCAACTCAAATTTGGCTGACACAGTTTTGGATTCTAGAGCATGCAGGCATTCTGTATGTGCTGTGCCTTTGCACTCACTCTTCCCTCCAGACCCCGTCCTTCCTCACTTTGCCAGTTCCAACTTCTCTCTGAAGACTCAGTTTAGGTACAGGCTCCTTTAGGAAATTTTTTTTTGACTCTACCTAGCCCAGACTCAGTTCATCTACGATATTAATCTGCAGTGTCATGCACTAGCACAAAATATTTGCTGAATGAAAGAATGAGAGTTAACTTTTAGTCAGGCATAAAGATAAAAAACCAAAGTCTTTTACTCCGGTGTGGAGTGTTTTCAGGATTCCTACCAATTAGGAAGGTGTTTGATTCTTCAAACTCAGAAACACCTCCCCTTAACTGATGGATTCTTCAAACTCAGCATCAGTTAGAGGGCATTAGGGCACTTCTCAAACCCTGCATTCAGGGAAGATGTCTGTTGTGGGGTGGTCTGGCCTACTTGGCCTGAGCCAAGGTTCTGGGCAGTTCTGTTCAGTTACACATGCATGCGTTGAGCATTGATTCAAGCCTGGCCTGGGCACTAGGCATGGTTTTAGATATTAGGGACATATTCTGTTTTCCTTGCCTTAAGATACCAGTCTAGTAGGAGCCACTAAGGCCCCTTTTTGAGCCTGGACTTCGCATTCAAACATACCCTGCTTCTAATCAAGTCATCTATTGGCAGTGACCTTGGGCAAATCATAGTCTCTCCAAGCATTACTTTTCTAATTGAAACAAGAACCTCTCTCTATACCCCAGATTTATTTTGAGGATTATGAGTTAATTCATAGCTAAAATGCTTAGCACCTAACAGCACATAACCCACACATACTTTTCAATTGCGTATTACTAAAAAGAAGGAATGATTTCCTAGAGGAGGTGCTTCTTCTGGCCAAGGGCTGATTCAGAGCCTTAATTAACTAAATAGATCAAGCATATCTAACTGGTCACCGGAAGTGGTCCATGAGGCTGCAGCAATGGGAAGGTGTCAGAGCAGGGGTTGGGAAAAAGACATAGAGAGAAACGTGCATGTCCGTAGTGGAGGGGAGCTCTTAGGATGTCTACAGATTTCCAAGACAATAATTGAAATGAACAAAGGCAAGGGATGACCAATAAGAGCTTCATTTCTTTCCTTTATCACCTTTCCCTTGTTCTTCAGCTCCAGCTGTGCCCACAGACACCACAGGGAAGCCTCTGAACACAGGGGTTTGAACCAGGGCCTCTCTAAGTCTTTTCCAACTCTGATACCCTGAAGTTCTCAGAAACTTCCATAAATTTTGGCTGAAGAAGCCATAGCAAACTTGTCAGATGGTTTCTTACCTTTAACTCAGCCATTTTCTCTCTCCTCTATGTGTGGTGACTTCAGGAAACCCAGGCCCAGAGGATATAAAGCCACAATGCTTCTTTCTCCTTCAAACCACTCTTTGGATATTCCGGTTCCCACTGCTTCACTGCGCTTCACTGGTCAGTGCGTCACTCAAACTAGCTGAAAGAATTGTCTAACTCATACACAGGGACAAAGTCCAGCAAGCTTATTTAACCGGTTACACAATTGCCTTTGGTTTTTACAGTTTGTTCCTAAGTGTTTCCAGAGGCTTGGTTCCTCTTCACCTGAGGTAGAGATTGACCAATTATTTATTCCAGTTAAAAGTAGGCTTATTTCAAAAGGCAGAGAATTTGAAGCTATCGGGGAAAGGAACTGTGGCAGATAGTGCCTGCTGTGTGTGGTGGAGGATTCTCTGCTCAGTCCTGACTCAGGCTAGGAAGGAACAGGGCAGTGCTGAGTCTCCTGGAGAGCAGTGAGAAAACCCCCAGGCATTTACCAGCTGCAGATGTGTACACTGGGGTAAGATGTTTACACACAGCCACCTGAAGACAGGGACCAGGACCAGAACCAGTTTTCTGCAGGTGCCTCCCAGGAATGAGCTCAGGTTCTTGGGTGAACCATTCAGAGCCTGAGATATTTCACTTAGAGCAAACTGATATGTTTCCTACTGCTCCTTTTAATTTCTTAAAGTACGTTTAGTTTTCTTATAAATTCTTTAAGAGTTTTGTTTCCTAATGCCTCTATACTTCTAAAACAGACCAAGGGATTATTCTCCAGCCACCTCCTCTATGACTCCCTTGTTCTTCATCTTGGCCGCTCTCCTTGGTCATTGGCAGGTAGCAGCTTCATGACTAGTGGTGTTCAGAAAGGAGAAAACATATATTGAGTTTCTGCTTTTGTCAGATTTTTCCATATCTAACTTCACAAAAACAATCTTGTAAATTAGGCATTATCACAACTCAAATGCCAACAGATGAGGGAGGAAGTGTAAGTGAATAAAGTAGGCTAGCTGATTTTTCAAGATAAGATGAAGCTCCAATTTTTAACCATTGGTAATTAGAGTGAGAGAGACAGAGAAACCACCCTGTGGTAGATGGCAAAAAATGCTCCAATTCCTCCTATCCTTGTATGTGTGCCCCTTTGAATGTGACTTTGCTGTTCCTCCCATCAAGAGGTAGGGTCTTTTTCTTTGGCTAGTAGCAAACATGACACAGAGTTTGAAACATGCCTGTGCCTTAGGACAGGGCCCATTCTTGCAGCCTGAGACCACAGTGCAGAGAAGCTGGGCTGGCCTCCAGAGGTCCAGGCAACAGCCCTGCAAGCCCCACAGGAACTGCCAGACATGTGAATGAGGCAGTCTGGCTGCCAGGTGACTGCAGAACATGTGTGATCCCAGGCAAGACCAGCAGAAGAACCACCAGTTAAATCTGGCCCGAACTGCTGAGCCACAGAATTGGGAACAAATAGAATGGTGTATTTCACACTACTAAATTTTGGGGTGGTTTGTTAAGCAGTGATAAATAACTGATATAATCATGCAGGTTGAAAAACATGTGCATATTTGAAGTGGCCACAGGCTGCTAGTTTGAGACCCTCTGCTTTAGATAAATGGGCTTAAACAACCTCCAAGGGTCCCCAGGCTCCAGCATACTGCAGTAGCAGCAGAATTATTGCCTGTGTATGAGGTGCTAGCACAGACTGGGCCAGACCAAAGGGGACATGTTGATAGGAAACATGCTGGTAGCAAACCATGTGGACTGATGCCTACGGACCGGGCAGCTGATAGGAAACCTCAGCATATGTCAGCATAGACAGATGGCATTGTGGCATTATATAAACTATTCTGGAATTCATATGCAAACCTAGGAGGAAGGTAGGTGGAGGCCCTAGCTTTATTGAGGCTAAGTTTTCACTATTCCTATAACATGCAGACTCTGAAACTGAATTCGAAGAAAATATCTCCTGTGTATCTAAGTTTATGAGTACCTTGGGCCTTCAATCTCTATTGATCTTGGAAGTTAGCAGTTGGTCATTAGATAAACAAATGGGAGCTAATAAAAGACAAAGGGAAATCTTTACTGCCTTATTTTTCAACAAACTTTCTATGTTACTTCCATTGAACCAGTTGTGAAGGCAGATTTAAGAAGTGTTTCAGTTCTTTCCTAAGGTATGAGAGACTTCTGAAGGGGTAAGAAAGTGTTAACAGTTCCTTGACTGGATTAAAATTACTTTGAGGGGCTTGAAAATATTTAAAGTTGAATACATCTTTCACTAAACTTTAGGGATTCCTTCTAAAAGGAGAGAATACACACAGGGGATATTAAAATATTATTTTATTATTTAATTTTTTTTTTGAGACAGGTTCTCTGTCATCCAGGCTGGAGTGCAGTGGCACAAAAATGGCTCACTGAAGCCTCAACCTCCTGGGCTAAAGCGATCCTCCCATCTCAGCCTCCTGAGTAGCTGGGACTACAGGCACACACCACCACACCCGGCTACTTTAAAAATTTTTTAGTAGAGATGAGGTCTCGTCATGTTGCCCAGGCTGAACTTGAACTCCTAGGCTCAAGCAATCCTCCCACTTCAGCCTCCCAAAGTGCTGGGATTACAGACGTGAACTCCTGCACCTGACTTAATGTTTTTTTTTAGAGACAGAGTCTTGCTGTGTCATCCAAGCTGGAGTGCAGTGGCATCATCACAGCTCACTGCAGCCTTTAACTCCCAGGCATAAGCCATCCTCTGGCCTCAGCCTCCCAAAGTATTGGAATTACAGGCATAAGCCATCATGTCCTGCTGGGATTGGAGAATAAATAACTTACACAGCTACAGATAAGTTCTGATTCTATGTCTAATGGCTTTCCATTTTAATTAATGTAATTATACATTCATTTATTTAACAATTTTTGAAAACCATCACAACATAGTGTAAGTGCTCTGACAGGAAAGAGCCCAGGGATCTAGGGGAAGCACTAGTGGGCACGTAGCCCAGACGAGCAGAGCCAGGGAGGGCTTCCCAGAGAAGACTATGTCTGAGCCAAGTCCCATAGAGTAAGAGTTGGATAGAAAGTGGAAAACATTACATCCAGGAATTGCTACAAGGTAATGTGAAGCAGGGTGTGACAGGTCTACAGAGTAATCACTCCAAAACGGAGTTAGGCATCAGAGGACTCCAGGACAGATGTCTCCGAGAAAAAGATGGAACGGAGAGATTACCTGATATACTTGATGGTACTGAGCGAGGTTTTACACCTTGGTTGGAGTTTAGGGGTTCCATTCTTTGTCATTAGTTATTGATGACCTCGGTAAAGCTTAGTGATTAGCCAGCTGAGAAAACACAGTACTAGAGAGGGGGCTGTGTGTAAGATGGCAAGGCACTGGTTAGAAATAAATATATTTGGATTAAAAACAGAACCCAGGGGAAAAACAGTGGCAGTAATAAAAATGATAGCAATACATGAAAGACAAATACTTGTTTTGCCAACAGAAGACATGACAATCATCTCATGTTTAATTTGGCATATGTAGCTTTGAGTGGGGAGGAGTGGATCAGTTCATTAAGGTGAGATCAGGTTGAGGCAGTCAAAGATGCGCTTTGATGAATTCTGCTATAATGGCACTCATAAAGTACAGAGTTCACAATCTATATTCCCTACTTTTTGATGAGTTTATTTGTCTTTCTTAAAGGCTAGATCCTGACTTATCTGCATGAGAAAAATCTGGCTTGTCTGTTAAAAATACAAAATCCTGGCCTTATCCTATACATATAGAAAGGGGAGAGTAAGGGAAGAGAGAGGAAATCGTGGAATCTGCATTTTCAGCAAGCACTTCAGGGGATTCTTACACACTTCAGAGTTTGAAAGCCCTCCATGTGAGTCCTTAATGGAGGTGCAGATTAATTGTAACTGGATGTCCAATTCCTTTACTATGCTATGGAGCAGCCCCAGCTGACCCTAACATCAGATATTTTGTGTAGGCAAACATGTTGTGAAATATTTGAGACACAGGGTTAGACTTCCTGCGACCCTTCCTCTCCCACCACAGTGATTTAGCTCAGTCTTGGGACTGCGGAGAAATGAATTTCTAATTTCCTTCTCCTCCTTTCCCCAAAACAGACTCCTCCTTTGAATTTTAACATATATTAAACCAATGCAGACACCCTGTTAGACCTTTAAACTTCTTAAAATATGATGTCACCTGTGCTTTAAAAAATTCAATTAAGCCACCATCTAGTAACCCATACAAGGTCCTACCTATGGTGGGTGCTACTGCAAACTATTGAAATGAGGACTCAGAAACTCTGATTACAAGGAGCAATTAGGAGCTCTTCACCTCAGTCTGATGTCCCTGCACATCATTTCCATGAAGTCCATGTCAGAATGAACAGAAAAACAAGTGTCAGGGCACCTGGATTATATCATGAATGCCTCAAGTTTGAGGAATTCTAAGAACCCGAGCTAAAGCTAATATGGATCAACTCTTTTGGGAATAGCTTTTCTTAGAGCACTGTAGCGGAGAAGAGCTTTCTTTCTTCACCCATCACTAGGTTCACAAATGAGGCACCTATAACGAAAGACAGATTATTGAGAAAAGCACACACATTTATTTACTGTAAGTTTTACATGACAGGAATCTTCAGAAATGAAGACAAAAAAGAAATAGGAAAACTTGTGTATTTTTATGTACAGTCTTATGCAGAAGTATAATCAGAGGACAAAAGGACATAATCTAATGGTAATAAACTGTGGAGAACTTAGCAAGTCCTATTTGTCCAGATTCTTCTTGGTGTCTCTGTATCTGTGAGGATAAAGGGTACCTATGGAATGAAGGTTTTATGATCTACTTCAGGGAACAGTCACTTAGGGTTTATGGCCTGCTTCAGGGGAGAAGGGGTAAGGGGAAGGTATGAGAAACCTTGCTTCTGCAGTTTTCTCAAATAACAGGGTGCAATATTTTGGGGTTATGTGTCCTGAATCCCATCAACGTTAAGATGGAGAGACCAGCCCAAATCTTTAGTTGGATTCCAGCTAAGTCTTATACACCTAAGGGACAGAGGAGTAGTCATATATATGCCTTCATATCTGGTCACCTTCACAATGAGTCAGAAAATTGGTCAGACACCGAAATCACAACAGAAAAAAAAAATCTTTATTTCTACCAACTTGTCCCATCAAGAGAGTAAGATATACATATGTAAAGAGATGGAGTCCCACTCTGTCATCAGGCTGCTGGAAGGCAGTGGTGCAATCATGAATCACTGCAGCCTCAAACTCCCGAGCTCAAGTGATCCTCCTGCCTCAGTCTCCTAGAGTGCTGGGATTATAGGCGTGAGCCAGCACCTGGCCAATTATACTTTTAAAAAAATATTTTGACATTTATACTTGTTTATTATCTAAAAGCATTTTTATGAATAGTTCTCAAGAAGTCCTAGCAAAAATTGTGCTTCATTCTTTTTTGAATAACTCTAGCTAATAACATTCATTTGCGCAAAAAGCCTTATTATGCTGCTGCTAATAATTGCAACAAATTTACCTTAGATTATTAAAAACTATTTTTTCTTAGAAAACTATAATTCAAGGAATCAAGCTTGGCTGCAGAAAGTAATGGAGTTGAGGAATACTGTTAATTTTTCCAGATTGACCCTGGAGTCATCAGCAATAGTTTACTTTTATTATTTATTTATATATTTATATATTTATTTATTTATTTTCTTTTAGTTGGAGTCTCACTCTGTCACCTAGGCTGGAGTGCAGTGACACGATCTTGACTCACTGCAACCTCCACCTCCCAGGTTCAAGTGATTCTCCTGCCTCAGCCTCCCAAGTAGCTGGGATTACAGGCGCGTGCCACCAGGCCTGGCTAATTTTTGTATTTTTAGTAGAGACAGGGTTTCCCTATGTTGGCCAGGCTGGTCTCAAACTCCTGATATCAAGTGATCGACCCGCCTCCCAAAGTGTTGGGATTAAAGGTGTGAGCCACCGCGCCTGGCCTATTTTTATTTTTTAAATAAGATAGAAAATAAAAAAATCAGGATGAATTTTTTTAAAATTAAAAGAAAGAGGAAGAAAGAAGGAAGGAAGATTTATTTCTTGAAGGAGAAATACAAAGAGCTTAATTGGGTTAGGTCTCTGGGTAGCATTTGGTTTCTACTTCCCAACTGTACAGCCTATGCAACAACATACTTGTGACCAATTCTACATACAGATCATGATTTGCATAGCTTTCCTTTGTGTCAAAAAGAAACCAGGGCTATGTCCTTTCAAAGAGGAAGTAAAGAAAGGCTGGAGAACAGTCTAGCTGATGAAAGCTGCTTTAAAAATCCTTTTCCAAATTCCCAAGACTGCCTTTCTAAAAGGACTCTCTAACATTCTTATTTTAATATCCTCTTGCAGCATACCTTGATTTCCAAGATACTTCTGAAACCTAATTAAAATGGAACAGAAAGTGAATTTGGTGTTTTCCACCTATTTTTTAAATGAGAAATGAAAACTGTATATTTATTATTGTTATTTAAAAGTATGGAGCAAAATCAGGAGTGCAGAGACCTGCAGCAGAGCCAGAGAGAGAATACGGGTGATAGAGTGTTGAATAAATTGTTTTTAGAAATCAAATTCATATACTCAGGAAGAACTGGGGCAGAGAAGATTAAGCAAGCAAAAAGATAGGTTAAAAAAAGTAATGATGAACAATTACGGACACACACACACACACACACCATCCCCAAAAAGCTTTGGAGTGATTATGAAATCCAAGAATCCTAGTTCATAATTCATGTAAATGTGTTGCTGTGGAACTTATTTTTACTTCTCTCCATAAATACATTGTTGACACAGAATAATATTCTTAGTTTTCTGATTATAGCTAAGGGACATTTCAGGAGTTGACTTTTCCTTAAAAAAACAAATAGAGAGGAGGCTGTAAATGTCTCTCACTGCCCTTGTGCAGGTCTTAGATTTTACCCTACCTATTTCCAAACAGAAAACCTAGACTGTATATAGCAGCAACCTTAAGAGTGAGGGAGCTGTCAATTTTTCACATCATTTTACCAGAATTCTTTTTTTCTGGTATTGCTGTTCTCTATGTATTATTAATTTGTATTTATATTTAACTCTGGCTATTAGTCCGCCTCTTCCAGTCACTGAGCCATTTGCAAAGGAGAGAAGAGGGAGACAAGGGTTGCTATTATTAGGCATTCCTGTGTGTGACAATGGTGGAGACAATTAAATAACACCATTTTGCATCTTTGAAAATGACAGAGATTGTTTGGGGTAGACAACTCAGGGCTGGTTAACAAGACCGTTCCCCTCAAGAAGGTAAAACAATGGAGATACGTTTTTGAAGTACTTAATTAAGCTTTCAGCAATGAGTGTGGGAAAATTACAGACCCATAAAAACCCTCCAGTTCTAGGCAAGAGTAAATTTTCTCTGCAGTACACTGTCATTGCTCATTTACTGCATCATTTTGACAACATCTCATATTTACACAAGGCTTTTACATAATCTATACACAGGGACAGAAAGGTAAGGAACACAGAGAACAGGGACAAAGTTTGGACCTCCCGTATTGTCACTTCCTTTCATTTTTCCATTAAAGGGTAAGGCTGAAGGGTAGCATTTTAAGATGATTTTGTTAAAAGGCTGTGATGGTAATAATTGAACACAGCAAGATGAGCTGTGAAAAACTGCCACTGCTTGCTCACTCTTCCAAAGGATGAGTGTAATTCAGTCATAATGAAGGCTCTTTAATGTTCCTGCCCCAAATCTTTTCCGATCAGGAAAGCCTGGAATCTGTAGGCAAGAAAGATAATTGCATTAAGTCTCAAGCAATAAAAGTTCAAATACTAATAGTAATTTTTCCCTTCTTTTCCATTTCTGTATGTCAGCCTGCTGTTTCTTAAAAAAACAACTTTCTGAGGTTTTACTCAGAAAACCACAGATTAAATAATAAAAATAAATCTTACCCAAATGGAAAACATTTCCCAACAAATTGGTGATAGTGTCATCTAAATCAGAAAGAATGAAGGTAAATCTCATAATACCTACTAGACTTTTATAGAAATTATTTGTATTGTGACAGACCCTGAACGTATACTCTTGGAGTCCCAAGCAAATTATTTTCTTCTTCTATTTTATAATGTAATCTTATTCCTAGATTATATTTGTTTCCTAGATCCTTATTTTCCCTTTGTTCTGATTTTCTCCTTTTGTATTTAACAGGATAGAAGGAAATCAGTTGCTTGTGCCTATAAAGGGCTTTCCCCAACTTTTTAAAACTACTTCTGAACTTAAATTTGGAAATCACCTATCAAAATTTAAGAATCTATTTTATCAAGAAAAGAGATACCAACCTGATTACCTTCTCTTAAAAAGTATCTCTTCTCTATGACCTGTGAAAAACAAAGATTTTAAAGGCTTAGCACACATACCTGCAAAAAGTGGCTAACTGCAACGACCACTAATGGTACTAAAAGGAATATATCCAAACTAAGAATCTTTTCCATAGCAGTAGACATGTAGTACAGTCAGCTAAAAATCTGGTGTTAATGAGATCAGAATTGTGAGAGTATTTCCATAAAAGCCTGCCTCATTCCAAAACGCATTAATGATAGATCAAAAAATAAATGAATAACAAAAACTAAATAATGATAGAATGATATAAGATCCTATGCAATTCTTAGAGTATGACAGCAAATCTGACTCTAAGTTTCCTAGCAGTCAGTCCCAAAAGGTACTAAACAGCATCCATAAAATAAAAAAAGCACTTGCCTGCTACAATAGTCTTGTCTATTTCTTAAAGAGGGGACTGTTTAACATAGCAAACCACCACATCCCTATAGTAAGTGGTGACAAATTCTATATGTCCTCAATATAGACAGATGACACAACATCAAAAGCAGTCTAATGACTGTTGTAAATTGTCTACTTTTTTTTAACTAACTGCACCCTTACTTCAGTAGTTTCAGAATTACCTGCATTTGATAAGTAGAAAAAACATGTTCAAGCAGCAGATGTATCTGCACAAATCCATCACCATTATTGAAAAGAAACCCTCAAAATATATGTCCAAATGTAATAAGTTTAAGAGCACCATGTTTTCATTTTTTCCCAAAACTGCTGTAAACCCTAAAGAGCACCATGTTTCCAGATGATGAAAAACATTTTCAAGAATAATAAATTCTGTTCTGACACTTGAGAAACTGCAATGGTTACAGAGGAAGTATTATAAATGGTCTCTGATTTAGGATGGCTTGACTACGATTTTTTGACTTTATGGTGGTGTGAAAGCAACATGCATTCAGTAGAAACTGTACTTTGAGTGCCCATACAATGGGCACTTTTTTCACTTTCAGTATAGTATTCAATAAATTACATGAGCCATTCACAACTTTTTAATAAAATAGGCTTGTGTTAGATGATTCTGCCTAACTGTAGGCTAACATAAGTGTTCTGAGCATGTTTAAGGAAGGCTAGGCTAAGCTGCGATGCTTGGTAAGTTGGGTGTAATAAATGTATTTTTGACTAACAATGTTTCCAATTTACAAGGGGTTTACTGAGATATAACCCTATCGCAAGTTGAGGAATAGCTGTATTTTCTTTACATAGACCTGCTGTGATAAGAAAAGTTAATCGGATAATAATACAGATCAGCTGGAGATGAACTCTAAGACATTCAAATCTGAAATTATGCAGCTAAGAGTTCCTCTGAATGAGAACAGACCAGCTTGCTCTCTCTGGTGCCACAGCCATTCATCCAGATTCAACACCAAGACCATTCATCCAGATCCAAGACCAAGACCAGCTTGCTCTCTCTGGTGCGACAGCCATTCATCCAGATTCTTGCTGTCTTGGAGACTATAGCTGGATTATTTTTAGCCACAAGACACCAGGGCAAAGTTGCATTCACTTACCCCAGAGGTAGAAAAGTTGGTTTATCATTAGTGTACATCTTAAAACAATCCCACAAAAACCAAGAAGGAGACTGATTCCCTTTCCTCTCTATGGCAGGACAGGAAAATCTGATTATTCTGGAGCGTGAGGAATTACTACTAGTTGAAAGAGGCTGGAGAAGGAGTTAGACTTCCTTTTGGAGAAGAAATCTTTTTTTTTTGTTTGTTTCAGATGGAGTCCTGCTCTGTCACCCAGGCTGGAGTGCAGTGGTGCGATCTCGGCTCACTGCAAGCTCCACCTCCTGGGTTCACGCCATTCTCCTGCCTCAGCCTCCTGAGTAGCTGGGACTACAGGCGCCCGCCACCACACTCAGCTAATTTTTTGTATTTTTACTAGAGATGGGGTTTCACCATGCTAGCCATGATGGTCTTGATCTCCTGACCTCGTCATCTGCCCGCCTCGGCCTCCCAAAGTATTGGGATTACAGGCGTGAGGCACCGTGCCCGGCTGGAGAATAAATCTTTATGCTAAATTCTGGAAGAACTGATGTATAGAAAACTGGGTGAAATCTGGTTGTCAGCTCCTTTGGTTTCAGGCAACCACCTCAGTCTGGAGGTCTGGCCAACCTCCTAACCCACATACATTTTGTTGTGATTCAGGCAATAAAAGAGAAGTTACCTTTTTGGTTTTGGTCATAATTCTTTACCCCTGACTTGCAATGTGTACTCCTGATTTTTTAAAAAATAAAGCCTTGCCTGACAACTCGGATTATACCAATCAATAACCCAGTTTCTCTAGGATGTAATTTAGTATATCTTATTTTTTAATTTTAGAACTAATAAAATTTTAAATTTAAACAACATACTGTGGGATCTTTCCAGGTCAGGGCAGATCTATAAGATGTTGCTCATAAGGGACAGAATTTTGTATTGATGGGGCCATAGATCTAAACCAAATGGAAATTCTTATATTTTAAGTTTGAAAACAATGTGGGCAAAAAATCTGGCTCCTTGCAGTGCTGCACAACATTTTTCATGTCATGGCACACGTAGAAAATGCTAATATTTGTATAGCACACTGGAGAAAATGGAAGCGGTTGCCAATCACCCAACCCCCCCACCCTGAGGACCCTGGCTGCTCTGAGAACTGAGGGAAATCAGCATCTAGGCACATCTGTACCCTATTTCCCACATATCAGTTAAGAAGTTTTGCAGTGAAGCAAAATTTTCCTAGTGGCCTAATATTAATCGAGGAGGGTGCTGGAGCTTATCTAGTGCTGATAAAAAGGCCAAATATTAAATCCCAAATTATCTAAAGGTGGGGCTTATCCAATGCTGAACAAAAGGGCCAATTATTAAATCCCTAAATAGTTAAAAGAAAAAAATGATTGATAAAGAAGAGCTATGGGGAAGATGATTTTCTTAGGAGATGTCACTTAAAAAGAAATATAACACAGGAATTAACCTTTTTCAATAATACATGCAGAAAGACATCCTGTTTTACCTTACTATGCAATGTGAGCATTGGACAAACAACTTAAACTTGGTCAATACTATGTGCAATAAAGTTGTATGGCTTTGTGAAGGAAAGACAAAGAGTGCTCTAATTTACCAGTATGCTGAGTCATTCTACATTTTCCTTCCAGCTGAGGACAATAAAACAATGTTAGCAGAGAGTCAATAATTGGAATGCAAATATTTCTGAGAGGGAAACACTAGGAAATCAAGAAGACATTACCTTAAAAGGTAACAGTAACATTTATGTAGAGAATATTAACAGCTAGGAGAGCAAAAAGAACTCAGGGCTTTAAGCAGAATCTCCTCAGTTCAGTGCCTTTATGGGGGTGGGAGGGTGAATAAGTGAAAAAAAGAGCTAGAAAATGGGTAAGTAGAAATTCTTTTAAAGAGAGGAATTAGATATCTTTTTAAAACCCCCATTTAAATCCAGTAGCTTTTGCCCTTTACTTAGAGAACACTGGTGATGGAATAAATACGTCAGCAGGCCTTGGGCAATTATACCAACAGATAAGAGAGATCAAAACAAGGATTATTCCAGGCTGTGAAGTTTTGGACAAAAAAATAAAGGTCATAGGATTCTACAAAAAAATTTTAAACTCTCATAATATATAAATTAAGTTTAAAAATAACTTAATTGAAACCATTACCTTATCAAAAAACCTACTGAGCTTGACAGCATTGGAAGAACCTGCAGCTAAGTACCGTGGATTTGTGCAGTCCTAGAAGATAAAACATAAGATCCACAATTGAAAGTTAGGAAACCCAAGCTCGTTGCTATTCATAACTTATCCTGTTGCATATTTCTGTAGGCATAATACTATTAGGCACAATACTCTCACAAAATATTCAAATAATTTTCAAATTATGGTGCACAAAGGAGGAAAGTATTAAAGGAAAATAAGGTCACTTAATCTTTGTAATTTAAACAATTTTAGAGTATACCAAATCAGTGTATTCATCATCAAATAATTCATAGAGGAAGACAAGATTACTAATATTTTACTAATATCAAAACCAAGGTACTACTGGAGTGACCTACCTACATTTACCCCGAAAACCAGAGAGAGAGAGCCATGAAAAACAGTAAGCATTTCACTTTTAGTACTAGTTAATCACCAGTGCTCAACTAATTTAGTACTATGCAGTTCATATGAATCGGAGAAAGCAAGAAAATAAGGATTTAGAGGTGCAAAGAACAAACAGAACAATTGCCAAGGATTTCTCTTTAGATGCAAGGTACTACATCTTTTGGTAGGCCACAAAGATATATTATTTTTGGTAATAAACATCTACTACTATTGTTTGATAATAAAGATATATTACTACTCTTTGATGGAATTTTATTATAGGGAAAAAAAATGGGCCCAGAAGGGACAAAACGATCTGGAACATTAATCATTACAATAACTTTAAAACCTTAAAAGGCCTACTATCCGCTGGAATTCCAGTCTAGCTGTTTTTTTTTTTTTTTGCTTGTCACCATTGACTTGTGACCTTGAGAGATAGAGTACTTTGATTTTTACCTGAAATGTACCTAAGACCAAACTATAAGGGCTATCATGTAAGCTCCTTTGCAAGTATGAAATTTTGTCTTTTAGCTATAGACCCTCTGTGCCCCTAGAAATTACTGAAATTACTATTATTACATTTATTCTGTTTTTGCAATCTCCAGGCCCACATGATTCCTTTCTAATGAAGCCTCCTATTTTATTCATATGCAACATTTCAAGGCTCACACTTTAAATTTTAGCCAGAAATGATAATACATTCTCTAAAACCACAAAAAAGAGAGGCTACAACAAAGTTGTCAAAGATCACAGAGTACTAGAAATTAGGGGTCTTCAAAGCCAGCAAGCAATAAATCAGAATATCCATCCCAACATTTCTACTCTGTGTAACACTGGTTAGGGTACTAAACCTTTAAATTTGGGCTTACTGATTTGTGGAATGGGGATAACAATATTTTATTTCACGGGATTTTTGTGAAAAATTAAATAATCCATACCTGGACATACTGGGTAGTAAAATATTAGTCCTCCTCTCTTCAATCTAAGAAAATGCTAGCAGATTGAATTTTCAGGCACAACAAGCACTTACCACAATAAAGATAATTCCATATATGGATTATGTAGACTGAAACATCATTGCACTAACTATGGTATTTGAAATAGTGTTTGAACACATTTCTACAGCAATTGGGGCATATAAGAGACAAACCTTAGATCTGTGGTAGAAATGTTTTATAAAATAGATATTGATTAGCTAGTCATCAGAATGTCAAAAGTTTGAGACAATTCTAAATAGAGCTGAAGTACTAAATACAAAAACTAAAGCAAACAACAAGCAAACAAAAAAACACCCCCAAAACCTTAATTCTATGGTTCCATAATTTCAGGTCGACCAGCCTAGAGAAACACTATGATTTTTGGGATAAGAAATTTAGAGCTGAAAGAGCCATCTGCCATTTATCATGGCTGAGGGAAAAGCCTGAAAATTAATAGCTCCAAATAGCTTGACTGAGCTTGAGAAAGGACTATTAACTAGGGAAGATACTTCAATATGATCGCTTCAAAGTAAATACGTAACAGAGAAAAGTTTTTACAGGGTACAATAAGCCTAACAGGATTTTAGAAAATAAGTAATGGTTCACCTATTTATAATTTAAACAATTTGCATGTATTCAGGCAGTTATTTATTAACTCTGATTCCACCTTTGATGTATACATTTGTTAATTCTTACTTTTCTACAGTTTTAAGGAAATTTATACAGTAACTGATGTTAGCACTAATAATGTTACATTAGTTTTTATTTGAGGCTTTATATTTAATTGCTGAATTTCTGATTGCTATTTCTTTTTGAAACTCTTGTATTCAATTTTCCTCCTCATTTTTTCTTCCCTGCATTCTCTGACCCTCTCCTATTGTTATGTGTGCTGTGTTCTTGAAGCTGTACACTGATAAAGGCCAAAAACATGTTATATTTGAACTCTTTGGAGACTGTATGTGCTAAAGTCTCACTACCTGAGTACCTTTACATCTGACTCACAGTTAAAAGATGGCCTTGGCTTTGTAAGGCAAGTAGGAATAACACACACACACACACACACACACACACACACACACATGCACGCGATTATCAGAGAAACCCACAGGCACTAGAAACAGATACATTCTAAAATATATTAAAGTAAGCGCTGAAACAAATTAAGTGTTTTCAATGGTAAATTTCTCTTTGGAAATAATGTTCAAAGTAATCTCAGCACTTCTTCAACAAGAATATTATATATCTATATAGCAAGAATCCTTTGGAATATCATGGTTCAGTGCTGACTACCTGGGGTATGCACATCAAATATTCCATTGTGGCAGCTGAGAAAAATGAGGGGCTCTCCGCTGCAAAGCAGAATGTAAAAAACAATGGAATGGCAGGCAGAAGCTGGGGGTAGAGGTGGGGCTGAACCAAGCAGTGTTCATAAACATTGATTCATAGAATAAAGGCATCAGAAGCACCTGAGTTATTTGTTAAAACTGCAGATTCCTGGTCCTCCTGCCAGGCTTGATGAATAAAAAGCTCCAGCTGTGGGACGGTTATTCAAAATTTTCCATAGGTACTATTGGTAATATAAATACACAATCAGATTTGGGTAACTGTTGGTCTAGATGATTTCTAAGAGTTTTTTCAGCTGCCAAATTCTCAAGGTGAGTTGAAGGATTAATTAAGTGCAAAAGAGGCTTAACTGTAGAGCACAGGCTCTGAATCTGAATACCCTAATTGACCTGGGTAAACTTCCTTGGTCTTGTTACGTCTCTCCTTCTTATCTTTAAAAAGAGGATAGTAATAGTACCTGTCTTATAGAGTTGATTGTGAAGATGATGCATGTGAGATAATGTATGTAAATAACTAAAACAGTTTTCAACCCGTAAGTGCTCAATAAATGTTGCTCACTAGTACTATTACACCACCACCACTGCATTTCTGGAATGCCAGTGCACAGTTGCAGAAATCCTATTTGTGAACAACATGACCATGACTGAAATTGCTGGCCAGGATCTTTTTCTGGGATCCTAACAGGCTTACATGACAACCATTTCTTAGCTTTTTTACGCGCTCAGTTCTCATTGAGCTAGTTATCTCATCAAGGGACTCAATCCTCTATATATGCATAAGTGTACATAAATTAGTCCTTATGAAGCACTCCTAGTTTAAGGTTTGCAATTTTTTCATGTATTTGTTACGTTGCCCTTTAAGGTAAAATTTGTAGTTTAAGAAGCTAAGAGGCTTTTTAAAAGCAAGAATAATATGCTTATAGTGCCACTTTAATCAATTTATTTTAATTTTGGTGTGATTTTAAAAACCTTTCTCAAGAAAAAGCCCATGGGCCAGGTGCAGTGGCTCGCGCCTGTAATCCCAGCACTTTGGGAGGCCAAGGAGGGCAAATCCAGTCAAGAGTTCAAGACTAGCCTGGGCAACATGGCAAAACCCCATCTCTACTAAAAATATTTAAAAAATTAGCTGGACATGGTGGTACATGCCTGTAATCCCAGCTACTCAGGTGGCCTAAGCATGAGAATCGCTTGAACCCAGGAGGTAGAGGCTGCAGTGAGCTGAGAACGCGCCACTGCACTCCAGTCTGGGCGACAGAGCGAGACTCTGTTTCAAAAAAAGAAGCCTATGATTTAAATTATTCATAGAATAAAGTTGGAACATTCCAACAGACCAACATAAAAGGCTGAAGTGACTGTGCACATCTCTCAGTCTAGATATGTTGATTCCAATCTTGACTACGTTTAGACTAGAATCCAAATAGCCTGATTTCAAGTATAAAGCTTCTTTCACTAGAATATATTATTTGAATATGTCTTCAGTTTTGTCTTTACCCGATAATAATACAAGCATGCATTAGTGAAAATACATACCAAATTAATTTCTTCTGGATTGAAATCCTCAGCCAGGAAAGCAGTCCTAGTTAAAACTTCATGGCGCTTTGTTTCATGAATCTGGTCCAGTTTAGTCCCTATTACCAACAGTGGTATTTGGTTATCAGCAAACTGTTCTTGATCATAATCCCTGTGATAAATAATAATGAAGAGGTGAATAGAATGTATCTTTCTGGTGTAGATGTGTAATATTTAAGTGCAACTAAGTTACACTATTTTACTGAAAATTAACTGATTTTTGCTGCCTTCACCTACAAACCTACTTTCCTTCCAACTTCTTCCATCTACTTGTTCTTTTATCAATCCATCCTCATCATCAGATTCCAGCTATTCATCTAACTTCTCAAAATTTGGTCCCATGTTTTTATTGAATATTGAACAATACTGAATAATTGAACAACTAAGTGCCCATCAAGTATATTACAGTCAGTGGACTTAACTTCCAATGTAGCTGTGTCTTCTAAGGTTAACATAACAGCTCAGGAATATTTCAGAGTAGAAGCAGAGAGTGGATTTAAGCCTCATCGTAGCAAAAACCCAAAAGCCTAGCATGGCACTCAAGCCTTGTGCTAGAAGAGAAAATGGCAAGCTTCTTGGGTACCTTTTGGGGTATGCATTAATTCTATATCTACAATACACATTTCTGTCTGAATAGTAAAGAAATAAGAAGAATAAGAAAATAGAAATAGGGAAGCTGAAGCCTAGAATAAATCAAATATAGGTGATACTATAGCCTGGGAAAGGTGGATTAAACACATGGAAATGGAAGGAAACAGCTGAAATGCAAAATGAATAGTAAAAGGAAAGAACTTAGTACCAAGTAGTTGTTTCCTGAAATGAGAGCCATGGGAGATAGAGGACGGGCAATAAGAACCACTTAGGGTTAGTGGCCTTGGATCACTGGCTATTACAATCCTTATTTTTTAAAAAATTTATTTATCCAAAGAACAGAGTGGTGATGTAAATGATACTTCTCATTACTGAAAAGAACACAGAGGCCATTGCTGTTGAATTAATTTAAATTCTACTCACATATTAGAAATAAAACAGATTTGGATTTCTGACACGTTATAAGCTCAACTTACAACAGTCAGCAAAATCTGGTTGTGCACAATTTATGACAGTAAATCAATATTGCATAATCCAATCACTACAACCCAGTCGAGCATAGCTTTTTTTCTTCCTTTAACACTACTTTTCTTTCTCTTACAGAAATTCTAAATTGGGGTAGGGGGCAAAGTTACTAAGTATTTATGCCCTTCACAATAATCTTACAGCGCCTCAGCAAACTGTTCAGCCTCGGAACACAAGTGTTTTACTATACAACCTCCCATCTCACAAAAATATTACCATTCTATTTATTGCATCAAAGCCAATAATAGCATGATCAAGACCTTTGATTATTCATATCAACAGCAACTCTAATTAAAGAGACATGGTTCAAAGCTACAATTCGCTTTGTTAGGGAATGAAGTTTTGAGAGTGTCTTTCCTTTAGGACTGTTTCCTTCTGTCTCACATACAAAGTTTTGCATATCTTCTATCAAATATCATCTTTGATGTACATACATCTCTCATATAGTCTTGCACAATTCCTTGCACACTGACACATATAAAGCATACATATATAGTTTGCTCTCTTATTTCTCTTTTTAGCTTTCCTTTTAACTTTTTCATAAAATCTTGCAGCATCCAATTTAAAATTTAATCTTGAAATCTTCTTTGGTAAACTTCTGAAGAACTTTATCATGGATGGATAAGGCTGATAGCTCCTTAACATCACAAAGAGACACACAGCCAGGTATCATATTATATGCATAATACTGGGTGGAAAAATAAAGACAAAAAAACTTGCATCTTTCAGACCACTATATTTAATTATCACTTCAGAGAAGATTTAGAATTCAGAGAAACAAGTTTAAAAGACAATACAGGGAGACAATCAGCAAATCCAGAATATAGGAAACTGTACAAGACAAACAGCCATCTTCTTCTACAAATAAAGTGCTAGGAGGTTGGAAAAAAAACAACCAAAAAGGGAGAACCTAAGATTAAAAGATACTTAAGAAACCAAATACAACCAGTGGACCTTATTTAGATACTATTTCGAAAAAATCAATTATAACATTTATGAGACAATTGGGGAAATTAAAATAATATTTGGTTATTAAAGAATTATTATTAAAGTTTTAGCTGTGATAATTATATGGTGTCATGTTAAAAAAAAGCCCTTATGTTTTAAAGTATATATGGATGAAATGATATGATGTTTTAACATTTGGTTCAAAATAATCCAGTTGAGAGTGGGAGAAGATAGAAAGTGGGTAGAGATATGGATGAAACAAGACTAGCTATATGTTGATAATTGTTGAAACTAGGCAACGGGTATATGGGAGTTCATTTTCCATTCTTTGTATTTACATATGTTTAAAATTTTCTATAATAAAAAGTTAAAAAAAGTTATTGTGGTAAAAACTACATAATATAAAATTTACCTAAATTGTTTAAATATGGCTAAAAACTCAAACTGATATAAAAGATATATGCTAAGCAGTCTTGCTCCTACCACTGTACCCATCCACCCATCTCCCCTGGCCCCCTATAGGTTACCATTTTTATTAGTTTCTTATTTTTCACTGATTCTTTATCCAAATATAAATACATATTATTTCTTTTCTTTCTTATACAATAGGAGGTATACGATATATATTCTCTGCATTTTGATTTGTTAAACCTAATAATGTACCCTCTGTAGATCTTTCTATTTTAGTTCATAGAGATCTTCCTGATTCTTTTTTAAACATTGAATACTACTCCAGTATGTGGATATGCCATTATTTATTCAATGAATCTTTCGTTGCTCGGACACTAGGGTTGTTTCCAAATTTTTTGATGCTATACAATAATGCACCAACAAAGCACACCAATGTATTAAGGTTGTTTTATACATTTGCAGGTTTATCTATAGAATCAAAATGAAACTGTAGTGTCAAAATGCAAATGGGTATAGAACTTTTACTGAATTCCCTGACAAAAATGCAGATTTCTTTCTGATATGAATATGCTGTCTCCTAACCCTAAATTTAAGGATAAGTTTCTTAAGTAGAAATTTTAGTAGAAAATAGAGAACAAGCTAGGTTAATGAAGACATCAGTGATGAAAGGAATTGAGATAGGAAATAAATATCAATGAGGCTTTGAAATATAGGTTTTAAATTAGTTGTGCTTATTCTTTATTAGGTCTTG
This sequence comes from Homo sapiens, assembly GCF_000001405.40. Taxonomy (NCBI): domain Eukaryota; kingdom Metazoa; phylum Chordata; class Mammalia; order Primates; family Hominidae; genus Homo; species Homo sapiens. Next base: position 120,701,688 of record NC_000003.12, read on the forward strand.
CTGGAATCTACATATATATACTCAAACTTATACTATATTTAGGTTTCACATAACAATTAGACTTCCACACAGAAAACAAAGCCTTTGAAAGACTTGCTTCAATCAAAAGATAGAAAATGGGGTTCTGTTCTAGGTAAGACAGAATAAGCAAACTCTATCCTGTCTTTCCCAGTGAATGCAACTATAAAACCTGGACAGGATACATGAAGTGGCTATTTGAGGACTCTGAAAAATTAATAGTGAGCATATTAAGGAAGACTGCAATGTGAAGAACCATTGAATTAGCAGTTTCCTTCCATATCCCCTTGTCTGAATGCAACTCAGCTTAAAACCCAAAAGTGTGAACAGAATACTCCAGAAGAAGGCCTATAGTTCTGGCTCATGAAACAAGAAAGGGGACACACGAATACTTGGAGATAGTGTAGAAATACAATATTTTTCCTTCTGTTGTAAGCCAGCTTCTGAGCAATTTCATGACAGTTGTGGCAAAGGCTATAACACAAGCAGAATGCTCAAAAACAACAGTCCCCAACCTTTTTGGTACCAGAGACTAGTTTCATGGCAGACAATTTTTCCATGGACAGGTGTTTGGGGGATGGTTTCAGGATGAAGCTGTTCCACCTCAGATCATCAGGCATTAGTTAGATTATCATAAGAAGCCTGCAACCTAGATCCCTCACATGCACAGTTCACAATAGGATTCACGCTCCTATGAGAATCTAATGCCTCTGCTAATCTGACAGGAGGTGGAGCTCAGATGGTAATGCTCACTCACCTGCCACTCACCTCCCACTGTGTGGCCTGGTTCCTAACAGGCCATGGACCAGGGGTTGGGAACGCCTGCTTACAAATACAGAGGAAGGGAAATTTTTCTTTTTTTTTTTTTTTGAGACGGAGTCTCACTCTGTTGCCCAAGCTGGGGTGCAGTGGCGTGATCTCGGCTCACTGCAAGCTCCGTCTCCCAGGTTCATGCCATTCTCCTGCCTCAGCCTCCCAAGTAGCTGGGACTACAGGCGCCCGCCACAACGCCTGGCTAATCTTTTGTATTTTTAGTAGAGACAGGGTTTCACCATGTTAGCCAGGATGGTCTCGATCTCCTGACCTCATGATCCGCCCGCCTTGGCCTCCCAAAGTGCTGAGATTACAGGCGTGAGCCACCGCGCCGGGCCCAGAAGGGAAATTTTTCTGACTGATGGAACTGTATCTCAAGACAGTGGGGCAAACTCCCATTGCTTTTATTCTTTGTCCTTCTACCACTTGGCCCTGGACATAGGTGCAGTTGTGCAAGTGCATGAGAAAATTTGGCCTGGGGACCGAAAAAGGGAGCCCCAGCAAATCACAAAGTATGGCAGAGACTGTAGACAGGGTGAAGTGTGAGAAAGCAACCCCATGAAGTAGTTCGTGAATGCTTGAGCTCATTGCCAAAGCTGTGCATGCATGGATTTGATCCTACTTAGTGTACCAAAGACACTGAAAACTGAAACAACAGAGACAACAACACCCAGGTCACATACCGGGTGTTGCACAAATATAAAATAAGTGAAATCATATAAAGTATGTTCTTGGATCATAATAAAATTAAGCTAGAAGTCAATAGCAAAAAATAACTGGAAAGCCTCTAAATACATGGAAACTAAACAACACATTTCTAAACAGCCTATGGGAAAATCTCAAGGAGTATTAGAAAATATTTTGAACTAAATGAAAATAAAAGTAATACATTTAAACATTTGCAGGATGCAGCTAAAGCAGTGTTTAGAGGGAAATTTATAGCATTAAAATACTTGTATTGGCAAAAATGCAAGGTATCCAGTAAGTAATCTAAGAAGCTATAGAGAACAAAATAAACCAAAAGCAAGCAGAAGGAAAGAAATAAGAGTAGAAATCAATTAAACTGTATATGGAAAAACAATAGAGAAAAATCAATGAAACCAAAAGTTGCTTCTTTGGAAAAAAATCAATACAATTGATAAACCTCTACAAGTCTGACAAGAAAAAGAGAAGACATAAAATACCAAAATCAGAATGAAAAAGGTCATATCACTACAAACTGTGCAACTATCAAAAGGACAATAAACAAATACTATAAACAACTCTATTGATATACATTAAAAAATTTAATGAAATAGATGGAATTCCTTGAAAATCACAAATTACAAAAACTCATCCAAGATGAAATAAATAACTTGAACAATCCTAATTACTAAAGAAGTTGACTTTGTGGTTAAAAACCTTTCAAATAAGAAACCTCCAGGCCCAGATGGTCTCTTGGTAAATTCTACCAAACCTTCAAAGAAGAAATAACACCAAATATACTCAATTTCTTCCAAAAAATAGAAGAGGAAGGAATACTTCCAATTAATTCTATGAGGCCAACATTATCCTCACACCAAAACCAGTCAAAGACATTATGAGAACAGAAAACTACACACCAATGCCTGTCATGAACATGGATAAAAATCCTCAACAAAATATTAGCAAATCAAATCCAGCAACACATAAAATGAATAATACACCATGACCAAGGAATGGAAGGCTGGTTCAATATTTGAAAATCAGTGAATGTAATCCACCAGTATTGAAAATCAGTGAACGTAATCCACCATACTGACAGCCTAAAGAAGCAGCCACATGTCCATATCAATTGATGCAGAAAAGGCTTTTGACAGAATTCAGTATCTGTTCATGATATTAACAAAACTATCAGCAAATTAGGGATAGAAAGAAATGTTCTCAACCTGATAAATGATGTCAACAAAAAAAACCTAAAGCTGACATCATACTTAATAGTGAAATGAATGCTTTCCCCCTAAGATTGGAGTAAGACATAGATATTCACTCTTATCACTCCTAGTTAGTACCCTTTTGGAAGTTGCTGCCAGTGCGAAAAGGCAAGAAATAAGACAACAAGCACACAGATTGAAAAGGAAGAAATAAACCTGTCTATGTAGAGCATCCTAAGGATTGTACTAAAAAACTCTGGTCACAAGATACAGGTCAGCACTCAGAATCAATTCTATTTTTTTTTATACTAGCAATGGAAAATTTGAAACTGAAGTTTAAATATACCATTTATGGCCAGGTATGGTGGCTCATGCCTGTAACCCAGCACTTTGGGAGGCCAAGGCAGGTGGATCACCTGAGGTCAGGAATTCGAGATCAGCCTTGCCAAGATGGTGAAACCCTGTCTCTGCCAAAAATACAAAAATCAGCCAGGTATCCCAGCTACTTGGGAGGCCGAGGCACAATAATTGCTTGAACCTGGGAGACAGAGGTTGCAGTGAACTGAGATCGTGCTACTGCACTCCAGCCTGGCAACAGAGCAAGGCTCAGTCTCAAAACAAAACAAAACAAAACAAAAAAACAATTTACAATAGCTTAAAAAATATTAAATATTTTGGTATAAATCTAATAAAACATGCACAGGATTTGTATGCTGAAAACTACACAATGCTGGTAAGAGAAATAAAAGAAGATCTAAATAAATTTAGAGATATATTGTGTTCATGAACTGGAAGATGCAACAGAATAAAGATGTTAATTCTCTCCAATGTGATCAATAGGTTCAATGCAATTCTAATAAAAATCCAACCAAAATTTTTGTCAATATAGACAAGCTGATTCTAAAAATTCATGTGGAAAAACAAATAAACTATAATAGCTAAACAATTATGAAAAAGAATAAAGTAGAAGGAATCATACTGCTCAATTTTAAGACTATAATTAAGACAGCGTAGTACTGGTGAAGGGACAGACACATAGATCAATGGAACAGAACTAGAGTCCAGAAGTTGACTCATACTAATATGGTCAACTGATTTTTGGCAAAGGAGCAAAAGCAATTCAATGGAGAAAGGATATCTTTTCAATAAATGGTGCTGGAATAGTTAGACATTCATATGCAAACGTTAACCTCAACCAAAACCTCCCATCTCGTACAAAACTAACTTAGATCATAAATCTAAATGCAAACCTATAAAACTTAAAATGTTTTATATAAATGTTTTACTATAAAAATGTAAAACCATAAAATCTGTAGAGGAAAACATAAGAGAAAACCTGCATCATCTAGGATTAGGCAAAGAGTTCTGAGACATGATATCAAAAGCACAATCCATAGAAGAAAAGAAGAGTAATCAGACTTCATCAAAATGAAAACTATTGCTTTGTGAAAGATACTGTTAAAAGGAAAAGATAATCTATACACTGAAAGAAAAATCTTTGCAAATCAAACATTTTACAAAGTGTTATTCAGGGAAGTACATTCCTGTGATTGCTACAATCTTTCAAACCAATTGTGAAATTGGCTCACCCATTTGTCACCAAGACTCCAGTTGGCACCAAATCCCTGTTGAGAGCTTCCAATGACCAACGACGCAAGTTTTGGGAGGACTTCTTATTTGTTAAGTCGTGTACGAAAATAATACCTAAAATAATCAGAGAAAACAATGTTAATCCCTTAACAATTCCTCTTCATTTCACAATTGGCCAAATGAAGCTTAGTAAACAGAAGCATTAGGTTGCTTAATGAATCTAGCATTCTAGTATGACTAACAACTCAGAGACAATTATTTTAAAATTTTCTCTACAAATATTTATAAATAGCCATAAACCTTTCTCTGTCAGTTTTATAACTCTTTATTTTACAAGGGCTGACGAAATCCCATTAAACTTTTAGCAGATCTTTACTTCATTCAACACTTCCTGAGTGCCTACTCCATGCCTGTTCCTACCTGTAGAACCACTTTATTAATCAAGAGAATCAAAACTACTTCAAGTACATATGAAATTATTCATTCAAAAAGTTATGTTGTTTCTTCACTGTACACAGTACTGCCATAGATACCAGTACATACATATATTACTTATACTCACTAAAAGTAATATTAGGTAATGAAAATCTACTAAAATAGTACTGATTTGATACAATTGCTATTCTTTAGCTGACAAAATAGTGTCCTGTAGATCATCTGAGACTAATCTATTCAAATGTCTAATTTTCTAGTTCTTTGAATAATGATTAGTTATGTAAGCTTCCTACCTGTAAGAGATTTAGTTATTAGAGCAAAAGAAATATGCCACTATAAGAGAGTGGGTGAGACATTAAATAGTAAAGAAGTATGGATAGTAGAAAGTACATGCACGGATTTTGATAGATTGAGAAAAATAACAAAATGTAACGAGGCCCAGAAATACACTAAAATACAACTGAAGAGAATCAATTAAAATCCTAGATAGAAAGGAAAATCAGGGAATTAATTATTACAGCAAGATATAGACAAAAGAGGAAAAACTTTGATGCCCACTAGAATTTAGGATATCACCTTATGGTCAAAACACTACAGGTTTCAAACTCCCAACCCTTTTCTATATTACCCAGATTGTGAATAGGACATGAAACCAATGATTCCTCCATCTTCAAGAGGTGGTATGTGTCAATTTGAAAAAGAAAAGCAGAAGAGGTAGAATTAGCTGGCTTCTACAGTTTTTATAGCCATCTGTGTAACTAAAGGGCTTGTACAAGCTATAGCTGACTTGTTCCAGCCAGCTTAGATAAACCTGCATCTCTTCTGGTGTCTGAAACTAATAGAGATCTGACACTTGCCCTAATATCCAATTGTACCCACTCTTCCTTCCTCAATGAGGGGTTTTAATCAGCATCAGTGGCACAGATTTAAAAAAAGGAATAAAGAACCACCATTAAAGACTACAGCTAATATTTATTCAGTACTAATGTACTAAATATTGTGCTTTACATGTGTTATCTAATTTAATTTTCAGAACAGTCCTATGAAGAATTATTATTATCTTTATACACAAGAGAAAACTAAAGTTCAGAGAAGTAGAGTAACTTGTCCTTGGGCACATGGTAAGTCAGAATTTGCACTCAGGTAATCTGACAGTAAAGACTGGTGGTAAGCAGAATAAAATCTCCATTTTAGGGCAAAAAACTGGCATATATTTTCTCCCTTTCCTTTTCCCCAGGCTATAAATATGGCAAAACTATGGGTGAGAATTTTGGACGGGGGAGTAAAAGAATTACAAAGGCCTAAGTTGGCTATTAGATGGACAGGGAAGACTTTACTGAGGATCTTTAGGTAAGACTTTTGAGCTTTTAAGGGCATTTGAGTACCCTTTTCCCCTATTCTTTCTCTTTCATTTGGGCTGAGAGTTATTGCTTTGTAGAACATGTGCTAGAAGAATCAAGGTGGGGCTGAGATGAAAGGAGTCAGGGTGATATGATAATATATCTTAATCTTAAGGGAGAGAAGTAAAGACACTTCATTATTTCCTTCTGAAGGATTACTAGCCTAGGCTATTAGAGAGGGAAGAATGTAGGGTATTAAGGGAAGAAAGTTATCGCTAAGAATATGGACTGTGCATTTGGATAGAGTGATCCTTATGTTCAGTTTCTTAGGAAACTAAGGATAGTAGATGGAATAAAGAACTTTGAGTGCTTCTACCAGGAAGAATGTTCCAGAGCTAAGGTGAAAGAACACAGAAATAGGTTTTTCAATAAATGCAGTTTTTTTTTTTTACTTTTAAGAAATGGAAATATATTTCAGTCTTATCTGCAAAATCAACATAGGATATATGCAATTCTTTCAATAATATTAAAGGAGACAAATCACTAATGAATAGTAGGTACAGAAAAGATAAACAAATATAGATTAGATGGATTTCTTCTTCAGCACTTACAAGTTTACAACTCAGAATTCCATAGCTTCTAGGATTTGAGTGGTATTTATCTCTATTATTTATTCATAATTTTTATTGTACCTCTGTCTCAAAAATACCTAAATATCAAAGGTGTTATATATTCAGACTTCTCTGTGCCAGATCAGATAGATATCTTAATTTGACAAGTAATTTTACTGATACAAGTTGATCACTCTAGTATAAGTCTAAACTAGGTTTCACTTCCTTCTCTAAGAGGTCACCTCACACTATACTTAGTCTTATTGTTGTTTTTCTTATTTATATGCATTCTATTCATATATACCATTGTATATACCTTTTTGCATGATGATGGCATATATCAAGGTCATCTTATAACTATTTTTGTCTCATTTATGAATGCTTTGTTTCTTTATTAAGACTGTGACATTTTCAGATAGAATTCTGAGCTAAATAGGATATGGGTCTGAACTGACACATCTCATTCTGTATTCTATAATATGTATCCAATGAAAAGAACCTTCTCTACATCTTTTTGTAGAGTCTACAACACCTCATGATCTGGGAAGACATCAGAAGAGGAATATAAGGAATGAACATACTGAATAAATGCAATGCTTACCTAATATTGAGTGAGATCTAAGCACAGCATAAATGAAGTCTATTAATGGCTATGCATTTACCAGGAGGGAAATGCCAAATCCTTTGGTATATTAATCAAACAGAAGTTGAAATTATGTTTCACAGTAAAAACAGGTTTTAAAAATGAATTTTTAAAAAGACTAAGAAAGAAACTCTATTGGCAAATCACAGGTATAAGCAGTTTAGTCTCTTGACACAGAGTAGGTACTCTATGAAAGGAAATTATGTCGTATATTACACAGCTCCATCTGGAAGTCTGCTCCAGGTATTTGAATATCTATAACTGGATAAAATTTCTGCACCCATAAAGACCCCCTTAAGCAGCTCTTTATAACTAGCTGAGAAAGAGCCTTAGGGCTCTTTCTAAGGGGCAGATGAAAGAAATCCCTCTATCTCTGTGTTATCTGGCTTAAGACTATGGGACTCCTATGGTCCTACTGTACTTACTCAACTCACTGGAGACAGAGCAACCCCAGAGGACAACATTTTAAGTTCCATGTTTTATGTCAAGTACCAAAAATATGATTTTATTTCTCAATATTTAGTTTATGACAATAATATAAATAGAAACACTTAATGTTTAATGTTCTGAATTAGATGGTTACAATGTAGAAACGCAAACTGGAATGTACTATGCAGATTTAAATCAAGGGTTGTGAGTACATTATATCTTTCTCAAATTAAGATGAGTCTGGCATGCTATGGCATTACATATCAGATGATCTATACTCTTAGACCATTAATATAAGATAGAAATTTAAAAATGTTTTACCATTTACGGAGTTGTAGAATACTGCTCTTGTGCTTTTCACGCTGCTGGCACTGCCCACAGAGCCTCCAACATCCCATAATTCTATGTAGTAGGTCTTCTCTTCTGGGGTTCCTTCTTTGTAATCATGAACCTAACAAATCAATCAATTAAAATAATTAATATAGCCACTAAACAAACTAGTAAGTACCCTTATTCCGGTTTAAAGCATTTCAGCATCTTACTCTGACTTTCTGATCGCTACCTCTTATCTTTTAAGCTTACTCTCTTTAATACTTTAATAATTTTTACTCCAGAGGACCTTATAGTTAATTAATCTTAACATCTTTCACAGCTCTCTGTTCCACTTCCGAAGCCTCACCTCCCTCCTAACTAAGCATAAATTTCATGATCCATCATACAGTCACTCCTTTGCCCCTCTCTCACATTGTATTCATCTGACAAAATTCCACTCTTGGTTATATCCACCTTTTACCCTCTTTCATGTCTACAACCCAGCAACCGAATGTGGAGCTCGGAAAAATACGCATTCAAGATGAATGGATTCTTTCTAAATTTAAGTGTACCTTTGGAGCTGTCCTTCAATCAATTCCACAGTTAATTTACCATTTTCCTCTTCCAGATAACTATTTCATACTTTTTCCTCTTTATAAACTTCTAATATCTCTTCCCCATCCTCAGTTAAAACTAACTTTGCTTCCTAGTGCAGAAGCAATTAGAAAGGAGCTTCTACAACCTGTTCTTCCTGTATTTATCTGCCTTTCTCCATCTGTGCCCACATAATCTGCTTTCCTTCTTGCTGTTTTCTTAGGCTGCCTATGTCCCTAAGGCTAAATCCTCCTTCTGTGCATGAGATCCCATCCCCACTTTCTTGCTTAAAGATGTAATTCTACCAGTTCTCCCGTCTCTCCCTTATACCATCAAATTTTCCTTCTCAGCTGGATAATCCTCACCACACAATTCAATTCTCAGCATACAAACATGGCATAATTTTCCTCATCTAAAAAAAATCCTTCTCTTGACCTCAAGTCCTCTTCCAGCTACCATGCCACTTTCCTTTTCCTTTTCACAGCAAAAGTCCTCCAAAGAGTTGTCTATTCTTAGCGGTAATCCTTTTCTTCACATTCTCTTTTGAACTCATTTCTATCGAACTTATGCCCTAATGACCCCAATGAACTATTCCTTGTCAAGGTCACCAATGACCTCCACATTGTTAACTCCAATGGTCAATTAACAGTTTTCATTTTACTCCACCATTTGATCCACCTCGTGTCTTGCAACATTTTTCACCTGGCTTCTGGGATATCACACTCTTCTAGTTTTCTTCCTATCTCATTGGCTAGTGCTTTTCAGCTTCCATTTGGGTCCTTCTTATCTCTCTGATTTCTAATTGCTAATGTGTCTCAAGGTTTAGTTCTTCAGTCTCTTTTCTTTTCTATCAATACTCATTCTTGTGGCAATTTCATCTAAAAGGCAATTTTATTCTTCCAGTTACTTGGGCCAAAAACTTAAGACTGATCCTTGACTCCTTTCATATTGCATTATTGCATTTGCCAACAAGTTCTGCTTCTTTGACTTTAAAAAAATATGTCAAAAATCTGTTCATTTCTCCCTATCTCCACTATTACCACCCAGGTCAAAGTCTCTATCTCCTTGCCTGAATTGATATAATGGTCTCTGACTGATCTCCCTACTAGAGGCATCCCCCAACCTCCCTGTTTGTTTTCTATACAGTAGCTAGAGTGATCCTTTAAAAATGCAAGTTATATCATACGCTCTTTTGCTCAAAACCCTCCAATGACTTTCTCACTCACAGTTATCTCCAAAGACTCTCTTTTTCTCATGTCTAGGCTCTATAGGCATTTACTGCCTGTACTGTATAACTATTCAGAAACAAATTATGATATATGGCAAGCAGATTAAAGTATGCTGGTTCATGAGTACACATCGGCATTTTCCAAGAATTAATTTTTTTTAAGAAATATACATGCCAATCTTACTGAATCAGGACCTTTGGGATTAAATACTAGGCATGTGTATTTTGAACAATTCTCCAAACGATTCTGCTGTAATCCCCTCGTTAAGAACTGCTGCTTTCATAGAATGGGACTATTACAGTATCAGGAGGCCTAGATTCTACTCCTTGATTGCCACTGATCGTCCCTGGTATCTTGGAGCCTCAGTTTCTTTGCCTATAAAATGAAAGAATTGTATTATGTGATTTCTAAAGTATCTACTGGCTTTGACATAATAATTAAAAAAACAAGATAGCTCAGTAGTTAAAATAGATGTCATAAAATGCACTAAAACTCACATACTACATTCAACTTAATGCTTTACACTTTTACTTATTCACAATTTTTTTGTCCAAATCCTTTTGGCCAAGGAAAAATTTAAATAAATATGCTACTCTATAAACAGCCACATTGACATTAAGAAGACAATTATCAGACTGACATCAAAGACAGTATGACAGAAAAATGAGAATAGCACAGTTGCAGCAGTTGAGGACCATTTGGGATAATGGAAATTAATTCTGCATATTACAATAGAAGGCATCACTATTTTGTTATATGGCAAAAATAACTTATAATATGTGATCATGTCAAGTTAGCAGTAAAAAAGTTAAACCAAGCAGAAAAAACATATGTTTTAGCAAGATTTCTAAGCAAAACAATGAGAAAAAGCAGTATGAGGTCTTATAAAGAGTAAGTTATCTGTTATGAAAAAGCTCAGCGACTTCAGTTAAGTCTTTCTGATCCTACCTTCCTTCTGGGCCCAAATCAACCAGAGCAGGTTTGGTACTCCTCCTATTTGCTTCCATAGCATCCTACACACCTCTATCATTTCACTAAGCACACTGTCTTATTTATCTACTGATATCTCTTCTTCTAGACTCTGAGTGTAAGGGCACGGACCATGTATTATTCATCCTTTAGCCCTAGAAAATAGCATAATATCTAGCATATATTAGATGCTTAGACATGTTTATTAAATACATGAATAAATTTAGGATAACTCATCCTCCAGGTTTTTATTATGTTCAGTTTATTATTTACCGAATTCCAGTGTTTCTCCAGTACAGTTCCAAGAGCAAACTAAATCAAAGCCAATAGGAAGTTTGTTAAAAAATACAGATTCCTGGACTGTCCTTGAAACTTCTGGGATGGGGCTCAAGAGTCTGTATTTTTTTTTTTTAAAGTTCCCTAGGTGATTCTGATACATGATTAAGTTTGGCAACCACTGCAGTACACCATTTTTTTTCTCTAAATTATTTCAAGTACCTAATGTTGCCTCCTCTAAAGGACTATAACTCCTCTGAGAATAGCCATCATCCAATGTAAATTTCTAGGCAGCATACCCTCTTAGCCTTGCATTGTACCAAACCTGTTAGCCAGCACCTTTCAGGCTATGCATACTCCCAAGCCAGACTGACTCACTCATCTAAACTCTTCTCTACCACAAATTACCTTTCCTAGTCAAATCCTTTCCTGTTTCCTTTTAAAATCAGAAGATAAGGTGTCTTCTTTCCTTTCCAACTTAATACTGGCTAAGTTTAACCCAATTCACATGGAATGAATCCCAACAATTTTAAATCAGTAGCTTACAGCTTCTAGTTATGATGTTACATCTTTCACATGTGTGAGTAATTTCCAAGGGAAAGCTTGACATTATAACAAGTATTGCTCTTGACACAGTAAGTAGTACTTTGGTGCTATACTGAGAACCCAACATGATGGGAGGTAATGCCAAACTATGAGAAGTGTGTTTTATATTTAAAGCAGGTCATCAAGGATCTGATACTTAAAGTCATTACAGACCTTACAGCTATACAATAAAGGATTTTCTTAACAATAAAGGAAGCAACAGTACAGCTGATCATCAAATGGAAAAAGGAACAGTACTCCTCAACGATGCTGCCACTTTGGACCTTCTCATTTATTCAGCTTTTGACTTTTTCTTGAAAACAAAATCAAGACCTATGTACATAAGGTTTTGTTTCATTTGAAGAGTTCATTCATTGTCTGTAACTTTTTTTTTTTTTTTTTTTTGAGATGGAGTCTCACTCTGTCACCCAGGCTGGAGTGCAGTGGCATGATTTCAGCTCACTGCAACCTCCGCCTCCCTGGGTTCAGCGATTCTCCTGCCTCAGCCTCCCAAGTGGCTGGGATTACAGGCACATGTCACCACGTCTGGCTAATTTTTGTATTTTTTAGTAGAAATGGGGTTTCACCATATTGGCCAGGCTGGTCTCAAACTCCTGACCTTGTGATCCGCCTGCCTTGGCCTCCCAAAGTGCTGGGATTACAGGCGTAAGCCACCGCGCCTGGCCCATTGTTTGTAACTTTTAAAATGCAGAAACATATTTAGAAAAAAAATGATACACATCAAGAAAGAACAGTGGATATTGTAGATGCTAATAAGTTTGGTTTAGTATTTGTACCTGCAGAATCATTATTAAAGAGAGGAAGGGAGGTAGGAGGTCTTAGGAGGGAGTTGGTAACAAAGAGAGAAGGGTGAAAAAGAGATACTAGGAGAATATACCACAGGAGCAGAAATTAATTTATCTCATTCACTGCTATACTTCCAGTTCCTTGCACAGTGTCTGATACCAAGGAGGTATGTAACATATGTATTGAAGGAAGAAATGAACAAATGAATAGTGTAAAGGTTACTGCTGTCTCTTCACTTCCAGTTACTGCTCTTTTGCCTTCAGTCAAGCTTATTTTTTTCTAATTAAAAAAAAGCCCTTCACTTTCCCTGCCATTCTGTACCCATTCACTCTTTTATTTAACGTCTAAACTTCGTGAAAAATTGAGTTAAACCTCTGTCTCTATTTCCTCTCTGCCAGTCATATAATTTGGTTTCTGCCACAAATATTCCATTGCACTTTCAAAGGTCAGCAGAGACTTTACAACATATCCAGTATTTTTTTTTCCTGTCTCAGTCCTTATATTGCTACTGTTTCTTACTAAAAATCAATCCCTCTTTCATGAAATTCTCATCTCTCTTTGCTCTTGTCGTTCATTTTGGCTATCCTCTTATTTCTTTAATCAGTCTTTCTCTGACCCCTCTTTTCCCATCAACTCTCTAAATATACCCCAACCTTTTTCTAAATTTTCTCTTTTAGAAATTGCATCAGTTCTAGTGGTTCGGGATTATTTCTATAAATATGATTCCAACTCAGAATTGTCTTTTGAGCTTCAGCATTTCATTTCCAGGACAGCTCCAGGTGGCTAGCTCACAGATACCTCCTTTCACCATGTCCAGAACTGAACTTACTATTGTTTCCTTCTTTTTCACCTATAATATGGCCCTCTTCTTGGGGACAGTCCATCTAGCCACTTACTTAAGCCACCCATTCAATCATTAGTGCCTAGGATAATTTTACACTTACTTTCTTGAACTACTATAACACTTGTTTTCTATATCAGTGCTGTCCCATGGAATTTTCTACAGCCATAGAAATGCCCAATACAGGCCAGGTGTGGTGGCTCATGCCTATAATCCCAGCACATTTGGAGTCTGAGGCAGGCAGATCACTTGAGGCCAGGAGTTTGAGACCAGCCTGGCCAACATGGCGAAACCTGTCTCTACTAAAAATACAACAATTAGCCAGGCATGGTGGCACGCACCTGTAATCTCAGCTACTCAGGAGGCTGAGGCACAAGAATTCTTGATCCTGGGAGGCAGAGGTTGCAGTGAGCCGATATGGTGCCACTGCACTCCAGCTTGGGCAACAGAATGAGACTCTTTTTCAAAATAATAATAATAATAATAAATAAAAAAAGAAAGAACGAAATGTCCAATACGGTAACCATTAGCAACATGTGACTACTTAGCAATTGAAATGTGGCTTGTTTAACTGAGGAGCTAGATTTTTAATTTTAATCAATTTAAATTTAAATTTAAATTGCCACATGAGGCTATTGGCTACTATATTGAACAGTATCAGATTTTTTTTTTTCTTAATACTGTTCTGGAACAAGAGGCAGTACAGAGTAGTGATCAGGAGCACAGGTTCTTGAAGCAGACTGCCTGGGTTTGAATCGCAGTTCCATAACTTACTAACTATATGATCCAGGACAAGTCATGTAGTGCCTCTGTGCTTCAATTGCTTCCACGCTAAATGAATAGGGGCACTAACAGTACCTGCCTCATAGGGTTGTTGTGAGAATTAAATGAATTAGTATGTAAATGGATGCCTAGCCAAAGTAAGCAATAAAAAGTGTCCCACCTCATATGCTTAGTGAAGATAGAGACTATTCCTCTAATTTCTTCCCAGTGTCTGTACATTGTTAGGCTGTCCAAAGAGGAATTCAATAAATATCAATTGTATGCAATGTGTAAATTAGAGAGTTAAATTACCATTAAAGTGAACTAGAAATGACAAATCAATTTCCTTATTTATAGTTTGTGAAAAGACTAAATTCTAAATTCATTAAGTCTTGTTTTCATAATTAAGAGTAGCCATGTATTTGTATTTACTCCCATTAGACTTGGGACAGCAAAGTTAAAGACAGGAATGAATGAAGAATACCACAAAATTAAACTTTTCTTCCTTTTCTTTTCAATTCAGTTATGAACACCTCTGTACTAAACAGTAAATCCAAAATGTTAGTAATTACTGAGTACATACATTAAACTCATTAGCTTCACCTGGTACTTAAGATTAAACAATTACATCATCACTGCTATCATCTCTATTTTTGGTTGGCTCTTAATAGATTTGAAGTAAAAGAGGCAACTGTTGGGTGCAGCACACCAACATGGCACATGTATACATATGTAACAAACCTGCACATTGTGCACATGTACCCTAAAACTTAAAGTATAATAATAATAAAATTAAAAAAAAAAGAAAAAAAAAGAGGCAACTGTTTCTAAGAGTTTTGAAAAGTGTGTATTCATCAATCTACACTAATTCTGGAGATCCCTTCGCACAGGTTTCACTAAAACAAAAACTATAACTGCAATATAAAAGCTGCTACAGGTAACAGTGCTCTCCCAAGTTATTTAGGTAAAGGCTTTATAAGCTTTAGTTATTCTTTCTATAGAAAAGAACTGTTCACTTTATTATAACAACAGTCAAAGTGATTTACATGTCCATGACAACTTAAGGTTATCATTTAAAAATGCCTTTTACTTATGTTATCACTCACGCAGTGCATTCTTCTCAAAAATGGAAGACATGGCCAGGCATGGTGGCTCACTCCTGTAATCCCAGCACGTTGGGAGGCCTAGGTGGGTGGATCACCTGAGGTCAGGAGTTTGAGACCAGCCTGGCCAACATTGTGAAACCCAGTCTCTACTCAAAATACAAAAAAATTTAGCCAGGCGTGGTGGTGGGTGCCTGTAATCCCAGCTACTCGGGAGGCTGAGGCAGGAGAATCGCTTGAACCTGGGAGGTGGAGGTTGTAGTGAGCCAAAATTATTGTGCCACTGCACTCCGGCCTGGGCAACAAGAACAAAACTCCATCTCAAAAAAAACAAAAAAAAAAACAACAAAAAAAAAAACAAGACAGAAGTCAACTGGCTTAAGATACAATGAACAGTAAAGCAAATCATTTTCAGCCCATGTCCCATTCTTCCACAATAACACAATTCAGGTAAGACTGTCTTTAAAGGAATCAATTAGTGCCACACTCATTCCAGTAAACCCAGTAACGTAATTATATGACATTTGTCTTTTTGTTTTGTTTTGTTTTTGAGACAGAGTCTCGCTCTGTTGCCCAGGCTGGAGTGCAGTGGCCTGATCTCAAGTCACTGCAACCTCCGCATCCCGGGTTCAAGCCATTTTCCTACCTCAGCTTCCCGAGTAGCTAGGATTACAGGTGTGTGCCACCACGCCCAGCTAATTTTTGTATTTTTAGTAGAGATGGGGTTTCACAATGTTGACCAGGCTGGTCTCAAACTCCTGACCTCACGTGATCCACCGACCTTGACCTCCCAACGTGCTGGGATTACAGGCGTGACCCACCGCACCCAGTCCCAAAGCAGAAGTTTCTAAACGGAATTACTGCTATTACTTCTAAAACTTGGTCAGTGTCTTGAGAACTAACTAGTAATCTCATGTTGGCCTGCTCTCTGGGACTTTGCACAAAAGCATTCCTTGCAGACAAAATCAAGTCTCCACTCTCACATACAGGGGACTGCTGAGATAAAGTTTCTTTTGGAAACTTTGCCACCAGCTACACTCAAGACATTTATATCCCAGTTATCCTCTGTTACTATACATATTGGGTCCTTAATTGGTCTCTCATATTCTTATTCTCAGACTGCTTTTGCTTCCTCTACCCATCATTAAACTCCTAATTGTTTCCTTCTCCAAATATTTCCACTTTTCTCCTGGAATCTTACTCCATGGTTACAAAATTCCATTATACCCTATCCTCAATCTCATTCTATTAACAAATCTCCGCCTCTACCTTGAAAACACAACTTCTCCTTATGTCCTCTCAGATAGATGCTGTTCACTTTTCAATATTCTAATTACCTTGGAGTTCAGAAAATAGGAAATGCCTTGCTAACACTCCAAAGCTACTTCTAGTGCATTACTCCTCTACCCTTATATTAAAAATCTGCCTTCTTTAGATGCTCTGGACCATCAGCTATACTCCCCTCCCTCCTTGTCTTATCGTTAATATGTACTAGCTTCCTATTAGCATCTCATTCTTAGTCTTATACCTCTGCTCTATAAGTCCTGTCATTAAACACTTTGATATCCACTTGGCAATATGATTGCACTCCTTACCCAGTATTTCTCAAGGCATTATTCACCTATAAGAGAATCATCAAGATGCTTCTTAAAATGCAGATGCTTGGGCACCAATCAACTCTGAGTCAGAATATCTGGGGGCAAGGCCCAAGAATCAAATAAAAATACTAAGACTGTCAGACTGGTCATCAAAACAAAATTTAGCTATATCTTACTTATAAGAGACATCCCATAGATATTAGGACACAGAAAGATGAAAGTTGAAATATGTAAATAAGGTAAACCACACAAACACTAACTAAAAATAAGTTGGCTTTAACTATTTTAATATCAGACAAAATAGTCTTCGAGGTACAATGTATTACCAGATATAGGGAGGGACATATTAAAATAACAAAATGTTAAATCCTTTAGGAAGTTCAAACAATCATAAATTAGTACTCACCTAGTAATATAATCTCAAAGTATATAAATGAAAAATGGACAGGATTAAAATGAGGAATAGACAAATTCACACTTACTGTTGGAGATTATAATACTTATTCCTTAGCAATTGATGAAAAAAACAGACCAAAAAAACCCACCCAACAGAGATGGAGAAGATTTAACAAATGATTAACACATATTTAGAACACTGCACCCAACAATTACAAAATATACTTTGTTTTCAAGTGCATATGAAATTTTTATCAAAATTGACCATAAAACTGGACGTGGGGAGGGTGGAGCCAGGATGGCCGAATAGGAACAGCTCCAGTCTACAGCTCCCAGCGTGAGCGACACAGAAGACAAATGATTCCTGCATTTCCAACTGAGGTACTGGGTTCATCTCACTGGGGAGTGCCAGACAGTGGGTGCAGGACAGTGGGCACAGCGCACCGAGTGTGAGTCGAAGCAAGGCGAGGCATCGCCTCACCTGGGAAGCGCAAGGGGTCAGGGAATTCCCCTTCCTAGCCAAGGGAAGCGGTGACAGATGGCACCTGGAAAATTGGGTCACTCTCACCCTAATACTGCGCTTTTCCAACGGTCTTAGCAAAAGGCACACCAGAAGATTGTATCTCGCTCCTGGCTCGAAGGGTCCTACGCCCACGAAGCCTCGCTCATTGCTAGCACAGCAGTCTGAGAGCAAACTGCAAGGCAGCAGCCAGGCTGGGGGAGGGGCACCCACCATTGCCAAGGCTTGAGTAGGTAAACAAAGCAGCCAGGAAGCTCGAACTGGGTGGAGCCCACCGCAGCTCAAGGAGGCCTGCCTGCCTCTGTAGACTCCACCTCTGGGGGCAGGGCATAGCCAGAAACCTCTGCAGACTTAAATGTCCCTGTCTGACAGCTTTGAAGAGAGTAGTGGTTCTCCCAGCATGCAGCTTGAGATCTGAGAATGGACAGACTGCCTCCTCAAGTGGGTCCCTGACCCCCGAGTAGCCTAACTGAGAGACACCCCCCAGTAGGGGCAGACTGACACCTCACACGGCCAGGTACTCCTCTGAGACAAAACTTCCAGAGGAACAATCAGGCAGCAACATTTGCTGTTCACCAATATCCGCCATTCTATAGCCTCCGCTGGTGATACCCAGGCAAACAGGGTCTGGAGCGGACCTCCAGCAAACTCCAACAGATCTGCAGCTGAGGGTCCTGACTGTTAGAAGGAAAACTAACAAACAGAAAGGACATCCTCACCAAAACCTCATCTGTACATCACCATCATCAAAGACCAAAGGTAGATAAAACCACAAAGATGGGGAAAAAACAGAGCAGAAAAGCTGAAAATTCTGAAAATCAGAGTGCCTCTCCTCCTCCAAAGGAACGCAGCTCATCACCGACAATGGAGCAAAGCTGGATGGAGAATGACTTTGATGATTTGAGAGAAGAAGGCTTCAGACGATCAAACTACTCAGAGCTAAAGGAGGAAGTTCGAACCCAAGGCAAAGAAGTTAAAAACCTTGGAAAAAGATTAGATGAAAGGCTAACTAGAATAATCAACACAGACAAGTCCTTAAAGGACCTGATGGAGCTGAAAACCACGGCATGAGAACTACGTGACGAATGCACAAGCCTCAGTAGTCGATTCAATCAATTGGAAGAAAGGGTATCAGCGATGGAAGATCAAATGAATGAAATGAAGCGAGAAGATAATTTTAGAGAAAAAAGAATAAAAAGAAAGGAACAAAGCCTCCAAGAAATATGGGACTACGTGAAAAGACCAAATCTATGTCTGACTGGTCTACCTGAAAGTGACAGGGAGAATGGAACCAAGTTGGAAAACACTCTGCAGGATATTATCTAGGAGAACTTCCCCAATCTAGCAAGGCAGGCCAACATTCAAATTCAGGAAATACAGAGAACGCCACAAAGAGACTCCTCGAGAAGAGCAACTCCAAGACACATAATTGTCAGATTCACCAAAGTTGAAATGAAGGAAAAAATGTTAAGGGCAGCCAGAGAGAAAAGTCAGGTTACCCACAAAGGGAAGCACATCAGACTAACAGCTGATCTCTTGGCAGAAACTCTACAAGCCAGAACAGAGTGGGGGCCAATATTCAACATTCTTAAAGAAAAGAATTTTCAACCCAGAATTTCATATCCAGCCAAACTAAGCTTCATAAGCGAAGGAGAAATAAAATACTTTACAGATAAGCAAATGCTGAGAGATTCTGTCACCACCAGGCCTGCCCTAAAAGAGTTCCTGAAGGAAGCACTAAATATGGAAAGGAACAACCGGTACCAGCCACTGCAAAAACATGCCAAAGCGTAAAGACCATCGAGGCTAGGAAGAAACTGCATCAACTAACGAGCAAAATAACCAGCTAACATTATAATGACAGGATCAAATTCACACATAACAATATTAACCTTAAATTGTAAGTGGGCTAAATGCTCCAATTAAAAGACACAGACTGGCAAATTGTCAAGACCCATCAGTGTGCTGTATTCAGGAAACCCATCTCATGTGCAGAGACACACATAGGCTCAAAATAAAGGGATGGAAGAACATCTACTGAGCAAATGGAAAACAAAAAAAGGCAGGGGTTGCAATCCTAGTCTCTGATAAAACAGACTTTAAACCAACAAAGATCAAAAGAGACAAAGAAGGCCATTACATAATGGTAAAGGGATCAATTCAACAAGAACAGCTAACTATCCTAAACATATATGCACCCAATACAGGAGCACCCAGATTCATAAAGCAAGTCCTTAGAGACCTACAAAGACACTTAGACTCCCACACAATAATAATGGGAGACTTTAACACACCACTGTCAACATTAGACAGATCAATGAGACAGAAAGTTAACAAGGATATCCAGGAATTGAACTCAGCTCTGCACCAAGCGGACCTAATAGATATCTACAGAACTCTCCATCCCAAGTCAACAGAATATACATTCTTTTCAGCACCACACCACACCTATTCCAAAACTGACCACACAGTTGGAAGCAAAGCAATCCTCAGCAAATGTAAAAGAACAGAAATTATAACAAACTGTCTCTCAGACCACAGTGCAATCAAACGAGAACTCAGGATTAAGAAACATACTCGTAGGCGTAAATCTAACCTTCTTCCCACAGCACATTCTCAGCTTATCTGGAATACCCCGATGTTATTCTGACTACCCCGACGCATATACCACGTGAAATATTTTATCATCTGTAGGCTCATTCATCTCCTTAACAGCAGTAATATTAATAATTTTCATAACCTGAGAGGCCTTTGCTTCAAAATGGAAAGTTCTAATAATTGAACAACCTTCCACTAACTTAGAGTGGTTATGTGGCTGCCCTCCACCCTACCATACGTTTGAAGAACCAGTCTACATAAAACCTAGACGAAAAAGGAAGGAATCCAACCCCCTAAAACTGGTTTCAAGCCAACCTCATAACCTCTATGACTTTTTCAACAAGATATTAGAAAAATTATTTCATAACTTTGTCAAAGTTAAGTTACAGGTTAAGTCCCATATATCTTAATGGCACACGCAGCCCAACTAGGCCTTCAAGATGCCACATCCCCTATAACAGAAGAGCTAATCGCCTTCCATGATCACGCCATTATAATCATCTTCCTATTCAGCTTCCTAGTTCTATGTGTCCTCTTTCTAACACTTACAACAAAACTGGCTAACACTAGCATCACAGATGCCAAAGAAATGGAAACTCAAAACCGCTCAACTACATGGGAACTGAACAACCTGCTCCTGAATGACTACTGGGTACATAACGAAATGAAGGCAGAAATAAAAGATGTTCTTTGAAACCAACGAGAACAAAGACACAACATACCAGAATCTCTGGGACACATTCAAAGCAGTGTGTAGAGGGAAATTTATAGCACTAAATGCCCACAAGAGAAAGCAGGAAAGATCTAAAATTGACACCCTAACATCACAATTAAAAGAACTAGAGAAGCAAGAGCAAACACATTCAAAAGCTAGCAGAAGGCAAGAAATAACTAAGATCAGAGCAGAACTGAAGGAAATAATGATACAAAAAACTCTTCAAAAAATCAATGAATCCAGGAGCTGGTTTTTTGAAAAGATCAACAAAATTGATAGACCGCTAGCAACACTAATGAAGAAGAAAAGACAGAAGAATCAAATAGATGCAATAAAAAATGATAAAGGGGATATCACCACCGATCCCACAGAAATACAAACTACCATCGGAGAATACTAAAAACACCTGTACGCAAATAAACTAGAAAATCTAGAAGAAATGGATAAATTCCTGGACACATACACCCTCCCAAGACTAAACCAGGAAGAAGTTGAACCTCTGAATAGACCAATAACAGGCTAGGAAATTGGGGCAACAATTAATAGCTTACCAAGCAAAAAAAGTCCAGGACCAGATGGATTCACAGCCAAATTCCACCAGAGGTACAAGGAGGAGCTGGTACCATTCCTTCTGAAACTATTCCAATCAATAGAAAAAGGGGGAATCCTCCCTAACTCATTTTATGAGGCCAGCATCATCCTGATACCAAAGCCTGGCAGAGACACAACAAAAAAAGAGAATTTTTGACCAATATCCCTGAGGAACAGCAATGCAAAAATCCTCAATAAAATACTGGCAAACCGAATCCAGCAGCACATCAAAAAGCTTATCCACCATGATCAAGTGGGCTTCATCCCTGGGATGGAAGGCTGGTTCAACATACGCAAATCAATAAACGTAATCCAGCATATAAACAGAACCAATGACAAAAATCACATGATTATGTCAATAGATGCAGAAAAAACCTTTGACAAAATTCAACAACCCTTCATGCTAAAAACTCTCAATAAATTAGGTATTGATGGGACATATCTCAAAATAATAAGAGCTATCTATGACAAACCCACAGCCAATATCATACTGAATGGGCAAAAACTGGAAGCATTCCCTTTGAAAACTGGCACAAGACAGGGATGCCCTCTCTCACCACTCCTATTCAACATAGTGTTGGAAGTTCTGGCCAGGGCAATCAGGCAGGAGAAGGAAATAAAGGGTATTCAATTAGGAAAAGAGGAAGTCAAATTGTCCCTGTTTGCAGATGACATGATAGTATATCCAGAAAACCCCATCGTCTCAGCCCAAAATCTCCTTAAGCTGATAAGCTACTTCAGCAAGGTCTCAGGATACAAAATCAATGTGCAAAAATCACAAGCATTCTCATACACTAATAACAGACAAAAAGAGAGCCAAATCATGAGTGAACTCCCATTCACAATTGCTTCAAAGAGAATAAAATACCTAGGAATCCAACTTACAAGGGATGTGAAGGACCTCTTCAAGGAGAATTACAAACCACTGCTCAACGAAGTAAAAGAGGACACAAACAAATGGAAGAACATTCCATGCTCATGGGTAGGCAGAATCAATATCATGAAAATGGCCATACTGCCCAAGGTAATTTATAGATTCAATGCCATCCCCATCAAGCTACCAATGACTTTCTTCACAGAATTGGAAAAAAACTACTTTAAAGTTCATATGGAACCAAAAAAGAGCCCACATTGCCAAGTCAATCCTATGCCAAAAGGACAAAGCTGGAGGCATCACGCTACCTGACTTCAAACTATACTACAAGGCTACAGTAACCAAAACAGCATGGTACTGGTGCCAAAACAGACATATAGGCCAATGGAACAGAACAGAGCCCTCAGAAATAATGCCACATAACTACAACATCTGATCTTTGACAAATCTGACAAAAACAAGAAATGGGGAAAGGATTCCCTAATTAATAAATGGTGCTGGGAAAACTGGCTAGCCATATTTAGAAAGCTGAAACTGGATCCCTTCCTGACACCTTATACAAAAATTAATTCAAGATGGATTAAAGACTTAAATGTTAGACCTAAAACCATAAAAACCCTAGAAGAAAACCTAGGCAATACCATTCAGGACATAGGCATGGGCAAGGACTTCATGTCTAAAACACCAAAGGCAATGGCAACAAAAGCCAAAATTGACAAATGGGATCTAATTAAACTAAAGAGCTTCTGCACAGCAAAAGAAACTACCATCAGAGTGAACAGGCAACCTACAGAATGGGAGAAAATGTTTGCAATCTACTCATCTGACAAAGGGCTAATATCCAGAATCTACAATGAACTCCAACAAATTTACAAGAAAAAAACAACCCCATCAACAAGTGAGTGAAGGATATGAACAGACACTTCTCAAAAGAAGACATTTATGCAGCCAAAAGACACATGAAAAAATGCTCACCATCACTGGCCATCAGAGAAATGCAAATCAAAACCACATTGAGATACCATTTCACTCCAATTAGAATGGCAATCATTAAAAAGTCAGGAAACAACAGGTGCTGGAGAGGATGTGGAGAAATAGGAACACTTCTACACTGTTGGTGGAACTGTAAACTAGTTCAACCATTGTGGAAGTCAGTGTGGTGATTCCTCAGGGATCTAGAACTAGAAATACCATTTGACCCAACCATCCCATTACTGCGTATATACCCAAAGGATTATAAATCATGCTGCTATAAAGACACATGCACACGTATGTTTACTGCAGCACTATTCACAATAGCAAAGACTTGGAACCAACCCAAATGTCCATCAATGGTAGAGTGGATTAAGAAAATGTGGCACATATACACCATGGAATACTATGTAGCCACAAAAAATGATGAGTTCATGTCCTTTGTAGGGACATGGATGAAGCTGGAAACCATCATTCTCAGCAAACTATCGCAAGGACAAAAAACCAAACACCACATGTTCTCACTCATAGGTGGGAATTGAACAATGAGAACACATGGACACAGGAAGGCGAACATCACACACTGGGGCCTATTGTGGGGAGGAGGGAGCGGGGAGGGATAGCATTAGGAGATATACCTAATGTTAAATTACGAGTTAATGGGTGCAGCACACCAACATGGCACATGTATACATATGTAACAAACCTGCACGTTGTGCACATGTACCCTAAAACTTAAAGTATAATAAAAAAATTAAAGAAAAAAACTAAATTAAAAAAATTTTTTAACATTTTTTTATGGAGGCGGGGGTCTCACCATGTTGCCCAGGCTGGTCTTTAACTTGGGCTCGGGTGATCCTCCCACCTGGCCTCCCAAAGCAGTGGAATTACAGGCATGAGCCACCATGTCTGGCCTACTCAACACCTCTGGGTAAAAGTTTTTCTGTCTCATAGAGAAGAGACTAGCAGTATTTCCTATTGCTTTTTCAAGACAGGTAGAATTTGCTTGCCCAAGGTAAGGTGCATTTTATAACAAGGGGTGGAGAACATATAAGCCTTTTGATTTCTGTTAAAAAAAAACCTCTTTATTTCAAATTTAATTTTGTTTGCTATCTGTGCTTTTATTCAAAAGAAGAGTTTAGGGCCCGGCATGGTGGCTTATGCCTCTAATCCCAGCACTTTGGGAGGCCAAGGTTGCAGGATTGCTTGAGCCTAGGAGTTGGAGACTAGGCTGGGGCAACACGGTGCAACCCCATCTGTATAAAACAAAAAAAGTCGGGCCAGGCACAGTGGCTCATGCCTGTAATCCCCGGCCAGAGTATCTTAGGTCAGGAGTTCGAGACCAGCCTAGCCAACATGGCAAAACCCCATCTCTATTAAAAGTACAAAAAAATTAGCCGGCCATGGTGGTGTTGTGCCTGTAATCCCATCTACTCAGGAGGCTGAGGGAGGAGAATCGCTTGAACCCGGGAGGCAGAGGTTGCAGTGAGCCAAGATCGTGCCACTGCACTCCAGCCGGAGCAACAGAGTGGGACTCCATCTCAAAAAAATAAATTAAATAAATAAATAAATAAATAAAACAATAAAAAAAACTGGACATGGAGCAAATCTCAACAAATTTCAAAGGATGAAAGCATACAGTGTATGTTCTCTAAGCACAATGAAAGATAACTGAAATCAATCATTAAAAGATAATAAACATTGTCAAATGTTTGGAAATTGAGAAGCATATTCTACACAACCCATGAGTCAAAGAAAAAATTGCAATGGAAACTAGACAATAGTTTGAACTGAATAATAATGAAAAAAATTTTAGGAATGCAGTTAACGCTGTGCTTAGATAGAAATTTTAGAGTCTTAGAGCTCTAAAAAAAAGTCTGAAAAAAATTAAGCAATTACTGATGTCAACAAGTTAGAAAGAAGACACTAAATTAAACCCAAAGAAAGTATGTTCATAAAGATAAGAGCAGAAACTAACAATGCACAAAACAAACATACAATAGAGAAAATCAACAAGGCAGAAACTGGTCTTTGATGGACCTCTGGTAAGACTGATCAAGAAAGTAAGAGAAAAGCCACAAATCATTCTACCAGAAATGAAAAAGGGAATATTGTTCAATTATCTTATTGAAAAACAGTAAGACGGAAAAAATTTTTTTGTGTCAATTTACATAAAATTCTTTCAAAAACATAAACTACCAAAATTGACACAAGAAGGAATATAGTTATTTTATTATTTTCTTTAATGTTACTTAAAAACTTCCCGCAAAGAAAAACTTAGGTCCAGATGGTTTCACCTGTGAATTCTTTCAAATATCTAAGAAAAAAAAAATACCAATCTTAAATAAAATCTTTCAGAGAACAGATACAGAAATTAATACTTCCCAACTTATTTTATAAGGTTAGCATAAGCCTGATAGAAAACCCACAATGAGATTACAAGAAAAGAAAATGATGGGACAATCTTTCCAATGAATTTAGATGCAAATGTCTAAGAAAAATATTAGCAAATTAAATCTAGTGATATATGAAAAGAGCAGCACAAGACCAAGTTAGAGTTATTACAGGATTGCAAGGTTGGTTTAACATTCAAAAAATTAATCAACATAATTTACCACAGTAATGGAATAAATCAGAAAAATCATGATTATCATGAAGAGGCAACTGGTAAAATTGAATATCCATTCATGATACAAACTCTCATTGTAATAGGAATAGAAGGACATTTCTTTAATCTAATCAAATATACCCATAAAAAATCCTCCAGCAAATACTTTACTAAATAGTGTTATACTGAAAATTTCCCATGAGATGGGAATGAAACAAAGATGCTTGTTGGTGCCACTTCTATTCAACATTGTACTGGAGTTTCAGCTAATTCAATAAGACAAGTGGGAAAGAAAACCAAGACAAAAGGTGAACAACATGAATAGAATGGGCACTGGGTGGGGATAGGAAAAGGAGTAGGGCAGGAGGAAGGGAAGGGGCAGAAAATTGGACTAAAGTTCAATTACAACTTCACATTGTAAAGGACTAGACCATAACTTCCCATTTATTAAGCTTCTCTGATCCTTCCTACAAACCTGTAGACTCAATAAAGCACATATTATTGACCTCTGTTTTCCAGATGATATAACCATGCCTCAAAGAGGTAAACTGATTAGTCTAAGGTCACTCTTTCAGAAGCGAAGGGCAATTGACTCAGGAGGTGAGTGTTTAAATCTAAGTTTCTTTTCAATATGTCATGCTCTTTCACAGAATCGGAGCTAGAAAAATCCAAAGGGAAAATTTGTCCAGAACTTGCTATTGGGTCTCCCAAACCTAAATAAAGTTGCCACTGAATTTAGGAAGATGGTTGGCTAAAATGACACAAAATAGCATTAGGAGATATACCTAATGCTAAATGACGAGTTAATGGGTGCAGCACACTAGCATGGCACATGTATACATTTGTAACTAACCTGCACATTGTGCACATGTACCCTAAAACTTAAAGTATAATAATAATAAACAAAAAAGAAAAAAAAATGACACAAAATAGGTCCGCTCCTACTTCAAACTTATAGAAATGCTATAAAAATATTTTGAGACAGAGAGAAAGAGTACAGAGAGGAGAGGCAGAGAAGACTAGCTCAAGAGAAAGTTAGGAGAAAGAAAGGAATATCCCCAAATGCTAGAAATGAAGAAAAAACTTAAAATCAGAGTGAGAAGTGGGAACTGACATAGATTCAGATATAGCTTCAGGGGTTGGTGCCTGGAGTCTTAATGCCCATTCAGGAATAGCAGACCTGTTTTCCAGCATTCAAGGCAAAAGTATATGTGAGTGAGTGATGAAGACTAGACTATAGATGCCTTTTTGAAATCCGGACCTTTGATGAGGTGCCCAGTCAGTGAAAAGAGAGAAGACAAGACAAGAAAAACATTGTCCATAGGCTCAGGGAAACGGCAAAAACTTTCTGTCAGGGACCTCAGACAGAAGGTAGACAGAAGATAAATAGTCCACAAGAAATGGAAACTATAGGTCTGTGCTACAATCAGATGCTGGAGGAATTTACATTATCTAGATTTACATTATCTGAGCTGAGAAATTGAAATCCTTACGGTCTTGGCAATGACAGAAATGAAAAGGCGCTGTATAGGGATACTTTCACAATACAGCATACAGGACTTCCAAAGGGAGAGGAAAAAAATCCTGTTGAAGATGTGATCATCTTAAAGAATTACAAGCCATACAAGGAGATACATTTCCATGAAGTAGAGTAGCATATACAGCAAGGAGCATAGCTACCTCTCCTCCAGAAAAAATAAAATAATCCAAAAGAAACCATAAAATAAGTATGTTGGAAATTATTAAAATAAAAAGCAGACACCATAATGAAGGATCAGGACATTTTGGAAAATTTTTACATTTTAAAAAGAACTAAAAGGAACATCTAGAAATTAAAAAGTATAGGTACTTGGAATGAAAAACTGTATAGATATATTAAAAAGCAGATTAGATATAATTGAAGAGATTCTTAGTTAACTGGAAGGCAGATATGAGTACATCATCCAGAAGGCAGCAAGGAGAAATATTAACAGTTATGAAGAACAAAAATCTCATAGAAAGTCAAGAGGAAGGGATAGAAGAAATGAGGCAAGACAGATAATGGCTTAAAATTCTGAAAAATAAAGAGATGAGAACCATGACTACTTCTGAATAGGATGAATAAAAACAAATCTACACCTAGACATAGGTTAGCAAAACAACAAAATATCAAAGATTAAAAAAAAACACAAAAAATATTTTAAAAGCAACCAAAGAAGAAATTACATTAAAAAGAAATAATAATTAGTCTTACGGAAGATTTCTAATCAGCAGCAATGTAAATCAGAGCTATGGAACAATAGCTTCAAAGAACAGAAGGAAAATAACTATCAATCTAGCCAACTACCTTGCCTTCCGTATGTGTGTCTTAACTCAAAGGAGAGAGGTGTGCCAGCAGATGAGAGACTTGTCAGAACTAGCTGGCATTAGCAAAGACCAATGATATCTGGGAAGATATTTAATTTAATTAAAACTATACCTAATTCCTAAACACAAGATGGAACAAATGACCCAGACATGAAGCTCCAGGAGCTTTTGCCTTTACATTATATTTCTAGCTGAAAGTTGGCAGTCTTAATAGCACAAGCTTAGGCAGAATTATTTACGGAGGATGCTATGTGAACTCTAGATATATGGCATAGTGATTAAAACTGAAGTCTGTGGCATCAGAAAAACTGTTCAAATCTTGACTCTGCCTTAGTTTCTGCATCTACACATCTCAGTTTTAAAAAGGTGAAATAAGAAGGGACATGTAAAGCAACTGGCATAGTACCTGGCACATAGTATGAATGTAATAAATCCCAGCTATTACTATTGATCTTGACCATAGTACTGTAATTTGATCATGTAATTTGAAGCAGTTATCTTTAGTACATTATTGAAAAACTAAAATATAAAAGACACATACTCTGACATCCACTGAGCAGCCCACAGTCCATGATGGATTTCCCAGCACTTGATTTTGGCATAGGAGATGGACTAACGAAGATTTCCCAACACCTGTAAGAGATACAAGAACTCTAGTCACATAAGAGACAAGGCTGAAATCTGTTTTGGAAAGAGTAAGACTAATACTACACAGGAATAATGTTAAGTAAAGCATAGTTGTTAGAATGCCATACCAACAATATAAGCTTCACTGAATAAAATGAAGATGGTAGAGGGCAGCGGTTCTCTCAAATTTGCATCAGAATCACCCGGAGGGTGAGTTAAAACATGGAATGCTGGGCTCCACCCCCAGACTTTCTGATTTAGCGGGTCTGTCTTGGGGCCCAAGATTTCTAACAAGTTCCCAAGTGATACTGATACTGGTCCAGGGGTCTCACTTTGAGAACCACTGGTCCAGGTCAATTTCATATTAATGAATCCCTTTCCTTTTGAATGATTTAATCAATTTAGCCTATTTTAGAGTTGTAGAATCTTAACAGATCTGAGAAGTAATCCCTCTCTCCTGCACACCAATGCTGAGGTCCCCTCCATGGCATCCTGTTAGAGGGTCTTCCAGACTGTGCTTGAATACTGTCAGTGAGAGGGATTCACCATTTCACAATTCTAAATTTAGACACTCCAGTTGTCCCACATAGTGATTTAAAAAAAGCAGCCAACCACTTAGCCAAGACTTACCTTTTGGAAAAAAGGTCTACTACCTCTTCTACATCATGGCCCTTTAAGTCACCATTTGGTCTTCTTTTAGATTTCTTAGGCTCAGGGAAATCTAGTTATTCATTCTAAGGGTAGCATTGAGAGATTTGTATGAAGAGGAAAGGGAATGAGCTCTTCCTCTACATCCATGTGTGGAGTCACTCATTCATTTAACGGCATTTTTGGGGTTCCATTATGACAAGCATGGTTGGTATCTTTACAAATCACTAGTTTTATCAAAAATTTAGATCATCTCTTTGATCATACTGTGTAGGAACCTATTGTTTATTTTTTATTATAAAAAGTTATATTTACAATCTAGAAAGTATGCACAAATGAGGGCCAGGCACGGTGGCTCACGTCTGTACTCCCAGTGCTTTGGGAGGCTGAGGCAGGAGGATCACTTGAGCCCAGGAGTTTGCGACCAGCCTGGGCAACATAGCAAGACTGCATCTCTACAAAAAATAAATTTTAAAGAAATTAGCCAGGCATGGTGGCCTGCGTCTGTAGTCCTAGCTACTCAGCAGGCTGAGGCAGGATGATCCCTTGAGCTCAGGAGTTGGAGGCTGCAGTGAGCTATGATCACACTGCTGTACTCTAGCCTGGGTGACAGAGCGAGACACTGTCTACAAAAAAAAATCACCTTAAGACTACTGTCAACATGAAGGTTTATTTAATTCCACAAGAAAAGTTTTTCTATGAGCAGGTGGTTATTGTGATTATATACACAGTATACTTAAAAACAATAAAACAACATAAGCGTCTGCTTCCATAGCTTGTTCTGTCTGGAATATCCTACCCATCCTCTCCCTTCCCTCACCCATTGGCCTGGTGAATTAATCTTTGGAGAGTCAGCATCATTCTAGTTATAAAGTATTTTCTGAACCCACATAGGGAGAACTAAGCATAGCATCCACTATTCTCTGGGCCTCCACTGTACCCTGTACATTTTCCTAGAGAGCACTTAAAACACATTATTACATGTGTTTATTTATAGGTTTTATTAACTTTGATTTTTTTTGATTGGATGTTGGATTTTTATTCATCTTAAAAAAATGATGCCATCTGTTGATTTATTTGCAGTGGAGAAGAATGCCCTGTATAAAGAAATATGTTTTATTTTATTTATTTATTTGTTTATTTTATTATTATACTTTAAGTTCTAGGGTACATGTGCACAATGTGCAGCTTTGTTACATATGTATACATGCACCATGTTGGTGTGCTGCACCCATTAACTCGTCATTTACACTAGGTATGTCTCCCAGTGCTATCCCTCCCCCCTCCCCCTACCCCACAACAGGCCCTGGTGTGTGATGTTCCCTTCCTGTGTCCAAGTGTTCTCATTGTTCAATTCCCACCTATGAGTGAGAACAAGTGGTGTTTGGTTTTTTGTCCTTGCGATAGTTTGCTCAGAATGATGGTTTCCAGCTTCATCCATGTCCCTGCAAAGGACATGAACTCATCATTTTTTATGGCTGCATAGTATTCCATGGTGTATATGTGTCACATTTTCTTAATCCAGTCTATCATTGATGGACATTTGGGTTGGTTCCAAGTCTTTGCTATTGTGAATAGTGCTGCAGTAAACATACGTGTGCATGTGTCTTTATAGCAGCATGATTTATAGTCCTTTGGGTATATACCCAGTAACGGGATGGCCGGGTCAAATGGTATTTCTAGCTCTAGATCCTTGAGAAATCGCCCCACTCTCTTCCACAATGGATGAACTAGTTTACAGTTCCACCAACAGTGTAGAAGCGTTCCTATTTCTCCACATCCTCTCCAGCACCTGTTTTTTCATGACTTTTTAATGATCGCCATTCTAACTGGAGTGAAATGGTACCTCATTGTGGTTTTGATTTGCATTTCTCTGATGGCCAGTGATGATGAGCATTTTTTCATGTGTCTTTTGGCTGCATAAATGTCTTCTTTTGAGAAGTGTCTGTTTATGTCCTTCGCCCACGTGTTGATGGGGTTGTTTTTTTCTTGTAAATTTGTTGGAGTTCATTGTAGATTCTGGATATTAGCCCTTTGTCAGATGAGTAGATTGCAAACATTTTCTCCCATTCTGTAGGTTGCCTGTTCACTCTGATGGTAGTTTCTTTTGCTGTGCAGAAGCTAGTTTAATTAGATCCCATTTGTCAATTTTGGCTTTTGTTGCCATTGCTTTTGGTGTTTTAGACATGAAGTCCTTGCCCATGCCTATGTCCGGAATGGTATTGCCTAGGTTTTCTTCTAGGGTTTTTATGGTTTTAGGTCTAACGTTTAAGTCTTTAATCCATCTTGAATTAATTTTTGTATAAGGTGTAAGGAAGGGATCCAGTTTCAGCTTTCTACATATGGCTAGCCAGTTTTCCCAGCACCACTTATTAAATAGGGAATCCTTTCCCCATTGCTTGTTTTTCTCAGGTTTGTCAAAGATTAGATGGTTGTAGATGTGTAGATGTGTAGGGCTCTGTTCTGTTCCATTGGTCTATATCTCTGTTTTGGTACCAGTACCATGCTGTTTTGGTTACTACAGCCTTGTAGTGTAGTTTGAAGTCAGGTAGCGTGATGCCTCCAGCTTTGTTCTTTTAGCTTAGGATTGTCTTCGAAATGTGGGCGCTTTTTTGGTTCCACGTGAACTTTAGTTTTTTCCAATTCTGTGAATAAGGTCATTGGTAGCTTGATGGGGATGGCATTGAATCTATAAATTACCTTGGGCAGTATGGCCATTTTCATGATATTGATTCTTCCTACCCATGAGCATGGAATGTTCTTCCAATTATTTGTGTCCTCTTTTACTTCGTTGAGCAGTGGTTTGTAATTCTCCTTGAAGAGGTCCTTCACATCCCTTGTAAGTTGGATTCCTAGGTATTTTATTCTCTTTGAAGCAATTGTGAATGGGGAGTTCACTCATGATTTGGCTGTTTGTCTGTTATTGGTGTATAAGAATGCTTGTGATTTTTGCACATTGATTTTGTATCCTGAGACTTTGCTGAAGTAGCTTATCAGCTTACGGAGATTTTGGGCTGAGACGATGGGGTTTTCTGGATATACTATCATGTCATCTGCAAACAGAGACAATTTGACTTCCTCTTTTCCTAATTGAATACCCTTTATTTCCTTCTCCTGCCTGATTGCCCTGGCCAGAACTTCCAACACTATGTTGAATAGGAGTGGTGAGAGAGGGCATCCTTGTCTTGTGCCAGTTTTCAAAGTGAATGCTTCCAGTTTTTGCCCATTCAGTATCATACTGGCTGTGGGTTTGCCATAAATAGCTCTTATTATTTTGAGATATGTCCCATCAATACCTAATTTATTGAGAGTTTTTAGCACAAAGGGCTGTAGAATTTTGTCAAAGACCTTTTCTGCATCTATTGAGATAATCATGTGGTTTTTGTCTTTGGTTCTGTTTATATGCTGGATTATATTTATTGATTTGCACATGTTGAACCAGCCTTGCATCCCAGGGATGAAGCCCACTTGATCATGGTAGATAAGCTTTTTGATGTGCTGCTGGATTCGGTTTGCCAGTATTTTATTGAGGATTTTTGCATTGATGTTCATCAGGGATATTGGTCTAAAATTCTCTTTTTTTGTTGTGTCTCTGCCAGGCTTTGGTATCAGGATGATGCTGGCCTCGTAAAATGAGTTAGGGAGGGTTCCCTCTTTTTCCGTTGATTGGAATAGTTTCAGAAGGAATGGTACCAGCTCCTCCTTGTACCTCTGGTAGAATTCAGCTTTGAATCCATCTGGTCCTGGACTTTTTTTGGTTGGTAGGCTATTAATTATTGCCTCAATTTCCAAGCCTGTTATTGGTCTATTCAGAGATTCAACTTCTTCCTGGTTTAGTCTTGGGAGGGTGTATGTGTCCAGGAATTTATCCATTTCTTCTAGATTTTTTAGTTTATTTGCGTAGAGGTGTTTTTAGTATTCTCTGATGGTAGTTTGTATTTCTGTGGGATCGGTGGTGATATCCCCTTTATCATTTTTTATTGCGTCTGTTTGATTCTTCTGTCTTGTCTTCTTTATTAGTCTTGCTAGTGGTCTATCAATTTTGTTGATCTTTTCAAAAAACCAGCTCCTGGATTCATTGATTTTTTGAAGGGTTTTTTGTGTCTCTATGTCCTTCAGTTCTGCTCTGATCTTAGTTATTTCTTGCCTTCTGCTAGCTTTTGAATGTGTTTGCTCTTGCTTCTCTAGTTCTTTTAATTGTGATGTTAGGGTGTCAGTTTTAGATCTTTCCTGCTTTCTCTTGTGGGCATTTAGTGCTATAAATTTCCCTCTACACACTGCTTTAAATGTGTCCCAGAGATTCTGGTATGCTGTGTCTTTGTTCCCATTGGTTTCAAAGAACATCTTCATTTCTGCCTTCATTTCATTATGTACCCAGTAGTCATTCAGGAGTAGGTTGTTCAGTTTCCATGCAGTTGAGCGGTTTTGAGTGAGTTTCTCAATCCTGAGTTCTAGTTTGACAGCACTGTGGTCTGAGAGACAGTTTGTTACAACTACTGTTCTTTTACATTTACTGAGGATTGCTTTATTCCAACTGTGTGGTCAGTTTTGCAATAAGTGTGATGTGGTGCTGAGAAGAATGTATATTCTGTTGATTTGGGATGGAGAGTTCTGTAGAGGTCTATTAGGTCCGCTTGGTGCAGAGGTGAGTTCAATTCCTGGATATGCTTGTTAACTTTCTGTCTTGTTGATCTGTCTAATGTTGACAGTGGGGTGTTAAAGTCTCCCATTTTTATTGCGTGGGAGTCTAAGTGTCTTTGTAGGTCTCCAAGGACTTGCTTTATGAATCTGGGTGCTCCTGTATTGGGTGCATATATGTTTAGGATAGTTAGCTGTTCTTGTTGAATTGATCCCTTTACCATTATGTAATGGCCTTCTTTGTCTCTTTTGATCTTTGTTGTTTAAAGTCTGTTTTATCAGAAACTAGGATTGCAAACCCTGCCTTTTTTTGTTTTCCATTTGCTTGGTAGATCTTCCTCCATCCCTTTATTTTGAGCCTATGTGTGTCTCTGTACATGAGCTGGGTCTCCTGAATACAGCACACTGATGGGTCTTGACAATTTGCCAGTCTGTCTTTTAATTGGAGCATTTAGCCCACTTACATTTAAGGTTAATATTGTTATGTGTGAATTTGATCCTGTCATCATGATGTTAGCTGGTTATTTTGCTCATTAGTTGATGCAGTTTCTTCCTAGCCTCAATGGTCTTTACAATTTGGCATGTTTTTGCAGTGGCTGGTACCAGTTGTTCCTTTCCATGTTTAGTGCTTCCTTCAGGAGCTCTTTTAGGGCAGGCCTGGTGGTGACAAAATCTCTCAGCATTTGCTTGTCTGTCAAGTATTTTATTTCTCCTTCATTTATGAAGCTTAGTTTGGCTGGATATGAAATTCTGGGTTGAAAATTCTTTTCTTTAAGAATGTTGAATATTGGTCCTCACTCTCTTCTGGTTTGTAGAGTTTCTGCTGAGAGATACGCTGATGGGCTTCCCTTTGTGGGTAACCTGACTTTTCTCTCTGGCTGCCCTTAACATTTTTTCCTTCATTTCAACTTTGGTGAATCTGACAATTACATGTCTTGGAGTTGCTCCTCTTGAGGAGTATCTTTGTGGCGTTCTCTGTATTTCCTGAATTTGAATGTTGGCCTGCCTTGCTACGTTGGGGAACTTCTCCTGGATAATATCCTGCAGAGTGTTTTCCAACTTGGTTCCATTCTCCCTGTCACTTTCAGGTACACCAATCAGACATAGATTTGGTATTTGCACATAGTCCCATATTTCTTGGAGCCTTTGTTCGTTCTTTTTACTCTTTTTTCTCTAAACTTCTCTTCTCACTTAATTTCATACATTTGATCTTCCATCACTGATACCCTTTCTTCCAGTTGATCAAATCGGCTACTGAAGCTTGTGCATCATCACGTAGTTCTTGTGCCATGGTTTTCAGCTCCAACAGGTCATTTAAGGACTTCTCTACATTGGTTATTCTAGTTAGCCATTCAGCTAATCTTTTTTCAAGGTTTTTAGCTTCTTTGCAATGGGTTTGAACTTCGTCCTTTAGCTCGGAGAAGTTTGATCATCTGAAGACTTCTTCTCTCAACTTGTGAAAGTCATTCTCCATCCAGCTTTGTTCCTTTGCTGGCGAGGAGCTGCGTTTCTTTGCAGGGGGAGAGGTGCTCTGATTTTTAGACTTTTCAGCTTTTCTGCTCTGTTTTTTCCCCATCTTTGTGGTTTTATCTACCTTTGGTCTTTGATGATGGAGTCGGACAGATGGGGTTTTGTTGTGGATGTCCTTTCTGTTTGTCAGTTTTCCTTCTAACAGTCAGGACCCTCAGCTGCAGGTCTGTTGGATTTTGATGGAGGTCCGCTCCAGACCCTGTTTGCCTGGGCATCAGCAGCAGAGGTGGCAGAACAGCGAATATTGCTGAACAGCAAATGTTGCTGCCTGATCATTCATTCCTCTGGAAGCTTTTTCTCAGCGGGGTACTGGGCCATGTGAGGTGTCAGTCTGCCCCTACTGGAGGGTGCCTCCCAGTTAGGCTACTCGGGGGTCAGGGACCCACTTGAGGGGGCAATCTGTCTGTTCTCAAACTCTGTGCTGGGAGAACCACTACTCACTTCAAAGCTGTCCGACAGGGACATTTAAGTCTGCAGAGGTTTCAGGCTATGCCCTGCCCTCCGAGGTGGAGTCTACAGAGGCACACAGGCCTCCTTGAGCTGCGGTGGGCTCCACCCAGTTCGAGCTTCCTGGCCTCTTTGTTTACTTACTCAAGCTTCATCAATGGCGGGCGCCCCTCCCCCAGCCTCACTGCCACCTTGCAGATCTCAGACTGCTGTGCTAGCAATGAGCAAGGCTCCGTGGGTGTGGCACCCTCTGAGCCAGGTCAGAGATATAATCTCCTGGTGTGCTGTTTGCTAAGACCATTGGAAAAGCACAGTATTAGGGTGGGAGGGACCCAATTTTCCAGGTGCTGTCTGTCACCGCTTCCCTTGGCTAGGAAAGGGAATTCCCTGACTCCTTGCGCTTCTTTGGCTCACACACAGTGGGCTGCACCCACTGTCCTGCCCCCACGGTCTGACAAGCCCCAGTGAAATGAACTTGGTACCTCGTTGGAAATGCAGAAATCACCTGTCTTCTGCGTCGCTCACGCTGGGAGCTGTAGACTGGAGCTGTTCCTAATTGGTCATCTTGGAACCACTCCCTTAATTTTAAGTTCCTTGAGGGTTCTTACGCAGCTTTTTTATCTCTAGTATTTAGATCAGAACCTTAATTAGTATTTATTAAAAGTTTCCATATTATTCCAAAATCTTCATAAACATTTAAAGTATCTCCATAGTACTTCAGAAAGTAGGCATAAAAATTTACTTAATCATTCTTCCATTATTATTAGATATTTAGGGTGTTTTGAAATTTTTGATATGCTAGTGAAAGGTTATTTCTGTTTAAACCTTTGTTTAAAATTAAAATTATGTCCTTAGTATACCTTCCCAGGAGTAAACTCAGTACTTAAAAGGAAACATTTAAAGTTCTTGATATGCATTGAGAAATAACTTTCATGGGGTTATACTGCCACCAGCCATACACTTGAGCCTGCAGGTCTTGTTGCACCTCAACAGTATCATGTAGTTGGCTTTTCATCCTTGTTAACCTGATAAAGGAATAAAAGTGACATCTTGGCCAGGTGCGTTGGCTCACACCTGTAATCCCAGCACTTTGGGAGGCTGAGGCAGGCAGATCACGAGGTCAGGAGTTCGAGACCAGCCTGGCCAAAATGGTGAAACCCTGTCTCTACTAAAAATACAAAAATTAGCTGGGCGTGGTGGTGGGTGCCTGTAATCCCAGCTACTTGGGAGGCTGAGGCAAGAGAATCACTTGAACCCAGGAGGCAGAGGCTGCAGTGAGCCGAGATTGCGCCACTGCACTCCAGCCTGGGTGACAGAGCAACAATCCGTCTCGGTGGTGGCGGGCAGTGGGGGAGTGACAGCTTGCTTTAGTCTGCATTTCTTTACTTTCTGATAAAGATCAAAGATTATCATTATGATTATTCTGGCAAATCAGTTGTTTTTCCTCTCATAAATTCTCTGTTGATCTACTCTGTACCTTTATCTACCAGGTTTTAGTGTCATTAATTTATATGAGCTCTTTATCTATTAAATATATTAATCATTTTACGTATGTGTAATTGAATCAAACATTTTCTCAGGCTTCCCTTTTATTACTTTTTTTATATAGAAACATTTAAGATTTTTAAATACTCAAAATTATATTTGTCATTGAATTTACTGCATTGTGTCTAATATCTGTAACTTTTAGGATGTATTGTTGATTCTGTATTTGTAAATAGGTTTGTTTATGTTCAAGGAATGTATCTATCCACTTAATTATCAGCTTGATGCAACACTTGAGGCCTAGTTTAGCTTAATTGTGTTAGGGTAAACATTTCCAGGCAGTAGAATTGTATAGCTCTCCATGAATTAACTGCTTTGGGTGATAAGTATTAGCTAAGAAGGGATGAAACCCTAAACAGTAAGAACAGTTGAAGTGCTAGGGAATAATGGCGAATTTCATTTCTTTAAGAATTTTGGGAGATTCTGATTCTATGTTTTCACCTTTAGAACTAAATTTGATCAAAAGAATGCACTTGATTTGCTTGGGGGTAAAAAAGGCCCAATATAAATAAATGTCAGCTCCAAATACAGCTGTTTGGTAATATGTTAAACTAGTCCCTAATCTCTGAAAGAAAGAGAAAACCGTATGGTAGTGAGACTTTCAGGGTTCCTTACCAAATTACCAAATATCTCAATAGGATAAAAACAAATCACCAAATATCAACTTATTCTTTTTATTTTTTTTTCTTGGAGACAGGGTCTCACTCTATCACCCAGGCTAGAGTGCAGTGGCACGATCCTAGCTCACTGCAGCCTCAAATTCCTGGGCTCAAGTGATCTTCTCACCTCAGCCTCCTGAGTAGCGGGACTACAGGCGTGCACCACCATGCCCGGCTAACTTTCTGTACTGTTTTTGGTAGAGAGAGGGTCTTGCCATGTTGCCCAGGCTAGTCTTGAACTGAGCTCAAGCAATCCACCCGCCTCAACCTCCCAAAGTGCTGGGATTATAGGCTAGAGCCACCTTGTCTGGCTAAGTCATTTCTTTATATATTTGTGAAACCCTCAAAATTTTATAAGGGAAATGGCCTTTATTTAAAAATAAACTTTCGGGTTTGAAAGAAAGGCTGAGGAAGTGTAAAAAGTGCATTCTAAACTGTCAGACTGTGTACTTTTAAATCGCAGTTAAAAGGAGACTGACAAAATTACCTTTTAAAAAGATAAAAAGACAATAACTAACTTTGCACATAAAGGTTAACATTAGTGAATGTGTGACAACATCAATCACTTTCCTGGCCATCACAGCTGTGTCTTCTGCTTTACAACTAAACCATAACAGGGGAGGCGGGCAGTAGGGAAGCTTATCAATTGCCTGATTACTTTTCCACATTTAATGTAGCTGCTAATTCTATCCCTGTTATATGACGCATTAATTCCACAGTTATAACCCCAGAACCTAATACAGTGCCTGTTGGAAAGAAAATAAATTGACTAGTTGCAACAGTTTGTAATATGAAGGGATTGTTAGATACAATAGAAAATGGAATTATAAAGGACACAAAACACCCACTTAACGTATCATGAAGAAGTCTGTTAGTTCTGGATTGTAAATTCTACTCAGTGATACTCTTGCCAAGTCCCTTTAGGCCACAATTACTTTATCTGTAAAACTGAGTGATTTTATTAAATTAACTTCGGCACCACTTCAAGCTACCTGATAGAAATGAAGTCGACATAAATTGTGATTATGTTCATTAAGTTTCAAAAGGCAACTTTCTTAGGGGAATATTAAATAATGCTCTCTGTAAAATATTTCATAATGCAAATAATCCTCAGGGCAATGTGAAAACATTCTTAACCTATATTTGCTGCCCACAATTTTATTTAGTTTCTATTAAGTTTTCAAGCCTCTCCACCTCCAAGCATCTAGCACAACGTCTTTGCTCACAACACATGCTCTTAGGCCAACTCCAGAGGAGCGCTTCTATAAAATGCAAGGTCAGCATTTATTGAAGTTACTAAGGAGAGCTGAATTGGGGATTATGGAAGAAAAGATAAGGGCAGTGAGGTGGGAGCTGGAAATCCAGACGCCAGCTGTAGTTCTCAAATGTCCCAGGTGTCAAAAGAATTCTTTTTGCATCCACTGAGATTAAAAAAATATATATATATTTAACACTAGGATTAAATTGGGCTCAGCGTTAAATCCTAGCTGCTTCAGAATAAAACTCTTACTTTAATTTCTCTATTGTACAGTCTAGGACATAATAGGTTTTCAATGAAGATCAAACGAGAACCAGGAAATTAAGCTCAGTTAAGAATAAAACAGGACCACTACCCAATATGTCACTGCATAATTATAACTTAGCGTTTAAGTTCGTGGACTCCGCGTTCAAAAGGATTCTGTCATTTACATCTCTCTGCCTCACTACTCTCATCTGTAAAATGGGATAACAGGACTGTCTCAGAATTAAATGAGTTAATACATGCGAAGCGCTTGCCAGTGCACGTTTCTCAGTGCACGTTTCTCAGTGCACGTTTGACTTCCTTAATGAACAAAATCTCTTGAAGGCACGGTCCTACTAACTTCTGTACCCTTAACATAGAACCCCATACAATACTCAATGCCTGCTTTTTTTTTTTTTTTTTTTAATAAAAGAATTGACAATACACTCTAGGCTGGGGTCGCCTGGGAGACCGATGCGGAAAGCCGCGAAGGCAAAAGACCCGGGCTCCGCGACCCCCACCCGCGCGACGACGCCGCCGCCACCGCGTCGTCACACGGAGCAAAGTCCCCTGGGAAGTGTAGTCTTCAGGCCCTGGGAGGGACTTCAGCCACGGGCCGAGGAGCCAGGAAGTTGAGGGAAGGAAGCTAAGGGGAGGGTTACTGGGTAACTCAAAAGTGTCTGGAGCCCCAGAGGTAGGGTAAGCCGCTCACCTGAGTCTCCCAACACCAGTACCTTCACCCGATCCAGGGACGCCATCTTGCCACTGCCTTCCCTGGGTTAACGCCTGTTCCTGGATTGTAAGCCAATCAGAGTTGGGCATGGAGGGCAGAGCCTTCAATTTCATTGGCCACTCGGAGCGTGACTGTCTTGATCGAAGGTTTCACTGAACTCATTGGCTGGTCTGGTAAAAGGTAGCGGGGTGCTTCCCCAGCTGGTCGCAGGAATAGTGCGTTTTCTTTGTCGCGCAAGGGGCGTGGTTCATTTAAGCCGGTAGTTGAAGCGCTGGGGGCAGCTGTAGTGGGAGTGTTCCAGGATTCGCCTTGGTAAACCTTGTTCCCTGTTCCTTGTTCGGAGTTCCCTGGCCGGGCATTGCATTTCATGATTTCTTCTTCCTTTCGCTCCCTCTTAACTATCCTCCCCTAATGAATTACCCTGTTGCCTTGGTCCTCTTGGTCCTCCAAAGAACCATTGACCCCGGAGCGGCCCGTGTGCGACCTCGGGTAGGGCGGGCTTGGCTGCGCCGAGTGTGGCCCTGGACCCAACTGGGAGAGTCCGAGGGAGTTTGGGGTCTCGGAGTCTCGCATTGGGGAGGAGTGCATATCACCGAACGCGTCTCGTGGAGGGCAGCTGGGTCCGGAGGTTTCGCGGTAGTTTGCCGCTGTGTGTGTGAAGGCGTGGAAAGTGCCATGAAATGTGGTAACACAACACCGCAGTTAGATGTGTAGAATCCCAAGTTGTTCTAGAACTGGAGTGGCGATTTACTGAAGTAATCTAACTGGTCTCTTCGCATCCACTTTTCTTGTTTTTTTCTCCACTCTGCAGTCAGTACAATCTTTTAACATCCTGAATTTGATCCACGCACCTCCCGCTTAAAACTGTTTTAAATTTAAGAAGAGAGTGCCCAGTAGCCTGTCCGATTCTACCTTGGAAACAAGAGTGGAGGAAGTGAAGCAGGGGGAAGCTGGCAAGATGAGCCATGTTGGAACAAAACGTGCCTAGGAGACATATGGAAAGTTTTATGGAAGTACTTGTCTGGCTATGCTAGATGCTGGAAATTAATTGGTGAACAAGATGAAGTCTGGTCTTAGAGATAGACATGGAGAAAGTACAAGAAGGGGGAAAGAGCCATGGAACACGTGAAAGGGGATGATTGTATGCTACTTAATGGGGAGTCTGGGAAGGCCTCCATGAGGAAATATCATTTGAGACTTGAAGGATGATTAGGAGAAGGGGGTTTGGGCTTAGCTGTAGGGGCAGAAGGAACAGCATGTGCAAAGCCTTGGGATGCAGGGAAAGCACATGTGGCTCATGGAATTGAGAATATGCTGGTGTGGCTGGTTATGAGGCTGACAGGGTAGACAGAGGGCAGAGGGTGCCTTCTTTTCAACTTTGTTTCTCTGGCTCCGTGCCTGGTGCACAGTAGTCCTTAAATGTTGATATGATTAAAATACACGTGGGTCTGGGCTGGGGTAGGGAGGTGAGGCTGGGATCTGACTCATGGACTATGGAGATCAAAGGAAGAAACAAAGGTCCTAGGAGGTCCCACGCTCAGAAGTCTCCAGAGACCAGCCATACTCCTTCCCTAATAACGCCAGCTGCTATTCGGCTTCAGCTTATTGTTTCCATGTGGGAACATGGGCTCACTTTTTCCTCAGATATTTCCAATTTTGCAAGAGGAGCTGGAAGTTGAAATTTATGTGAACTCTTACAATTTTTAAATGTTGACAACTAATTCAGAAAATTTTTGAAACATTCTTTGGGTGATACAATGCGTGGGGGGCTGCCAGTTTGAGAACTCTTACCTAAGACCTCTAGAGATTGAGTAAGGAGATTCAGCGTGAGTGGGAAGTGATGGAGGAGAGAAGGTAGTGGTCAGGAAGGAGGATTTTAGAATGCAGAGATTTTGAACAAAGTGGCACAGCTTGATTTCATTCCTGAGCTCTAGTTTCATTTGTTCAGCTACCTGCTGGGCATATTCAGAGGAATATCCTATGGTATTTCCTCAAAGACACTTCTAAAAGTGATTTCCTCATTTCTTCCTGCTCCTCGTCAGGGGTCACCTATTTCTCATGGCAGTACTTTTCCTAGCTACGCTGGCTCAAAACAGAGAGCTATTTAAGATTTTTCCTACTCTCATATTCTGTATCCAATATATTTTGTTGGGTCCTTTTGATTTTTTTTTCTGTAATAACTTTCATTCATTCTGTTCTCTTCTTGCAATTTTTTTGCCTTCTTAGTTTAGATTTTATACCCCCAATATTCCACACTGCCTCCACCTTCACTCACTTGAGTCCGTTCCTCATATTGGTATAAGAGTCATTTTTCTAAATAGGGGATTTATTATGAATGCCAGTACTTAATTGAACTCTTATGCCAGCCCTGAAAGCAGAACACTTTGCATTAATTATCTCACTGAGTTCATACATTAACTGTGTGAGCAGGGCACCATTAATCACTTTTTTTTTTTTTGAGGGTCCTGTCCTGTCACCGAGGCTGGTGTGCAGTGGCTCAATCATGGCTCATTGCAGCCTTGACCTCCTGGCTCAATTGATCCACCTCAGCTGGTACTACAGGTGCATGGCACCATACCTGGCTAAGTTTTAAAATTTTTGTAGAGATGGGGTCTTACTATGTTTCCTAGGCTTGTCTTCAACTTCTGGGCTCTGACAGTCCCCCAACCTTGGCCTCCCAAAGTGTTGCAATTACAGGTATTAGCCACTGTAGCCACTGCACTTGGCTTAATCACTTTTTATATATGAAGAAACTGAGTCTGAGAATTTTCTGAGGTCAGGGGGCCTAAGAAATACTGGAACTGAGATTTAAACCCCAAAACTGTTGGATTGTAAAGTCCTCATATCACTCCCTTATTTTAGTCTTCACAGCTCCCTAGGGTGTTTTAGGCAAAGGAAACAGGCTGAGCAATAAGTGGCACAGGGACCTCTCCATGCAGGATGAGCATTGGCAGGATATATAATAGGGACTTTTGCTGCATAGTAGAGTCACCTAAAGAGCTTTAAAAATTTGTGTGATGCCTAATCTGGCTGCCCCAGACCACCTGAGACAAAACCTTTAGGAGTGGGGCCCAGGATCAGTATTCTTAAAACGTTCCCTAGATGATTCTGCCTTACAACCAGGCTTGAGAACTATTAGTCTGGGGCATGGCATGTATGGGGCAGGGAAGGAGAATACAATAGTAGGAAATAATCCTGGAAACAGGTTATGTTGACATTTTTCTGCTGTTCTTTGTTGAATGTTTCTGAAGCCATATGTTGTGTTCTGACAACTGTTGAGGATGTAAAACAACAAAAAATGAAAACGGGGTTCAAGTACAATGTATAGACCAAACCGAAAAGGAGAGAAAAGTGTGTCCAGTAGTATGCTGTGGTACTACTTTGGTGTCGAGCCCAGGTACTTCCCAGGCATCCTTAAGCCCTGGGGTAGCAGGAAGGCTCTAAGTTCACAGATTTGGATCTAGGTGCTACTTTGTTATATCTTACAATATGTAGTCATACCTGAGTATTTATAACCTAAAGTACGTATTTTCTTTTGACTGACTTTTACTTTTCCTTTATTACAGGAAGGGCCTTATATTTTCCCCCCAAAATATATGCATAGATTGGTTATAGATTGGTGTATAGAGTTTCCTTATAGTATGGTACTGTGGATATAAAAATATTTCTTATAAAAAGAGTATTAAATCTGTTGGGTTGATAACCACTGATTTCAAATAAAAGGGTTAGTTGAAACTAGTATTAATAACAGAATATGATTCTCCATTGAAATAGTTCAATGGGATGTCTCTCTTAAAAATTATCCTGTGGAGCCTGGCTAAGATGGTGAAACCCTGTCTCTACTAAAAATTCAAAAATTAGACAGGCGTGGTGGTGCATGCCTATAGTCCCAGCAACTCAGGAGGCTGAGGCAGGAGGATTGCTTGAACCTGT
Organism: Homo sapiens; assembly: GCF_000001405.40. Classification (NCBI taxonomy): domain Eukaryota; kingdom Metazoa; phylum Chordata; class Mammalia; order Primates; family Hominidae; genus Homo; species Homo sapiens. The sequence goes on from NC_000003.12 coordinate 120,746,416, forward strand.
GAGGCAGAAGTTGCAGTGAGCCGAGCTTGCGCCACTGCACTCCAGCCTAGGTGACAGATCGAGACCCTGTCTCCAAAAAAAAAAAAAATTATCCTGTGGGCTGGGTGTGGTGGCTCACATCTGTAATCCCAGCACTTTAGGAAGCCCCCAAGGTAGGTGGATCCCTTGAGCCCAGAAGTTCGAGACCAGCCTGGGCAAAATGGTGAAACCCTGTCACTACAAAAAACACAAAAATTAGTCAGTCATGGTGGTGTCCACCCGTAGTCTCAGCTACTGGGGAGTTTGAGGTGGGAAGATTGCTTGAGCCCAGGAGGTTGAGACTGCACTGAGCCAAGTCACACCACCGAACTCTAGTCTGGACAACAGAGCAAGACACTCTCTCTATGAAAAGAAAAACAAATTCCCTGTGGCCTAGGGAAATTTAACTTGATTTAATCTGTGTGGATAGTCTAGCCATTTTTAGTTTGGAACATGTTAAGTTGATATGGAAGCTGTCCTTCCTAAGCACTTTAATTATATTCTTATTAATCACAACAACTCCACTGAGGTAGTTGATACTATCCTTACTTCTTAGCGAGTAAAAGGTGGCTTGAAATTGTTTAAGGGATTTGCTCAGGATTACACAGTTACCAAAACACAGGCTGTGTACTCTGAATTTCAAAGCCCAGTTTTGTGTTGTTTTGTTTTTTTGTTTTGTTTTTTTTTGAGACTGAGTTTCGCTCTTGTTGCCCAGGCTGGAGTGCAATGGTGTAATCTTGGCTCACAGCAACCTCCACCTCCCGAAGCCCAGGTTTTTATTTTATTTTATTTTATTTTTTATTTTTATTATTTTTATTTTATTATTATTATACTTTAAGTTTTAGGGTACATGTGCACAATGTGCAGGTTAGTTACATATGTATACATGTGCCATGTTGGTGTGCTGCACCCATTAACTCGTAATTTAACATTAGGTATATCTCCTAATGCTATCCCTCCCCGCTCCCTCCTCCCCACAATAGGCCCCAGTGTGTGATGTTCGCCTTCCTGTGTCCATGTGTTCTCATTGTTCAATTCCCACCTATGAGTGAGATATATGCGGTGTTTGGTTTTTTGTTCTTGCGATAGTTTACTGAGAATGATGGTTTCCAATTTCATCCATGTCCCTACAAAGGACATGAACTCATCCTTTTTTATGGCTGCATAGTATTCCATGGTGTATATGTGCCACATTTTTTAATCCAGTCTATCCTTGTTGGACATTTGGGTTGGTTCCCAGTCTTTGCTATTGTGAGTAGTCCCGCAGTAAACATACGTGTGCATGTGTCTCTATAACAGCATGATTTATAGTCCTTTGGGTATATACCCAGTAATGGGATGGCTGGGTCAAATGGTATTTCTAGTTCTAGATCCCTGAGGAATCGCCACACTGACTTCCACAAGGGTTGAACTAGTTTATAGTCCCAACAACAGTGTAAAAGTCTGTTCCTATTTCTCCACATCCTCTCCAGCACCTGTTGTTTCCTGACTTTTTAATGATTGCCATTCTAACTGGTGTGAGATGGTATCTCATTGTGGTTTTGATTTGCATTTCTCTGATGGCCAGTGATGGTGAGCATTTTTTCATGTGTTTTTTGGCTGCATAAATGTCTTCTTTTGAGAAGTGTCTGTTCATGTCCTTCGCCCACTTTTTGATGGGGTTGTTTGTTTTTTTCTTGTAAATTTGTTTGAGTTCGTTATAGATTCTGGTTATTAGCCCTTTGTCAGATGAAAAGGTTGCAAAAATTTTCTCCCATTCTGTAGGTTGCCTGTTCACTCTGATGGTAGTTTCTTTTGCTGTGCAGAAGCTCTTTAGTTTAATTAGATCCCATTTGTCAATTTTGGCTTTTGTTGCCATTGCTTTTGGTGTTTTAGACATGAAGTCCTTGCCCATGCCTATGTCCTGAATGGTAATGCCTAGGTTTTCTTCTAGGGTTTTTATGGTTTTAGGTCTAACATTTAAGTCTTTAACCCGTCTTGAATTAATTTTTGTAAAAGGTGTAAGGAAGGGATCCAGTTTCAGCTTTCTCCATGTGGCTAGCCAGTTTTCCCAGCACCATTTATTAAATAGGGAATCCTTTCCCCATTGCTTGTTTTTCTCAGGTTTGTCAAAGATCAGATAGTTGTAGATATGCAGCGTTATTTCTGAGGGCTCTGTTGTGTTCCATTGGTCTATATCTCTGTTTTGGTACCAGTACCATGCTGTTTTGGTTACTGTAGCCTTGTAGTATAGTTTGAAGTCAGGTAGCGTGATGCCTCCAGCTTTGTCCTTTTGGCTTAGGATTGACTTGGCAGTGTGGGCTCTTTTTTGGTTCCATATGAACTTTAAAGTAGTTTTTTCCAATTCTGTGAAGAAAGTCATTGGTAGCTTCATGGGGATGGCATTGAATCTATAAATTACCTTGGGCAGTATGGCCATTTTCACGATATTGATTCTTCCTACCCATGAGCATGGAATGTTCTTCCATTTGTTTGTATCCTCTTTAAGTTCATTGAGCAGTGGTTTGTAGTTGTCCTTGAAGAGGTCCTTCACATCCCTTGTAAGTTGGATTCCTAGGTATTTTATTCTCTTTGAAGCAATTGTGAATGGGAGTTCACTCATGATTTGGCTCTCTTTTTGTCTGTTATTGGTGTATAAGAATGCTTGTGATTTTTGTACATTGATTTTGTGTCCTGAGACTTTTTGCTGAAGTTGCTTATCAGTTTAAGGAGATTTTGGGCTGAGACAATGGGGTTTTCTAGATATACAATCATGTCATCTGCAAACAGAGACAATTTGACTTCCTCTTTTCCTAATTGAATACCCTTTATTTCCTTCTCCTGCCTGATTGCCCTGGCCAGAACTTCCAACACTATGTTGAATAGGAGTGGTAAGAGAGGGCATCCCTGTCTTGTGCCAGTTTTCAAAGGGAATGCTTCCAGGTTTTGCCCATTCAGTATGATATTGGCTGTGGGTTTGTCATAGATAGCTCTTATTATTTTGAGATACGTCCCATCAATACCTAACTTATTGAGAGTTTTTAGCATGAAGAGTTGTTGAATTTTGTCAAAGGCCTTTTCTGCATCTATTGAGATAATCATGTGGTTTTTGTCTTTGGTTCTGTTTATATGCTGGATTACATTTATTGATTTGCGTATATTGAACCAGCCTTGCATCCCAGGGATGAAGCCCACTTGATCATGGTGGATAATAAGCTTTTTGATGTGCTGCTGGATTCGGTTTGCCAGTATTTTATTGAGGATTTTTGCATCAATGTTCATCAAGGATATTGGTCTAAAATTCTCCTTTTTGGTTGTGTCTCTGCCCGAAGCCCAGGTTTTTAAAGTAAACTATATGCCAATGTGGGCTTTGAGAAGACAGCTTTCTGGGTCATGGTACGGAAATGAGATACACTTAGTTTCTGCTTTGTCAAGGGATCCAGTATTTAAGAATATTTTGGGCTGCTCTCCCTCCCTCATTTTCTACCTTTTTAAGGACTGGATGGTCTTTCCTTGATTATCAGATTCAATTTTTCAAGGTTGGTAAAACTGTCTGGATCTAAGTATTACTTTCTTTCAGTTTTACAACAGTTAATGATTTTGTCAAACACCCCAGGTGGTGATTACTCATGTGTTTATTGGTTTGTTGTGATTTTATTGTGAAAGCATGACTATGTAAAACATCCTAGAATCTTGGTAGAAAAATTTTACTCAAGAAAGGAAACAAAGACACTTTTAGGAAATGCGAACTGCTAGTTTTCTCAGGGTTTCCAGCATTCCCAAAGAATAGTGAGCATTTCATGTAGCTTTTTTTGTGTTTCTCTTCTGAAGTAAAGTAGACTTGACGTAATATATTGTTTTATAAATAAAAAGTTACTTTTTAATCAAACACACTATAGATCATAAAAGTAGCCATTTAAGAAATATGTAAAGCTTTTTGGGTGTAATCTTTTGTGCATTCTAGAGGAAAATCTTGTTCTGCTCTGTTAAATGCTTAGGTATTAGAAATCTTTTTAAACACTTTGGGTACTTTTCTGGCACTGCAAGGATAGTGGATATGATTACCATGTTCTTATACCTGGCTAATTTTCTGTTTTTTTTTGAATTCAGTATATTTAAAGTTGGAGTTCGTTGCTAAAGATGGCAGACCCAGATGTCCTCACTGAAGTTCCAGCAGCATTGAAGCGGTTAGCCAAGTATGTGATCCGGGGATTTTATGGCATTGAGCATGCCTTGGCCTTGGACATCTTGATCAGGAACTCCTGTGTGAAAGAGGAGGATATGCTGGAGCTGCTCAAGTTTGATCGGAAGCAACTTCGATCAGTTTTGAATAATTTAAAGGGAGACAAGTTTATCAAATGCAGAATGAGGGTAGAGACTGCTGCAGACGGGAAAACCACTCGCCATAACTACTACTTCATCAATTATCGTACTCTTGTTAATGTGGTAAAATATAAACTGGACCACATGAGAAGAAGAATTGAGACCGATGAGAGAGATTCGACCAACCGGGCTTCCTTCAAATGTCCTGTCTGTAGTAGTACTTTCACAGACTTAGAAGCTAATCAGCTCTTTGATCCTATGACAGGTGAGGTTTATCCAGTTTGTGAATCTTTAAAATAAAGTGTGTATTACCTTTTTTCTTAAATTGATTCATCTAATTTTTAAACCATCATATATATTATTATAAAAGTGAATGGATCAGTGTAAATCACAGCATACAGTCAGTCTTACTGTCCTGTTTGGCTGTCGCACTACTTTGAGAAGCCTTTGCAAAGCGTTTCTCCTTTACAAGGGAGTTTCTCACTTATGGCCCTCCTGCCTCTGCCCACCCCACCTTGTTTACAACTGCAGCCTAATCTGAAGGGTTGATTTCTCTACCACTTTGAGGCTGTTCTAATTTTATTTTTGACCTCTAGACAGTTGCAATACAGTGTATTTAAATGCTTTGTTAGTGGAAGTAGAAAGTGGTATCAGGAGTATATAACTAGGGCATATAATCTGGATTTGGGGAAGGCCTCTGGAAGAAGTTAACATTTGAGACCTAAAAGATAGTAAGAGTTAGCTAGATGAAATAAGAGGGGAATTCTTTCCAAGATAAGACATTTAGTGTCCTTTAGATACACATTATTGTTGGAAGAAAATTGTCAACAAGATATATAATTGGCCTGATTTGATTGAATAGTTTTAAGGATTTTTCATAACACAATTTAGAAAGCATGCATTATCTGAAAATACAATATGTCTAGCATAAACATGAGAAACTTTAAAGTTCTGAGTTATATAGTTATTTTATCTTGTTATCTGTTTACACAATAAAAAAGAGACTAGTTTTGCTAAATACTCGATCAATTTTGTCTTATTTTCTACAGGTAAAAATCTATAGAAGGACTCAGTGCTATTAAATTAGATTAAGTCCCTTTGTTATGGTTGAATTCAGGAGTATAGGCTACTTTTTAGTTCATAGATCTGCTTTTTTAAAAACTTCGTCTGAAAGTTTAAACTTTGACCCATGAAATATTTGGTTGTGCAAAATTACAGATTTCTGTGTATGTTTTATTTTCTAATTTTTATGTTATATATGGTACATTTTAAATAATTAAAAAAAATTTTTAAGTGGGAAATAACCCCAATATAAATTAAGATTATTGACAAAAAGAGCCAGAAGCAATCTGTGACCTTTTTTTCTTATTTACTGTGAGGCAATGATTTTGGATGAAAACTGATTTAAGGAATTCACAATTGTATTAAACATTTAATTTGTCTGAGCCGAGCTTTTTACCTTGAAAGGGCTCCACAAGGAGAGATCTTGATTATAAGAAAGTCTTAACCATCCTCGGTATGAGAATTGCTTGAGTGTTCTATAGAGGAAGGTTGTAGAATATATCTGGAGCTCTTCAAAATAGACTAGAAAAGTCTCATGATTCTTGCCATTCACTCTAACAGATTTCTTACAGGAGCTCTGGGTTCTTGGTTTTGTAATTCTCTACAGATGTTGGTTTTAACAGTGGAGGCTTCATCACTCTTGACCACAGTAGAAGGTGTTATCCAGTCCCTTAGAGTAATCTAAAATAACATGCTTCTACTACATTTATTTGTCATTTGAGTCATATTAATTTAATTAAACTTTCTAAAAGGAGATGATTCCACTACTTATATATCAGTATTTGGGAGACTGATCATGATACTCTTGAATTTCACCTGGATTCTGAATGAAACTAGTTGACTCAATAGATGGCCTGTGGAAGAGATGGCCTAACATTCCATCCAGTACAGTCAAGGTGACTTGAATCAAGGAGTTAGGGTAGAGGGCATGAAAGTATTTTATGAAATAAAGCTAAAACTGAAACAATTGTGTTGTGGCCAGTCTGAACAAAGACTATTTTTAATGTGAGGGCTATGGTCAGCATGAAGATGAAAAGAAGGGGTGCCTGAGAGCAAGAATAAGCCACTTAATCTTAATGTCACTCAGGGGAGGGTGCCCTGGTCAGCCAACACTAATGCTTAATTGGCAGTTATGTCCTACAGTAAAGCCTGAGGTATCATGATTAAAAATTTATAATCATTAGGGACCCTCATTCTGAGAACATACTTGCCTTTTTATTGTAACGTGGCTTTTCATTTAGATGCTCCTTTAAGGAGAAAATGTGCTGATTAGGTGATATTAGGCTCTAGTTTGCCAGTTCTGATGTTTTGAGTTTTGTTTTTGTTTTTTTTTTTAAACTATTAATACCCAACAACTTCCTTTGGTCTGTACATTCCTTTTAGAAATCTTTGTGTTTTTCTCTATTATTCTTTCTTGTTTTGCTCGGTATTCATCTCTCTGTCCTCTCCTCTACTCCCACCCCATTATGAAGAAGATGGGCAATAAAAATTTGGTGTGTGTAGTAAGGAAGGAGGGAACTTTTTCTGCTGTAATAATTATGCCTTGTCTAAATTGGTAGATTGTAGTTTTCTTTCTAAGCCCAGTCCTGTACAAATACCCAGTTTCTTGGTTGCTAGAGGAGATTGATAATATTTCTGATCAAGTGATGGAAGTATTTAATGGCCTTCTACCTCCATTTCTTTTCAATAGTTCTTAGATTGACTTATGGTTTACATAAGCAATTAGGGGATATTCAGAAATTGGATTTGAAGCCTGCTAGATTTTACTGTTTTCCCTGACAAAAGGTGCTTAACTCAAGTGTATGGGCAGCTCTCTGCCACAGGACAAAGGGTAGTAACTCCTAGATGAGCTCCTGAGGACCACCTGCAAATTCTGGACCCAGGAAACAGCCCAGCAAGGATTGTTTACCATTGTTAATTCACACATAAGCCACCGGTCTTCCTACTTCAGTTTACTACTATTTCCTACTCCATCTCTACTTTTCCTAAAGATTGTAAATTTTCTCCATACTTTCCATTTAGATTTGCTTTTGATGTTTCTGGGTTGAACTCTCTTCAAATGTATAGATACATTATTTGTTAAAATGGAATAGCCTAGCCTTTGCACACTAGTCAATCAGAAGCTTAATCATTAAGGTGAAACCAGGTTTTAAGTTTCTAAAATATGGGAGGATTATGTAATCAAAACAAAAACATGACATGAAATCTCTCAGTGAATCAGCAAAATAACATCTTGTGTTTCATAAATGCATGTTTTAGATTTAGCAAGCTTTCTGACCATTTAAATAGACTTAAGTATTTCTATTTTAGCAGTCTCAACCATGGGTGATTTAGTTAATCACCCTAAGTTAACACTTCTAAGTTAAGTTCAACAGCATGCTTCTCCTGAAGGGCAGAGGGGGATCTTAGCTCTTTTTAGATGTTAAGGTTAGATGATTTGGAAATAGCTTTATATTTTCCATTTTTAGTTTAAAAATTATGCAACCATAATGCCAGAGACAAATTTGAAGAGAAAAAAATCACCCACAAAGCCACCAGCCTTTTACGTATTACCTACAATTACAATCATAGCTTAGAATAGTTTATGATCTCTTGGTTTCTTAATGTACCAAACTCTCCTGTTTCTATCTAGTGTTCAAAATACATTTTAATAGGTGTAATTTTTTCCCATTTTCCTTTCCCCTCCTTTTGGGCACTTTGGGGGTATCTATTTTTTGCTGGTATAGATAAGATGCTTTGAATACCTTTGTATATATAGCACATTATTCCTGTTCACATTTTTTCTTATGAATTCTTGGCAGTGGGAATATTGGGCAAAAAAATACAGTTTTAGAGCTTCTCTAAAAACATATATGGCATTGTAGTTTTACTGTGAGTGGGTGGAGTAGAATTGTTAGATGTTTGAATTGGAAATAATTCGGGAGCCCCTTTTACTGCATTCACCTAGGGACCTAGGAGTCACATTTTAAATTTTGAGATGAGATAATTTAATTTTTTTTTAAAAAAGAATCTTATAAATGTATATTTAATAAAATCTTAGAAATAGAAATTCAGAGATTATCTAGTTCAACTCAACAAATAATGTGTATGTGGGTGCACATGGACATGCCTATGTTGTACTCTTGGATTTGGAGGATCGCATAATGTAATAACGAATAAATCTAGGGGTATATACATTGCTAGGCTGTTTTAGATTTACTATTAAGGGAGAATATGACACTTCTCATGGAGATTTACCTTGTTTTGTTTGGCTCCATGGAAAGACTTAGCAACAGATTTTAGTATTAGCATAAAGAAGTCTTTGATAATTAAGTAAGTGTCTAATAAATAACTCGTAAAAATAGCCAACAATGGAATAGATCTCTTCTAGTGATGAGTTCTGAGTTTGGAATAGTCAAGTAAACTTGGTATCTACTTGAGATATTCATATGTAAGTTTGGAGTTAAATCATATGAGTCCCTTCTTGGCTTGTGACTACAGATAAAACTTTTTGGTTTGGACAGATCCATTTCCTGATGGCCCCATTCATTGAGATTCCTTTTCTGTTCCCTTACCCTAACATTTAAAAATTTTTAAGATTCTCTATTTGTGAGACTTGATTAAAGAGTTTGCCTTCATAGGGCAGGCTGCTTTTTCCTGTCTTCTCTTTCTACTTAGAATAGGAGATATCTTTAAAAATTTTTTTAATTAAAAGAAATTTTTTGTGGCTAAATAGGTGTATATGTTTATGGGGTACATGAGATGTTTTGATACAGGCATGCAATGTGTAATAATCACGTCATGGAGAATGGGGTATCCATCCCCTCATGCATTTATCCTTTGTGTTACAAACAATCCAATTATACTATTTTAGTTATTTTTAAATGTATAATTATTGACTATAGTTACCCTGTTGTGCTATCAAATAGTAGGTCTTATTCATTCTTTCTAACTATTTTTTTTACCAGTTAGCCATCCCCCATCCCTACTACCATTTCTACCCTCTGCTAACCATCCTTTCATTCTCTGTGTCCCCGAATTCAATCATTTTGAGTTTTAGATCCCACAGATTAGTGAGAAGGTACAATGTTTATCCTTCTGTGCCTGGCTTATTTCACTTAACATAATGATTTCCAGTTCCGTCTATGTTGCAAATGACTGAATCTCATTCTTTTTTATGGCTGAATAGTACTCCATTGTGTATGTGCACCACAGTTTCTTTATCTAGTCATCTGTTGATGAACACTTAGGTTGCTTCCAAATCTTAGCTATTGTGAACAGTGCTGCCACAAACATGGGAATGCAGATACATCTGATATACTGATTTCCTTTCTTTTGGGTATATACTCAGCAGTGAGATTGCTGGATCATATGGTAGCTTTATTTTTAGTTTTTTGAGGAACCTCCAAACTGTTCTCCATGGTGATTGTACTAATTTACATTCCCACCAACAGTGTACGACAGTTCCCTTTCCTCCACGTTCTTGCCAGCATTTGTTATTGCCAGGACAGGAGGTATCTTATAAGCAGTGTTTTCAATTCCTGAAGTGCTAAAAACACAAACACAAAAAGAAATCTTTCCAAGATTGTTTTGCTCAGTTGCTGAGTCCTCAGTCTTTGGAATCTTATCCAGCATGGGTTAGACAATTATGCCACAGAACTCAAAGGTATGGATTGGGGAGTGGGGGGAGTAAGGGGGGGAAATTTATTAGAAAAAGTTAAAATATATATAAAAATGAGTTATGGAAAGATAGGAACAAGTATCGTCCCTCTTCTACCCTTCCACCACAAAACCTTTAGGTCTGATTTTTTAAAATTCTGCTGCTTTTGATTTTGAGGATTTGAGAACTTTTTTAAAAAAACATTTTGGCTGGGCACAGTGGCTCATGCCTGTAATCCCAGCACCTTGAGAGGCCAAGGTGGGTGGATCGTTTGAGGTCAGTAGTTCAAGACCAGCCTGGCCAACATAGCAAAACCCCATCTCTACTAAAAATACAAAAATTAGCTGGGCGTGGTGGAGTGCGCCTGTAATCTCAGCTACTCGGGAGGCTGAGGCAGGAGAATCCTTTGAACCCAGGAGCCAGAGGTTGCAGTGAGCCGAGATCGCACCACTGCACTCCAGTCTGGGCGACAGAGTGAAACTTCATCTCAGAAAACAAACAAACAAACAAAAAAAAACAATCTTTTATCTTTTTTGTATTTTGATGCCAGTGACATAAAAGCTAATTTATTTGCTTATTTGTGAAGAGTTGCTTTTTAGTTTTGATGCTTTGGATTTTGATACAATATTCTATTCTTTATTGTCTTTCAGATAGTTGAGATGAGTTTGGTTCTGCATGCTGAGATGAATTTGATTTGGGCCTAATTTAGAGAATTTATTGAAAGCTTTAATATTCATCCATGTACCATACTTCAGTTTGTTGTTTTCTGCCCTTCTTCCCCCACATTGTACCTTTTGTCCCCTTTATCATAAGTTCCAGAATTGAGGAATGATGCATGATTAGACCAAATCCAGATAAATTCCTGTTTAAGGAAGTAGAACCCAATTTCATTGATTAAATTGAATTTTGGAGGGTGAGGTTGTATTGTGTAAATCATTGATACATTTGATTCTGAATTTCAAAAACATTAAATCTGCTTTTTTTTTCTTTTGCATGCAGATGAATGAGTATTTTGCAGTGTTAAGTGTTCTGTGGTGAATTTTTATAAGATGATTTTTCAAATTTCTTTTTATTATAGGTAAAATAATTAAATGTAATGTAAAACTATGTTCCTGTCATGTGTGTTACTGTTTGCTAATAGCAACTCCTTTTTCTATACATTTTCCCTTGCCCAATTAAACTGAAGAAATTTGCTTTATGAAAATAAAGTTTAGGAATGAGACTAAAAGGTGACTTTTTGAGACTTCAAAATTACATTTTAATAGATATTCCCCCGAACATTATGAGTTATAAAAATTGCAACAAAGGACTTGATAATGCTTTCAGAAAAGCCCAGGAATGACTGTATAGCTTCTGCATATTGATTAAGAGGGAGTTGAATGTTTTTGGAGAATTCAATATGGCATTCGTTTTCTTTCTTTTAAAAATACATAAGTAATATATGGCTGGGAGCGATAGCTCAACACATGTAATCCCAGCACTTTGGGAGGCCGAGGTGGGCGGATCACTTGAGGTTAGGAGTTCAAGACCAGCCTGGCCAACAGGGTGAAACCCCATCTCTACTAAATATACAAAAAGCCAGGTGTGGTGGCGCACACCTGTAGTTCCAGCTACTCCGGAGGCTGAGGCACAAGGATTACTTGAACCTCGGAGGCAGAGGTTGCAGTGAGCCAAGATCACGCCACTGCCAGCCTGGGCAACAGAGCGAAACTCTGTCTCAAAAAAATAAAATAAGTAATATATGAATGAAAACTTGGTAAAGACACAAATAGTAGAGAGGTATGTAAACTAAAATGGCAAACTAGTTTTTCCTCTCTGTGGCTTTTCCGCTCACTGCACTCCCACCAATTTTCTCTGTCATAACAGAGAAACTACGAAGTTTTTGCTTATCCTTCCAGTCCTGTTACCTTGTATCCCTAACACCATCCTCCAGAAGCCCTTTAGAAATCTAACAATGTAAAGTGATTCTTTTTTTATTTTTTAAATTTTATTTTTTTATTATACTTTTAAGTTCTGGGGTACATGTGCACAACGTACAGGTTTGTTACATAGGTATACATGTGCCATGTTGGTTTGCTGCACCCAACAACCCGTCATTTACGTTAGGTATTTCTCCTACTGCTAATCCCTCCCCCAGCCTCCCACCCCCGACAGGCCCTGGTGTGTGATGTTCCCTGCCTTGTGTCCATGTGTTCTCGTTGTTAAACTCCCACCTATGAGTGAGAACGTGAGGTGTTTGATTTTCTGACTTTGTGATAGTTGGCTGAGAATGATGGTTTCCAGCTTCATCCATGTCCCTGCAAAGGACATGAACTTATCTTTTTTATGGCTGCATAGTATTCCATGGTGTATATGTGCCACATTTTCTTAATCCAGTCTATCATTGACAGTCATTTGGGTTGGTTCCAAGTCTTTGCTATTGTGAATAGTGCTGCAGTAAACATACGTGTGCATGTGTCTTTATAGTAGCATGATTTATAATCCTTTGGGTGTATATCCAGTAATGTGATGGCTGGGTCAAATGGTATTTCTAGTTCTAGATCCTTGAAGAATCGCCACAGTCTTCCACAATGGTTGAACTAATTTACACTCCCACCAATAGTATAAAAGCATTCTTATTTCTCCACATCCTCTCCATCATCTGTTGTTTCCTGACTTTTTAATGATTGCCATTCTAACTGGTATGAGATGGTATCTCATTGTGGTTTTGATTTGCATTTCTCTGATGACCAGTGATGATGAGCATTTTTTCATATGTCATCTATGCTGCATATGCATATGTTGGCTGCATAAATGTCTTCTTTTGAGAAGTGTCTGTTCATATCCTTTGCCCACTTTTTGATGGGGTCATTTGTTTTTTTCTTGTAAATTTGTTGAGTTCTTTGTAGATTCTGGTTATTAGCCCTTTGTCAGGTGGGTAGATTGCAAAGATTTTCTCCCATTCTGTAGGTTGCCTGTTCACTCTGATGATAATTTCTTTTGCTATGCAGAAGCTCTTTAGTATAATTAGATTCCATTTGTCTATTTTGTCTTTTGTTGCCATTACTTTTGGTGTTTTAGTCATGAAGTCTTTACTTATGCCTATGTCCTGAATGATATTGCCTAGGTTTTCTTATAGGGTTTTTGTGGTGTTAGGTCTTACATTTAAGTCTTTAATCTATCTTGAGTTAATTTTTGTATAAGGTGTAAGGAAGGGATTCAATTTCAGCTTTCTACATAGGGCTAGCCAGTTTTACCAGCACCATTTATAAAATAGGGAATCTTTTCCTCATTTCTTGTTTTTGTCAGGTTTGTCAAAGATCAGATGGTTATAGAGGTGTGGTGTTATTTCTGAGGCCTCTGTTCTGTTCCATTGGTCTGTATATCTGCTTTGGTAGCAGTAACGTGCTGTTTTGGTTACTGTAGCCTTGTAGTATAGTTTGAAGTCAGGTAGTGTGATGCCTCCAGCTTTGTTGTTTTTGCTTAGGATTGTCTTGGCTATACAGGCTGTTTTTTGGTTCCATGTGAACTTTAAAGTAGTATTTTCCAATTCTGTGAAGAAAGTCAGTGGTAGCTTGATGGGGATAACATTGAATCTATAAATTACCTTGGACAGGATGGCCATTTTCACGATATTGATTCTTCCTATCCTTGAGCATGGAATGTTCTTCCATTTGTGTCCTCTTTTATTTCGTTGAGCAGTGGTTTGTAGTTCTTGAAGAGGTCCTTCACATCCCTTATAAGTTGGATTCCTAGGTATTTTATTCTCTATGTGGCAATTGTGAATGGGAGTTCACTCATGATTTGACTCTCTGTTTATTATTGGTGTGTATGAATGCCTGTGATTTCTGCACATTGATTTTGTGTCCTGAGACTTTGCTGAAATTGCTTATCAGGTGAAGGAGATTTTGGGCTGAAACGATGGAGTTTTCTAAATATACAATCATGTCATCTACAAACAGAGACAATTTGACTTCCTATTTTCCTAATTGAATACCCTTTATTTCTTTCTCTTGCCTGATTGCCCTGGCCAGAACTTCCAACACTATGTTGAATAGGAGTGGTGAGAGAGGGCATCCTTGTCTTGTGCTGGTTTTTAAAGGGAATGCTTCCAGTTTTTGACCATTCAGTATGATATTGGCTGTGGGTTTGTCATAGCTCTTATTATTTTGAGATACAGTCCATCAATACCTAGTTTATTGAGAGTTTTTAGCATGAAGGGCTGTTGAATTTTGTCAAAGACCTTTTCTGCATCTATTGAGATAATCGTGTGCTTTTTGTCATTGGTTCTGTTTATGTGATGGATTACATTTATTGATTTGCATATGTTGAACCAGCCTTGCATCCCAGCGATGAAGCCGACTTGATCTTGGTGGATAAGCTTTTTGATGTGCTGCTGGATTCGGTTTGCCAGTATTGTAGTGAGGATTTTCACGTCGATGTTCATCAGGAATATTGGCCTAAAATTCTCTTTTTTTGTTGTGTCTCTACCAGGCTTTGGTATCAGGATGATGCTAGCCTCATAAAATGAGTTAAGGAGGATTTCCTCTTTTTCTATTGATTGGAATAGTTTCAGAAGGAATGGTACCAGCTCCTCCTTGTACCTTTGGTAGAATTCAGCTGTGTCTGGTCCTGGACTTTTTTTGGTTGGTAGGCTATTAATTATTGCCTCAATTTCCAAGCCTGTTATTGGTCTATTCAGAGATTCAACTTCTTCCTGGTTTAGTCTTGGGAGGGTATATGTGTCCAGGAATTTATCCATTTCTTCTAGATTTTTTAGCTTATTTTTGTAGCGTTGTTTATAGTATTCTCTGATGGTAGTTTGTATTTCTGTGGGATCGGTGGTGATATCCCCTTTATCGTTTTTTATTGCATCTATTTGATTCTTCTCTCTTTTCTTTTTTATTAGTCTGGCTAGCAGTCTATCTATTTTGTTGATCTTTTCAAAGAACCAGCTCCTGGATTCATTGATTTTTTGGAAGGGTTTTTTGTGTCTTTATCTCCTTCAGTTCTGCTCTGATCTTAGTTATTTCTTGCCTTCTGCTAGCTTTTGAATGTGTTTGCTCTTGCTTCTCTAGTTCTTTTAATTGTGATGTTAGGGCATCAATTTTAGATCTTTCCTGCTTTCTCTTGTGGGCATTTAGTGCTATAAATTTCCCTCTACACATTGCTTTAAATGTATCCCAGAGATTCTGATATGTTGTGTCTTTGTTCTCATTGGTTTCAAAGAACATCTTTATTTCTGCCTTCATTTCATTATTTACCCAGTAGTCATTCAGGAGCAGGTTGTTCAGTTTCCATGTAGTTGTGCGTTTTGAGTGAGTTTCTTAATCCTGAGTTCTAATTTGATTACACTGTGGTCTGAGAGACATTTTTTTTTTTTTTTTTTTTTTGAGACGTAGTCTCGCTCTTCTGCCCAGGCTGGAGTGCAGTGGCGTGATCTCGGCTCACTGCAAACTCTGCCTCCCGGGTTCATGCCATTCTCCTGCCTCAGCCTCCCAAGAAGCTGGGACTACAGGTGCCCACTACCACGCCCGGCTAATTTTTTGTATTTTTAGTAGAGACGGGATTTCACCGTGTTAGCCAGGATGGTCTCGATCTCCTGACCTCGTGATCCACCTGCCTTGACCTCCCAAAGTGCTGGGATTACAGGCATGAGCTACCGCGCCTGGCCAATCTCTATTCTTTTACATTTGTTGCAGAGTATTTTACTACCAATTATGTGGTCAATTTTAGAATAATTGTGATGTGGTTCTGAGAAGAATGTATATTCTGTTGATTTGGGATGTAGAGATCTGTAGATGTCTGTTAGGTCCGCTTGGTCTAGAGCTGAGTTCAAGTCCTGGATATCCTTGTTAACCTTCTGTCTCGTTGATCTGTCTAATATTGACAATGGGGTGTTAAAGTCTCCAGTTATTATTGTGTGGGAGTCTAAGTCTCTTTGTAGGTCTCTAAGGACTTGCTTTATGAATCTGGGTGCTCCTGTACTGGGTGCATATATATTTAGGATAGTTAGCTCTTCTTGTTAAATTGATCTCTTTACCATTATGTAGTGGCCTTCTTTGTCTCTTTTGATGCAAAGTGATTCTTAAATACTTTATTAAAACAGCTTATGGTTAGTAATGCTTGGTCAACTTTTCATAATATTGTATAGTTTTATTTAGAACACTTATTATGTTGGGTCCTTTTGCATAATCAGTATGTTCAGTGTTCATGTCATTTCTAGAAGTTTTTTGGCTTTTCTTTTCAGCAGTGGCTGCAAGACAGTAAAATGAAAGGATGTTAAGATTCAAGAGCCCTGGCTTTTAGTCTTAGTCATGTTAGTAACTGTTACCTTGGGCAAATCCTGTAACCATTCTTGGCCTTCTTTTAGCATGTGTAAAATGATACGTTCATCCTATTCTATACCATATATGGCTTCTCTCAACTCTAGTTTTATACTTACTCTTTGATTTGGAACATATTTGACATTCTAAAAGTATGGAGAAGCTTGGGGGTTTTATCACTGGTTTTAGAGGATTATGTTAGTCACTTTGGGTTAATTTAGAAGCCTTGGTTAGGAATTGGGACCCCTCAGTTATAGTATTCATATAGAAAATATGCTCTGTTTACATCTTCAGAAACGCACAGGCATAATGGAGAATAATATTAATAATTTTAAGCAGTCTTATTTTTCCAAGCTCCCCAATTCACTACCTTCCGCATATATATATTCTATTGGCTATCGTCTTTTAGGTATTTGAGATGAGTTTGATTCTGCATGCTGAGATGAATTTGATTTGGGCCTAATTTAGATAATTTGTTGCAAGCTTTAATATTCATCCATGTATTATCCTTCAGTTTGTTGTTTTTTGCCCTTCTTCCCCCATATTGTACCTTTTTTCCCCTTTATAATGAGTTCCAGAATGGAGGAATGATGCATGATTTGACCAAATCCAGATAAGTTCACATTTAAGGAAGGACAAACTAAATTGAATTTTGGGGGGTGGTTTTATGTATTTCATAAAATATTCAGTGGGAGGGGAAAACGGTGTCTAAATATGCTTCCTAACCTATATGGTGGTTGGATGTTTACAGTGCAGTAAAATTAATCATATATATTAGTGTTATGTCTTGAAATTTTATAGTTTCCTCCTTATCTCACTGAAATCCTAGGAGTTCTGCTTCTAGCTACTTAGTTTTAACATGGAACTGTGAAATGTCTTTTGTTTTTTTCTTTTTCCTGGAAGCTTTTTGAGTGAAGGGGAGTAAAAAACTTGGATTCAAAGTTTTTTCATAAGATTGTCCAGGAAAGTTATGCATGCCATTATCTCTTGCTTAGATTTTGCAAAGCTCTCTTAGGTAGTTTCCTTGCTTTCACTCTTGGTTCCCGTGTAGACTATTTGTCATAGCAACTAGTGATCCTTCTAGCATATCAGAGCATGCCACTCTTCTGTTAAAAATCCTCCAGAGGCTTCTTCTTTCCCTCAGAAAAGTCAAAGTCCTCAACAGAATTTATAAAGTCTTCTATTTGCTTCCTCCCCAATTTCCCCTTTTGGAGACTATTTCTATCATTATTCCCATGTTCACAGCAGCCACCTTATTTGTGCTTTGTGTGCACCAGGCATGCCTTTACTTTATTTGCCTTTTTGCATGCTATTTTCCCTTGTCCAAACATTTGCATGACTTGCTCCCATCTTTAAGTCTCTGCTTTTACATTGTTATATGAGAGAGGCCTACCCTGAGTTTCCTATATAATAGAGCAACACCCCTTTCCCTTCACCTTCTTCCTTCCCTGCTTTTTTTCCCCTGTAATACTTATATACTATGGATGTGATTTTTTTGTGTCTTGACTACCCCCAACTAGAATGTGAGGGCCATGAAAGTAGCTCAGAAGATGATTGGCTGGACTTGGGAAGGCTGAATGTCAGAAGCCCTGGGGATATCAAACCCACTGTTCTGGGGTGAGAGCTCTGCAGCAGCAGACATTTGATCTTCCCTGTTTCCTTGGCCAGCCTTGAGGACATGGGCTGCAATAGGAGTCCCACTTGAGCACTTAAGCACCCTGTGCCATATCAAAGCATTTGAGCTTATTTTGATTTTTTAAAAGTTTGTGGGAAAAATGACTGAATAATATTTCAGTTGCAACTGATACCTTTGACAAATATTTGTCAGTGAATTGTGGGCATTAGCTGATGGCTTATTCATTTTATATACTGGACTGAAGAGAGAAAAATATAATGCTAAGTAATGACTAATTGAGGATTTGACTAATAATGTCTTCTGCCCTAGTGTCACGTATCTGTGTCCTTTTTGTCAGTTATACATTTCCAGAGCACGTACTTGTCAAACTCAAGAGAATAAACAAGTTTTTGGTGGGGTTTTCTTTTTTTTGCTTTGGTTTTATTTGTATTTATTTATTTATTCTCTTGACTGAATACCCATATAATTACAGTGAGTAACATGTTTGTTAAAATGAAATATGTTGGAAGCAGTTAAGTTGAAGGCCTTGGCTGGTATCATATATACCACTTAAATTTTCTTCTGTGTTTAGCAAAGAAAAAATGTCAAGTTTCAAATTTCGCTGAGCATTACTGTTTTTTTTTTTAATTGTTGTTACCAATCCCTTCCCCCCACCCTCCCCATCCCCAATTCATTTTTGCTTTTACTTTTTTTATTTTGGAGAAAGTTAAAATTAAAATGGTGTAGAACTCTTTCCCTTTCCCCTCCCTCTTCTGCCACTGTCCCCCTCATCCCCACAATTAGGTCTCCATTTCTTTTCTCATTGTGGAGTGATAACTTACCTTCTGTAGAAGAATCCTGAGTTATAAAATTGGGACATTCCTATACTACTGAATATATGACCCTAAAATATAGCTTTGAAATATCTATTTATAAAAGATATTTTTTTCTTCCCACTTTCAATGCCTGTTCGTTATCTGCAATGGGATTTATTTTTATTTGTTTGGCAAACCTGATAGGTTAAGACTTAGCCAAGTAAATGCCAGGTATGTGACAGGCACTTATGTTTGTTAAATTATTTGTTATAAATCTTTTCTCCTTCTATTCAATATTTTTGAAAAGTGGAGCTAATGTATATACATGGGAAAAGTTTGCTAAATTGTAGCTGGCAGGGCTGATAGGAAGTTGGAAGGAATGTATAATTCAGGATAGTATAGTGAATTTAGTCTTTTGAGACAGAAAGATTTGTATTTGAATCCAAGTTTAGTGATTTTTGTTTTCAAGCTATGACTTGGTAAACTTAACGCCTCTTAAGCGTTCATTTCCTTGTATGTCAGATTTGGATAGAATTATTGCATAGATTTGCTTCTGATGAATATATAGGAATATTTGTAAAGTAGCTTTCTTAGTTCTTTTTGTGGTTTCTGAGTATAGCTTATCAAACAAATGTGTTATAGAACTCCTTTTTTCCTCCTAACCCCATCATTTGTCAAGCTTTGCCTAAAGAATCTTTGTAGCCTTCATTTTCTCTCTGTTGCCACATTCTTAGATCTAGCTTGCATGTTCTCCCTTGCATGCCTTGGATTCACCATTTCTGGGTTTTGCCTTCTTGATCTTATATGTGAAAAGGGAAAAATTGTGCAGAGCTCTGAGTTTCAATTTCAGTATCTTCTCTCATTCTTGAGTAGTATAGTCTATGTACACTACTTAGTGTAGAATGGTCTAGTTACAAGAAAAGTTGGGATGTTTATCATATTGCTTAATAGCAGCTCTCTACCAGGTGTAGGCATCAGAATTCCTTGTGTAACTTTAAAAATTCTAATTCCTGGGCCCCATTCTGGACCTCTGGGATCAGCATTTGTGGCATGGAGCCTGAGTATAAATTCCACTGGGGATTTTTATGCAGACACTCAGTTAAGAACTGCCTTATTGAGAGGCCATCTCAAGCCACTCAGGCAGATCAATATATGTAAATATTAGTTTTCATGACCTCAGTGTCTTTCCTAACACCCTTCTGTGGCTTTCCTATTACTAAAGAATAAAGTCAAAATGAAGCTTATCATTCAAGACCAATTTATGGTCACCCCAGTTTATCTTGTTAAGTCTGTTTTTTATCATTCTTTTTGATAACTGTTTTCCTATCAGACTGAAATTGCAGTCTAACATCATTTTTCAACCACCCTACTTCTCTTATGATGATCTAGAATGTCCTGTTCCCTTACCCCTTCATCTTCTCCTTCATCTTTTATCTTCTAAACTGTCTCTCAAAAAGGTTTACCTTCTCAATAAGCTTTTCCTAGTGTCCTCAGCTAGAAGTCACATTCCTTCTTTGAACTCCAAAACATTTATGTACTTTATTTTTTGCACTGATCCCTGATTGTTTTATCTCCAGACATCTTTCTTCCCTACTAAAGCTTCTTGCTGACTGGTTCTGTCTGTGTATGCCACCACCACTCTCTCAGTAGCGTGGGTGCCTGCTTGCTACATAGTATGTGCTGGGTTTCCGTGTCCTCCTGCCCCTTGCCACTTGCCCCTTCTGATTTCAGGAAAACTGATTTGCATTTTTACAATGCGTAGTGAAATGTATAAAAAATGCTGCTGGTATATTAAACTGGTCTTAAGTCATTTTCTGTAAAATGTCAAATTTCTTACTTTTCTTGCATTTTTTAGGGTCCCAGAAGAAAAATAAGAAATTCTACATTTGGCTTTGACAGGCTTCTCATTTATAACTAATGTTTTTGTGATAAACACAGGGCTCAGAGATGTCAGGCTAGCTTTTCCTTTTGTAATATTTGCTAGATGTGGTATTTATTGGGAGACTATTCTCCATGGGTCTCTCACATGTTATGCATGTCTTGGCAAGCAGAGATACAGACTGACTGCTTTTTTTCCTGGACTATCATTTTCAAGGATGTTTATATAACGAGCAGCCTTGCAAGACAGAGATAGTATTTCTCTTCAGAGCAAAGAGCAGGTTTGCTTATGGTCCAGTATAAAAAGTGTCTCCTTCCAGAGCATGTTTACATAGAGTTTATAGTAAGTAAGGATAATGCCACCCTCCAGTGCAAAGAATGGGCATGCTTATGCCCATTATAAAATATTTGAGTTCCTTTTAAGCTCAGGCTCTCTTTCCTGTAACACAACCCATTGCATGTGTAATTGTTACCTGGCCCTTCTATCGCACCCCATGGAAATTGGGGCATGGGGAACTGGCTTAAATACTGACACTGGCTACTGCTATTTCCTTGAGTAGTGAAGTTCTTTGTCTCTGACCTGGGGTCTTGTGTCTTCTGCCAGTATCCATGAAACTGGCAGAATAACTTGTTAGCTTACAAGTAGGGTAAAATCTCAGACCCTTCACAGTTCTTAGTAATAATGTTAAAGCTGCTGTTTTCATACCTGCAAAATCAGCCCTTCTGTAAGTAACTCCTGTTAAGTTTGGATGAGATTAGAATTTAGGTGCCTTATGACTATATACTTTATTTTTCCCCCTATTCTTTTTCATGAAAATAAATTACTCGAGTTAAAGGACTGTCATTCTGAGATTGTCCTTCTGTGAAATAATGATATTAGTGTTGTTCTCTTTCTCTCTTTTCCCCAAATAAAAGCACTGCTGTTTTATGAGGATGAGCTACACTGACAAGCATGTTGATTTGTTTACTTAAAGCTGAAGTTTGGAGTACATATTGTCTTAAAATGAGAAATGGGGTATTTGGGAGGACATTTTTTTAAAATTCGGGTATAACATGACTTTTTAATGATAAATTAGATAAATAATAAAACATGTTGGATAATGATAATGCTAAGGGAAAAGAAAATGAAAGAGGATACGATTGTTTGGGTGGACAAGACAGTTGAAATTTTAGATAATGTTGGCTACAGAAGGCCTTACTGGTGGCTTCTGAGTAAAGAACTGAAGTAAGTTTGGAGATGAGCCATGTGATTTTCTGGAGGGAAGGCATCTGGGTAGAGGGCACAGCAGTGCAAAGGCTCTGCAGCAGAGTGTGCCTGATGGGAGACATTGAGGAGGCCGGTTTGTGATGCTTTGAAAACAGATAATGAGAGGGTTGGAGTATTAACCTTTGTCTTAGCTGTGTTTCTATACTTTACCCCAGAGCATTTGCTTTTATGTTTATATATTAATCACCTTTCCATTTGAGAAATGAGATTCCTTTCTTTAAAAACATTTTGAAAACTACAGAACTAGATAACTTGTCTTCCAAACTATTCTTAGTTCTCATTGACAGTCTCTGTAGGTGCTTATTTTTCAACAGTCAATTTAAGTCCCAGTCTCACATTGGTGTGTTTTTTAATTCAGCAGGTATTCGAGAGCTATATTCAACCCTACTTTATGTGGTTTATTTTTAAGCCCCCACATGATTATATTCCTTGCTTCTGTTGAAGAGAAGAGGCTGAGACAGCTTGGAACAGTTGGAGAATAATATAAGATAACATTCTACCTAAAACCTTTCTAGCCAAGGTTGCTTCTTACCCTTTGTTACCAAATATAAAAGCTAGTTTTCAACTCTTGTTGGCCTCTTAATATTAGGACCATACATTTCCTTGAAACACCATCCTGTCACTCTGGTTGCACCATTTCTCTTTCTCAAGGATTCCTCATTCCTTGAGTTTATGCCTTAACTGCTTCTTCTCACTCTCCTTAATCTCTTCGGATGCTTCTATCTACTATATGGCTTCAGTTACCACCTATAGGTTGTTGATTCTCATATCTAAATTTGTAGTCTAAACCCCTCTCTTGAGCTGAATTGTTAGCATTTGTAATTAGTTGGCTTTTTACATATTCATTTTTATATTTAAAGCAATTTGATATCTTTTACCTAAAAAAAAAAAAAAAGCTAGTTCTTCCTCTCTTTACTTTGGTATAATAGTATTCTTGTCCAGTTGATTAAGTTATAATCTTTATGTTCGTGACCATTAGTCAAAAGCTATCAGGTACGCACCTGTAGTAAACAAAGTTAGGTTTATTGATGCTTTCTGCAGCAAGGGAAGCCACATACCATGGGGAAACCATGAAATGTCGGTAAGATGATGTTGGACAGACTTAGAGAATGTGGGCTTTTGTTGGGTAATTTTGGGGAGGATTCAGGGAAGTGATGAAGGTTTCCTTTGGATTGGATGCTGTGAAGAAGTGGGGATAATTCTATGATTGGGTATCTTCATAAATCTTATCTAGGAGGTGACAAGAACAGAGTGACGCTAAAACTAAATGGTAAAGAAGCAGCAGTCACTTGTGCAAGATGGGATTTTTTGTGGTTTGCATGGAGTCCTTGCTTTTGTCTGTTCTCAGACGCAATTCCACAGTGGCTTGGGTTTGCCTCACTTCCATCATAGTCTGATGTTAGTGATCTGTGAGATCTTGTTTGACAGAAAAATGCCACAGTCTAGCTGTGAGTGCTGAGCCACCTCCTAGCTGTGAAGGGCTGCATTTCTCTCTCTTTCTCACTTATTTGGGATAGATGTAGATTAGGTGGCATTTAGACAATAAGAAGATGTATTTTAGGGTATTTGAACAAATAATTTACATGCTATTGGCTATGTGTGAGGGGCAGTAAAGAAAATTATTATACTGGTAATGTATCAGTAGGATCTAGTGTTATGTTGAAGTAGAGATCACTTGGTTGTTTGTTCTTTATGTATCAATCATACATGGGGCCTTTTATAGCTAAATGTTTGAGTACTTAACTATTTGCCAGACACTAAGTACTTACATGTTCCCTTTTAATCTTTCAAGTAAGTTGAGTCAGAAAGGAAGGATGCATATTCCTGTCTTTGGGAATAAGAACCAAACTGGAAATCCAGGTGTGGCTAGTGGTGTAGACTGTTAAGTAATGTTTAAGAGTGTGAGTTTTAGCATAATAGATTGAATTGATTAGATACAAATGGTTAATAAATTTTAAAAAATAGCCTGTGACAATGTTCAGGATGACTAGAAACTCTTGGTTTTAGGTATTTATTTGGCTTTCCCCATAACGTAGGCCCAAATGTGTAATGTGAAAACAAAAAAGACTAAAGCTGCCAGGAAAGGGTACAAGTTGTGGTGGTAAGCTGTAAAGAATTTGGCTTTAAGTTAAAATAAATACATATTAGAAATATTGTGATTAAAAACTATGCTGAAGTTAGGGATGAAATTACTTTGAATACATCAAAAATGATAGATGGATAGATATGTGATGAATAGCAAAATGCTAATTGTAGAATCTAAATGGTGGTCACATGGCTGTTCACTGTGAAATTCTTTCAACCTTTGTGTATATTTGAAAGTTTTAATAATAAGATATTGGGGGAGGGTGGAGGTATAAACTATCTGCTAAAGTCTTCTCTCTGACCTGAGATACTTGTTTTCTCTGTAGGAACTTTCCGCTGTACTTTTTGCCATACAGAGGTAGAAGAGGATGAATCAGCAATGCCCAAAAAAGATGCACGCACACTTTTGGCAAGGTTTAATGAACAAATTGAGCCCATTTATGCATTGCTTCGGGAGACAGAGGATGTGAACTTGGCCTATGAAATACTTGAGCCAGAACCCACAGAAATCCCAGCCCTGAAACAGAGGTGAGTGTAGGCCCTGTGCTCTTACTAAGAACACATTTCAACCTGTTCTTGTTTTAACTACCTGTACCTTGGAGAACAAGAGTGGGTAATTTACTAGGAGACTCAAGACTGTAATGTTACGTAGGTTCTCAGTTGTGCCACATTTGTCTGATTAACGTGTGCCTGTGATGAAATTCGTTTGTTCTAAATGCAGAACACTGTGGACTTCAGGCAAAAATCTTTAAATATTTAGGTTTGACTTCAAGTACTCATTCTGCTTGGGACTGCAGCAACTCAGCCAATTGTTAGCTAATCCTAAATTAGTTGTGCCGCTTGGGGATATTTGAATTTTCCTAGCCAGCTTCTGAAGGCTGAAGGCCTTTAAGGAATTCAGCATTTTCTTTTTTGTTTTTGAAGCATTTTAATCACCTTTATTTCTTAGTTGTAATTGCAACTTCCTTGAAAGTAAAGTATAGCTGGTGTTACCTATGGGTTAATACTCCTAACAGTGGCTCCCTATTTTTATCAGTGTTCCCTAATGTTTGAATTTCAGAGGTAACCTTAGTTTTGCCATGCCAGAAAAGGTGGTTTATATTCTTTCTTGAAAAGCATAAATGAAAATTGGGGTCAGGGAGTGCTCTCCTACTCTACCCTTTTTTTTCTCTCCCTCTTCCCAGCATCAAGTAAGGGATATCTTTATTTAACCTTCACTTCACCCACTCCCTTCCAAAGAGCTCAACAATCAGGCTGTATTTGTATAGTTTTTAGGAGCATTCTTAGTATTTTATTTCCTGTGGTACTGATGTTACAGAATAGCCAGTCCTGAGTAAATTGGGCTCCTTTTAGATGGTTCAAAGCAATCCAATTCTACAGAAAATTTTGTATCTGTAAGAGTTATGAATTTTCTAATCCAGTACCGTGTGTCAGTTAGGATGCCTTTGCCTGTGATAACAGAATATCCAGCTCTAGTTGGAATTAGAATCCAGTCTAGCAGTAGATTGAACAATAAGAAAATTTGTCTTGCATGACTAGAAGTCTTGAAGTAGTACAGTTCAAAACTGGTTAATTTCACAGCTCAATTATATCTTCAGGGATCTAGATTTGTTCCATCTTTATACTCTGCTGAACTCAGCCTGTTGATTATCCTCTTGGGACCATGAGGGGAGCTAGTCTAATATGGCCATGTATTTCTAGGTATCACGTGCAGATGACAATGTCCAAATGCAGAAAAAGGGACCGTCCCTTCCTTGTGTCCTATTTTAAAACTGAAGAAAGGTTTCCCAGAGGGCTCCCTAGGATACTCTATTTATCCCCTGATGTCTCACTGGCTGCAATTGTTTTATATGCATATTTCTAAACCAGCAGCTGGCAAAGGAAATGAGATCACATGACTGGTACTTAGACTAGTTAAGGTTTACCTTCTAGGACTGGGGAAGGTCCCAGAGTTCTTTGGAGCAAATTGCCATTGGTATTTTAATAAAACCAATAAGCAAAGAAAGAAAGGAGCCACAGTTGATAGGAAACTAATAACATCTGTATCACAGATAGCCTTAACTTTTGGTACTGGTTATTTATTTCTTTTTGTGTAAGAAAAGGAATTCCTCTTTTGAAAAAGGAATTTTTCTTTTTGTATCTTTTTCAGTCCTTTTAAGTTATATTGTAGCTCTAACATACAAGCTTATGAGGGAAATTGATTTTACAAAAATACAAAATTTTCTAAGCTTATGGATTATTTCATGTTGAAGTATGCGTCAGTGTAGTATCTGATTGCTTCCTACACAATATACTATCTGAATTATTCTGATGTTTCCTCTCCTACCTGTAGTTATTTGTCCTGTTTATCAAGATGCTTCCCCACTACAATAGCATTCAGTCACCACCACCACTGGCTTCCTGTCTCTAATGTTCTCCACCTACCACAATCCAGCTCCCCTTCCAGGATCTTTATTTCCATATCCCCCACTCACTGCAGGCCTTGGATGAGTCTTAGTGGTACAGTGACACCAGAGGCCCAACAGCAGCTCTCTGTATCAAGTCATCTTCTTCTTATCAGGAATGATGGTGACTCCAGGGATGAAGAAGAACCAGGAAATAGAGGAAATAAACTGATCAGGAAAAAAGGATACCCAAAAATCTGGTCATTAAGAAAAAAGGGAGGAAATGGAGGCAGACAAGAAAGACAGAATGGGGTTCCTAGAGCTGCCAGCCAGACCAAAGTAAAATCATTTCCACGTGGTCAGGAAAAAAACCATTAGGTTAGAAGATGTTACCCAGGTTATAATGTCCCCACCAAAGCATTTGACAAATTCCACTGCTTGGATATAACATCCTGGAGGTGGTATTGATTTGGCCTTTCTGTACTATAGGAGTATGAAGTTTTGAAATGGCCCATCCTGCCCCAAGGATGTAATAGTCCATCCTGCCTCAGTACAAGAGAAGAGGCATCAATAGAATGGTATGGGAACTCAGAGATGATAGCTTTTCTTTTTTTAAATAAGTGGCAATATTATTAGTTTGATTACTGATCTGTAATCAGTTAAATTCTAGCTTGTCCCTAGATCAGAAACTAGGGGCTACCTCTGCAGAACTGTCAGTAGGCCTAACCCAAGAATTGATGGACAATTCTATCCTTTCAGCAAGTCAACCTATTGATGAGATATAAAAATCTTCCTATCTTTCTAGAGTGGAATTCCTTGCTAGTAACCTTCCCTTTTTCATCATCTCTTAACACTTACCTTAAAGATTTTTAAAAATTTAGTTTTGAAATAATATTCCCCTCTCATCTCTGAGTAAGAGTTGTATCTTTTAAAAGTTCTAAAATTTATTAAATAATATAAAAAGATTCAAACATGAATTGTCATTTTTGTCATCTTCAATTAAAATTGTTCCAAATTTTAAAATTTGTTTGACTTATGGTCAAATGTCTGCTGCCTCAAACTAGAATAAAACCCATCTTGAATTTCTATGACAGAATACTAAAAACAAAAGACTTTTTAAAAGTACTCTTGTGTTAACATTTATTTTAATTCTGTTCTTTTCTCTCTAGCTTTCTTGTTTTTCTCAAAGTACTCCTCATACCTTCATAAGACAGTCTTTGTAGTCAATGCTAAAGATAGAGAATAGAGAAAAACTCTGTGTTCAGGATTATATATAAAGAGAAGCAGTAACCTCAGAGTGAGTGAGTCATTTAAGTCTGAATCAAGGAAAGATAAGGATGTGGTTGGCCAGATCAGAGAAATATGCCTATTCTGTCTCTCCCAGGTGGGTTTAGCTAACTCAGGGAGAAACATTTTGGGGTGGCAGATATATAGAGCAGGCTCAGCACATCAAGATGGGGATGTTGGCTGAGGATAGAAGAGGCATTGAAAGGAGTCAGAGAGACAAATGGGTGTGAGAGGAGAGGCCAGAATGTAGAATAAGCACAGAAACATAAAAAACCAGATCAGACCAAGAGAAAAGAGAAAGTAAAGTGAATGCTGAAGAAGAGAAAAGTTCGAAAAGCCAACCTATACAAAGTAAGCAGCATCATATTACAGTGAAGGCAGCCACATAGCCTTTAAAAGACCACACAGAACAGATAGAAGATAGAGAATGACTAGGGACAGTTAATGGTTAAATTGAGATGAACAAGAAATGATACACAAAGTAACATCAATGAATGCAGAAAGAAATAGCAGAGAGAAACCAGTTATGTGCAATTGTAGCATAAGACTTCAGAATATAGCAAAAAAAAAAAAAAAATAGATGGATTGGATATATTTACAGAGAGATGCCTCATAGGTCTAGACTTAGAGTGGAGAGCAAATAACTGGTAGAAAGTAGGAGCAGTGAGGAGGCAAAAGAAGTGATTGAGACATGGAACAGGTAGAACAGGCACCGGGAAGAAAAAGGCTGTGGGAGAAAGTGGTTTACAAAGTAGCCCTGGGCACAGAGGTGGAATAATGAAAAGTATGCAAACGCAGTACCTGGAAGGCATGGATTAAATGACTGGATCAGTGTGGACTGGGCAACTGGAGATAACATTATTTTTTTGTTGCACAAGTAGCATGGCCCTATAGATATCCAGAGGCAGGACAGGATAGGTGGGATGAGCTAAGCCCAAGTTTACCTCCAGAGGATGGTCAGAAACACAGTGTAATTTAGGGAAAGATGTGATGGGCTAATCAGATACACGGACACAGACCTCAGCTAAGTATGAGTTAGAAAACCCCAGTAGATAAGAAGTGGACCCAGAACAAGTGAAGAGTAAGGGAGTAAGCAGAGATGAAGTAAGACAAAAGTGAAGGCAAAATAGTGAATGGCTTAGGAGGAAAGACTAATGAAGTATTTATTAGATTCAGAATGAGTCGGGGCTCCACACAGGAGATAATTCAGGATCCATGGAAAAGAGTGAGAAAAACGGACGAAAAATAAAGGAGAAACGTGAGACCAGGTCAGTCATGGACACTGAAAGAAACACCCAAAAGGTTTGGAGTGAGCAGGCAGTTCAAGAAACATGAAGATGGTTACAGGATAAAAAATAGCTGGACAGAGCGGGAGGTGGAGAAGCATACGTAGAAGTTGAAGTGGAAAGCATCAGTAGCAGGCAGAGAAAGGCATGAGCTCAGACAGAGAATCAGGCATATTCGAAAGAATTTGGAACAGATTGAGAGTGAAACAGGCAGATAAAATGGGGAACCATCAGAAATACTGAAAACTTGGCCTAACACAGAGGTTGGGGGGAACTTAAGTGACTAGAAGATAAGGAAATGATCAGACATGGAACAGGCTAACAGACAAAGAAGATCGTGGGTGGTAAAAGTAAAAAGCAAAATAAAATAGACTGAGAAAAACAGACCATTGTTACTGCAGAGTAGAATCAGTGGTTGGAGATGGATACAGAGTATCAGCATAGATGTGGAGATAGAAACATACAACTACATAGAAAAGCAGCTAGTTTGTGCAGAGGGTTATACCTTACTGCATGAGTGGTGGGAGAAGAACGTTGGTTGAGGTCAGGCTTTGTAGAATAGTTTTCTAGCTTTTTCCATGATCAGCACACAAAAGAAAGGAAAAAGCACACAGAACCACTTTGAATTGTTCTGGGTTGAGCTGAGATAACATTTTTAAAAATACAATGTGTTTTGTTTTTGTTTTTTAAACAAAATACTGGGAGAGATTTTTGTCAGACTAGTGGCTTTAAGTAGATGATGTCACCATATCACTTTCTCCTTCTCCAAGTATTAATAGATTTATTGAAACATCTTAAATCTATAAAACCTCAGTCATTTATATACATCAGAGGATCCCATGTTTGAGGAACTTAAATATAAATATGATGTGTTTTTCTAACGCATACAACTTTTACCCTGAGGTATAGAAGCACTTTCTTGGAATTGTTAAAGCATGTGTGCATGATTGCTAGGTAGCATTTACATGTAGTATTTCAGTAATTGCCTCCCTAGCTGCCCTTCTTTTCCAACACCAAGACATTAATTTTTCTTCTTCCTGTACTCCTCTATTCTTTTTATATAGCAAGGACCATGCAGCAACTACTGCTGGAGCTGCTAGCCTAGCAGGTGGGCACCACCGGGAAGCATGGGCCACCAAAGGTCCTTCCTATGAAGACTTATACACTCAGAATGTTGTCATTAACATGGATGACCAAGAAGATCTTCATCGAGCCTCACTGGAAGGGAAATCTGCCAAAGAGAGGCCTATTTGGTTGAGAGAAAGCACTGTCCAAGGGGCATATGGTTCTGAAGATATGAAAGAAGGTAAGAGTAGAAGTCAGTAAAATGGATGTGTCTTAGGTTCTGTAGAACATGAACTTGGCTTAGTGGGAAACTGCCTGGGCAATTCTGGATCTGTTCTACAGAACAATTAATTGCATTATATTAGGAAGTAAGAAATTGAACAATAAGATAAAAACCAACTAGTATACTTCCATTGCCCTTCAACTTAGTGAAAATAACAAATAGCCTTTTAAATTTTCATTTTTAGATTTGAAAAATTGTCATCTTTTTATCTTAATTTCTTGGAAAAATGCTATCTGTTGTTTTCAAGGTAGCCATACTCACCTTTCCTTTAATCTTATATTACCCTGACTTATATGCATTTAATTTTTCTGAATTGGGAGCCAAAACTATACGCTACCCCAAACTTTATGTTTTCTCTTCATAAATACCAAGGAGTGTATGCTACCTGAAATAGATACAAAGAGACCACATGAATAAAGGATTGAGCATTCTCACAGTCCAAGACGGTTAGCAGAACTTTGTTCTAGAGGATTTTGGAAATTTCTGAGGCATAAAGGGTTAAGAATTGCATACTAATCTTCGGAAGTTAGAGAACTGCAAGATTTTACTTTCTAAGTTTTAGTCTAAGTTACTGCATTCAAGACTTTGAGTGATGATGGTTTAGGAGTATGTAGAAAATGGGAGGCAAAAATGGATGACGATGACTCAAGCTGGAAAGTAGAGAGGAAGGGTGTCTCTATTTCTTGCTGAATTTTATCAGTGTAACAATCAATGTGCCGCTACTCCCAAGTTAATATATCATTACTAACATATCACGTGAGTTTGGTGATATGTTAGTGCCAAAGAATAATCAGTAGCTGAAAACCACTTGTTTTTTGGCGTTTCTCCTAGCCTCTTTTCCCTTCATAATTAGCATTTAGTATATGTATATACTAGAAATTGTGAAGGTAACGTGGAGTTTGGTAGTGATGGTAAAGCAGCTAATACCTCTACTGTGATTCTCTTTGATATATTAATTTTAATAAGAAAAGGTTTTCCAAGGCAACCATACTTTACCCTCCTTCTTCCTCACTGATTAGCCTGCCATGTTAGTTTTTTTGACGGAGTCTCGCTCTGTTGCCTAGGTTGGAGTACAGTGGTGCGATCTTGGCTCACTGAAACCTCTGCTTTCCGTGTTCAAGTGATTCTCTTGCCTCAGCCTCCTGAGTAGCTGGAATTGGGCGCAAGCCACCATGGCCAGCTAATTTTTGTATTTTTAGTAGAGACGGGGTTTTGCCATGTTGTCCAGGCTGGTCTCAAACTCCTGACCTCAAGTGATCTGCCTGCCTCGGCCTCCCAAAGTGCTGGGATTACAGGCATGAGCCACTGTGCCCAGCCTGTTGTGTTATTTAGATTGAAGTTGTTTTAGATTATACAGTAGTTAGGCTATACTACTACTTAATAAATTTGTTTTCCCCAACTTGGCTTCTTGCCTGTTCTTAAAGCAGCCTTCTTTTCTTTGAACTTAGGAAGAAAACTGAATAAAATAAAATTATTATTAACCAACATTATATATTAAGCTCATAAGTTTAACATTCTAGTTTACAGTTCCTAAAATGATAGAATATGAATCATATGGGCCTTAAATAAGTTATCTGGTCTACTTAAGTTTTGTAAATATTTATTTCTGCATAAAATAGGATAGTATGTTGTCATGTCTGAATTTATCCTAAGTTTCTTGATAGTAGAGCAGACTCTATCCAGTGAATGTATGAAGTGGGTCTTAACACTTGATTTTCCTCAAACTTCAAGTCATGTTGATATCTTTCACAATTGTATCGACTTCAATCATGTTCTCATTACTATACTGAAGAAAGTTCTAATTCCTTTTGATTCTGTTTTCCTTAAACAGTTCTCTTTTCCACTGCTGCCACCTCCTACAGTTTTTGTTTATTTTTGTCTTTTTCTGGACCATCTCTAATTGTAATATACTTTACTTGAGACATAGTGACCAGAATGATACATGTTGTTCATGCATGGATTCACCATTGATTTGAGTTTTATTTCCAGTATCTTTCTGGTTTTTACTTGAGATTTTGTTTGTTGCTTTGGTTCTGGAAGCATGTTAAGACCAAAAACTTCTAGAAACACGTAGAGGTACTTTTTAGGTTCTTCTGTGCCTTGAATCCAATAGCTTGGATCATATCTTTCAGTATATTTTAGATTATTTTTCTGCAGGCTGATTTTCTTGCACTTGCTGAAATAGAAATAGATCTGCTACTTTTCTGCCCACGTATACAACCTTCAGCTCTTCCTATATTTTTTTGCTGCAACTTGGCCTTTCAGTACCCACAATTGCTTAGCATCAATTCCGTGAATATAGTTTCCCAGTATACATCTTCTTTGTAATTTATAACTCTGTTGAAAAAGGCTGTTCCTAGAACCACTGTTTCTACTTTACCATCCAGAAATTTGCTCATTTATCCTTGTTTTTTGTTTTCTGTCTTCATCTGTAACAGAATAATTCTTTTTTCTCCAAACCTCTCAAGACCCTTGTCAGAAATCTGTTACGTGTGACTTAATTTAGTTTACAAAACTAATTTTCTTTTTCCCTAATTTAATACTTAAACATTAATCAAAATACTGTGTTGATATTATTAAACTATTTGGAACATTCTTTTAGAAGCAATTATTGTCTTAAAGGCTTGCATGCATTCCTTACCTTCTTTTCTTTCTGTTGTAGTGCTGCATTGGCAGTAAGCTCTAAGGAGGAGGTTCAGCCTTTGACAATATTTTGAAGTAGTTAAGTTTGATTTTAACTCTCATTTTGACAGTCATGTTATCAAAAGCCTCTTTTCTCTGACCTAAACTTTTAACTTGTCTGCTTCTGTTTCCCTTTCTCTCTCTTATCTGCTCAGTATCTCATTTTAGGAGTTCTGTGCCTTCTAAAATGTCCAGGGATTTAGCTAATTCATTTTAATGTGTTAATGAGAAGATGCTTTCACTTTATCCATAGTCAGAATTGACCATTTCTGAGTCTTCTCTTGATGACGATGATGATAGATAACACTATTCTAAGTGCCAGGCCCATTCTAGACACTTCACAGACATTCACTTAATCCCCACAGTAATCTAGTGAAGTAAATACTATTTTCCCCCTTTCTGTACTTGAGAAAATTGAAGCGGAGAGATGAAATAACTTGGCCAGAATCATACAGCTAAATAGTGTTAGGATTTGAATCAGGGAGTCAGGTTCCAAACAATACTTTTAATCTTTTTATGTATTTTAAATGGCAGTATGTTTGGTAGTAGTATCAGAATGCAGAATGCAGATGGTTTTCTTAAATATTTCATCTGCAGTATATCAGGTAAGATATGTACACAAAATGATAGGAGGTGTGTGGTGAGAGAAGCTTCATTCCTAAAATTAGATTCTTTTTTTATAAAGAGTTTTAAGTATGCTTAGTTTGCTTCATGAAAATAAAACTCACATTTATTCACTCATTTGTCAGATGTTTATTCAGTGCCTAACAGAGTGGCAGGTACTATTTAGGTAAATGGGATATATCCATGAATAAACAAGATAAATATCTGTTGTGGTAGAACCTACATCCTTGGAAAGGGGGTGACAAAGACAATAGATGTAAGTTATTCATTATGTTAGGAAATAAGTGCTATGGGGGAAAAATAGAGCATTGGGAATGTAGGGATAGGATACATTTAAAAGGTAACATTTGAATAAAGACATGAAAGATGGAAGGGAGTTAGCTGTGTGAGTACCTAAAGGAAAAATATTCCAGGCAGAGGGAACAGGTAATGCAAAGGCCCTGAGGTAGGAGTGTGTCTGATATGTACAAGGAATACCATGGAGGCTACTGTGGCTAGACAAGAATGAGCAGGGGAAAGAAGTAAGAGGTAGATGATCAGGAAGGATTCCAGATGATGTGGGACCCTATAGGCCATTGCAAAGCTTTTGGCTTTTACCTTGAGTGAGATAAAGAGCCATGTTTTGATTTTCTGTTATGCCAGCTACTCTAGTCGATTCTTCATAGACATTATCTTATATGTTTTTATTCAGAACCTTAGAAAGTAGATGCTTTTATCACCTCATTTTACAGAAAAAGGTATTGAAGTTTAGAGATTAAATAACTTGCCCAAGATGCTTGTGTGTAGAAGAACCAGGATTCAAATCTATGCTATAATACTCTTAAAGCCAATGTACTTGACCATTATGCTACTTAAGCTCCAGTTTGTAAGAAATATTTTGAATATTTTATGGATAGCAGCTCAAAAATGGAACCAGTGAAGTCTGTTATTTTATCGTATTATTTAAATATATGTTAAAATATTGTCTATATGCTATAAAGAAATGCCATTTATATTTAAGGATATTGACTTTCTGAGTTTTACTCCCCAGGGGGCATAGATATGGACGCATTTCAGGAGCGTGAGGAAGGCCATGCTGGGCCTGATGACAACGAAGAGGTCATGCGAGCACTGCTCATTCACGAGAAAAAGACTTCCTCTGCCATGGCTGGTTCAGTGGGGGCAGCTGCTCCAGTGACCGCTGCCAATGGCAGTGACTCAGAAAGCGAGACCAGTGAGTCAGATGATGATTCTCCACCCCGTCCGGCAGCTGTGGCTGTGCATAAACGAGAAGAGGATGAAGAGGAAGATGACGAGTTTGAAGAAGTAGCAGATGACCCCATTGTCATGGTGGCTGGCCGTCCGTTCTCCTACAGTGAAGTGAGCCAACGGCCAGAGCTAGTGGCCCAGATGACACCAGAAGAAAAGGAAGCATATATAGCAATGGGACAACGCATGTTTGAGGACCTCTTTGAGTGAGCTTTCCCTAATTCTTTCTCCTTTCTCTAATGCTCAGTTCAAAAAGGAATGTCTCATCTTTGAAGAAAAGTATTTAAGTGGCTTTCTGCCCCTCTTGATGTAAGCAACTGTCCATCCTTGTGCAAAGATTGATGGTAGAGAGTTTGACTTTTATGCCAGAAACTTTCCCAGCAAGGTAGGGTGCTGAGAATCCTACCCTTCCTTGCTGTCACTACAGTATTAATATTTTACTGTATTTTCTTTTCTTTTTTTTTTTTTTTTGGAGATGAAGTCTCACTCTTGTACCCCAGGCTGGAGTGCAATGGCGTGATCTCGGCTCACTGCAACCTCTGCCTCCTGGGTTCAAGCGATTCTCCTGCCTCAGCCTCCCGAGTAGCTGGGATTACAGGTGCCTGCCACCATGCCTGGCTAATTTTTGTATTTTTAGTAGAGGCAGGGTTTCACCATGTTAGCCAGGATGATCTCGATCTCCTGACCTCATGATCCACCCGCCTCGGCCTCCCAAAGTGCTGTATTTTCTTATCTGATTTTTTTCTTGCCTTATTAAGACATAATTTTCTCCCTTCTGAAATGAGTGAGGGAAGTTCATAAGGTAAATCCTTCCCATCCATCTGTTTACTACAATAGGTTACAATAATTCACTGATCACATCCATTTTATCTGTTCTAGCCAGGCATTCCAAACAATTTCTTATACTGCTGCCCACCAAAGCAGCTTGCCAACAGTCAAATCACTGATTGGGGGAAAAAATCCTGAAATTTTGCTTAGAATTTGAGCATTTCCTCAAAATTGAGATGGATCAATATGTAAGGGGAGGTGGGAGCGTGTGTGGAAGGGGGAGAGATATACTTGAGTCTTATGATTAATGTCTAAACCAGAATTTGTGTCTTTAGAACTGACCAGACTGGTAGATTTTATTGTATTGCTTAATGTCTTTTGGTTTGGATTTAGGATGATAGAAAACAGAAGTATAATTGGTAAACCCTTAGGAAGAAATTAGAAAAACATGGACGTAAGACAAGAAGTCTCTGTGAAGGGTTGAAGAGTGACAAGCATTGGTAACAGTGCCTTAGAACTGTGTCAGTTAGTCTGATTTGGAAATCCTTTATGTAAAGCTGAGACTGGTCCTGGTTTTGTTCCCTTTGGGTACAGACCTCTTGTCAGTGCTATAAATTGTTTAATGAGGCCATTCCAGCAGAAATCAACAGAATAATTGATTACTCTTCTCTCTCTCTGTCACTCTCCCTCTTTCTAAACATCATTGAAGGCTGTCTCTCTTTTAATTTTTGTCAGACACAGTATTTTAGGGTGCATCCAGTATACCATTGAGCATTGTAACCTCAGGAAACAGTTTATTTTGGGTTCTGATATGTAGCATGGTATTTTCCCTAAGGCAGAACTTTAAAAATAAAGAACTTTCACACAAGGGTCTGTAACAATTGTATATCTTACAATATTTTTCCTTGCATTGTAATTTTTAAGTATTTATCATTTTATAGTACACATGTAAAGAATATATGAGCCTTGTATGGAGTGATGTTTCATTTACCTGGGTTGTGTTAATGACTGAATGTTGACAATAAATCTGTTTTATACTGACTGAAGTTTGTTCATTTTAAGTTCTGTAACATCTTGGGGCATATTAAAATGAATATTCTTCCCATTAAAAAAATGTTAAAGACTTTTTTATTAGTCATATTTCAAATGATAGATGCATATGGGATCTAAACTTTTTGTGCAATAAGATGCCTTTGTACCTTGTATACGTAAAGTATTCAACTTTTACACTTGATCTTAGCCAAAAGACCAAGAAGCAATGCTCTTCAGCTTTTAAACATTGTTTTTTAAACTTTTATAGTTCTAGAAGTTAATTTAAATAAAATGGTAATCAGATGTTAATTTTTAAAATGTAGTTAATTTTTTAAACTATTTTTTGTAAGTGTGTTCATGTATATGTAGAATTCGTGTTATGGGAAAATGTCACAAGTGAATATGGAGGTAAGAATAAAGGTATTCATTGCAGCAGTATTTGAAATAGAATAGAAAGATAGATATACTCACTAAATCTGTATTTAGTCCTAAGTACTCAGGAGGCCAAGGCAGGAAGATTGTTTGAGCCAGGAGTTCAAGGCTAGCCTGGGTAATGTAATGAGATCCCATCCCTCCCCAAAAAAGAATGTATTGAGAGGAAAAGATATCCATAATGTGTTAAATATAGGATTCAGTTTTTCTAGGGGTGTGTGTGTGTGAAGAAGAAAGTAGCTAACATATAGTGAACTGTGTGCCAGACACTATTTTAAGTGCTTTATATATGTTAACTCATTCAATCTTTTATAATCTGTGAGGTAGGTATACATATATAAATGTATATATATAAATTAGGGATGAGAATTACAGTGATCTTAATATATTATTATGAAAAAGATATTTTCATTTTGAAAAAGAATCAAACACATTTAATGAAAGAAATAGTAGAGTGTCAAAAGCAAGGTCTTTTTAGGTTGATGCTAGGATTTTTGGGTGAGTAGACCCTCAGTTAAGTAAAATGAAAAAATCCAGAGTTTATCATTTTCTCGGATAAACGTCTCTAAATTTATACTCAAAATCAATGGGAAGATATAATTTAATAGGTAACTACCTCCCTTTCAGTGACATCTAATAAGACTCAATAGAATTTATATTACTTTATCAGATAGGTTTGTCTCTTGAGTGGCACAATAATCTGGTGAGGAGAGACAGTCAGTGACAGAAGGACCAAAAATGGGAGCCCTGCCGATTAGCCTCTGAAGCTCTAGTAAGGGCAGGCTCACACCCAAGGTTGGTAGATACATGTAGTCACTGTGTTTCTTGACCCCAGGAAAACTAGAGTCACCACCACACACAGCCCATAAGTGATGATGGAGGAACTTGGTTTCCCTGAATGCGGTTGACTATATTCGTGTATCTCAAGTGTCAGCTGAACAAGTGTCCCAACTTTCCCACTGTCCTTTAAGATTTAAATAGAACTTTTTATCCTAACATGTTGGACTACTTCTTCTAGTATCATTTCTTTTGGGAGATGACAGTTCTTTTTTGCAGGTGGTAGGGGACCGGGGAGAGTAGGCAGGGAGCTTGTATCCTCTGGCTTCGCCTTTCTGCTTCCCTGGTTTTCCATCTGTCCTCTACACCACCTGTCCTTTACTCCCCCTAGTACCATCAACACAAGTTTGTGTAGCAGATCTTCCCTGAAGTTTTTACAGTAGTGAGCAAAGGGAGCGGGGCAATGAGGGGGATTTTTGTTTCTATGTTCCTCTTATTTTTAGTTGACACAATAATTGTACATATTTGTGGGATGCAGAGTGATTCTTTATCTCTTCCAACTTTTAGGCTCAGGGGTATATGACGTGCAGGTTTTCTGTATAGGTAAATTGCGTGTCATGGAGTTTAGTGTACAGATTATTTTGCCACCCAGGTAATAAGCATTGTATCAGATAGGTAGTTTTTCAGTCCTCACCCTCCTCCCACCTTCCACCCTCAAGAAGGCCCTCTTTGTGTCCATGTGTACTCAGTGTTTAGTTACCACTTATAAGTGAGAACATGGGGTGTTTGGTCTTCTATTCTTGCATTAATTTGCCTGGGATAATGGCCTCCAGCTCCATCCATATTGCTGCAAAAGACAGGATTTCATTCTTTTTTATGACTGTGTGGTGTTCCATGGTGTATATGTACCACATTTTCTTTATCCAGTCCACCAGTGATGGGCATGTGTTTTTATGGCAGAATGACTTACATTTCCTTGGGTATATACCCAGTAATGGGATTGCTGAGTTAAATGGTAGCTCTATTTGGGGTGTGTGTGTGGTTTTTTTTTTTTTTTTTTGAAACAGTCTCACTCTTGCCCAGGCTGGAGTGCAGTGGCATGATCTCAGCTCACTCCGCCTCTCAGGTTCAAGCAATTCTCGTGCCTCAGCCTCCTGAGTAGCTGGGATTACAAGTGTGTGCCCCCACACCTGGCTACTTTCTGTTTTGTTTTTTTTTTTTTTTGAGACAGAATTTCGTTCTTGTCGCCCAGGCTGGAGTGCAATGGCGCGATCTCGGCTCACTGCAACCTCCACCTCCCAGGTTCAAGCGATTCTTCTGCCTCAGCCTCCCAAGTAGCTGGGATTACAGGTGCGCACCACCACGCTCAGCTAATTTTTATATTTTTAGTAGAGAAGGGGTTTTGCCATGTTGGCCAGGCTAGCCTCAAACTCCTGACCACAGGTGATCCACCCGCCTTGGCCTCCCAAAGTGCTGGGATTACAGGTGTGAGCCACCATGCCTGGCCAATTTCTGTATTTTTAGTAGAGACAGGGTTTCACCTTGTTGGCCTGGCTGGTCTCCGACCTCAGGTGATCTGCCTGTCTCGGCCTCCCAAAGTGTGCTGGGATTACAGGTGTGAGCCACCATGCCCGGCCCAATAGCTCTTTGAGAATAGCTCTTTGAGAATAGCCCAGCCTAATAGCTCTATTGTTTTAAGCTCTTTGAGAAATTTCCAGACTGCATTCCACAGTGGCTGAACTAGTTTACATTCTGGCCAGCAATGTATAAGCATTCCTTTTTCTCTGCAACCTTGCCAGCATCTGCTATTTTTTGACTTTTTAATAATAGCCATTCTGACTAGTGTGAGATGTCTCATTGTGGTTTCGATTTGCATTTCTCTAATGATTAGTGAGACTGAACATTTTTTCGTATGCTTGTTGGCCACATGTATGTCTTCTTTTGAGAAATGTCTGTTTATATTTTTTTGCCCATTTTTTAAATGGAGTTGTTTATTTTTTGCTTGTTGATTTAAGTTCCTTATCGATTCTGGATATTAGACCTTTGTTGAATGCACTTTGCAAATATTTTCT
This sequence comes from Homo sapiens, assembly GCF_000001405.40. Taxonomy (NCBI): domain Eukaryota; kingdom Metazoa; phylum Chordata; class Mammalia; order Primates; family Hominidae; genus Homo; species Homo sapiens. Next base: position 120,786,342 of record NC_000003.12, read on the forward strand.
CCTGTTCTGTAGGTTGTTTACTCTATTGATAGTTTCATTCGCTGTGCAGAAGCTCTTAAGTTTAATTAGGTCCCATTTGTCAGTTTTTGTTTTTATTGCAATTGTTTTTGAATCTTCATTATAAAATGTTTGCCAGGGCCTATGTCCAGAATGGTATTTCCTAGGTTTTCTTCTAGGGTTTTTGTAGTTTTAGGTTTTATATTTAAGTCTTTCATTCATCTTCAGTTGATTTTTGTATATGATGAAAGGAGGGGGTCCAGTTTCAGTCTTCTGCATATGGCTAGCCAGTTATCCTAGCACCACTATATTGAATAGGGAGTCCTTTCTCCATTGCCTGTTTTTGTTGATTTTGTCAAAGATTGGATGATTGTAGGTGTGTGGCTTTATTTCTGGGTTTCCTATTTTCTGTTCCATTAGTCTATGTGTCTGTTTTTATACCAGTACCATGCTATTTTGGTTACTGTAGCGTCGCAGTATAGTTTGAAGTCGGGTAGTGTGATGCCTCTGGCTTTGTTCTTTTTGCTTAGGATTGCTTTGGCTATTTGGGCTCTTTTTTGGTCTTCTCATATGCTAGGGTAATTCAAACCAGGTGAAGGATATTTTAATTAAGGGATTAATGTAGGTGGCAGGTTTAGAATTGAGGTTGTAGCAAAGCACAGCAAAAGCATGAGTTAATTTGGTTTCTCCTTCCTCATCTTGCCAAGTTACTTCGTTTCTAGTCATCTGAATGAGTGAGGGAGAAATAATTCATTCATTTCATAACTTGTTGGTATTATCTGAGACAAGTGGACACTGAATGGAAACAAGTTTGGGAAGAACAGTTCATTTTCTTTTCTAGCAGTTGGCTTGATGGCTAGGTTTCCAGCCAGGACCACAATTGAAAGACTTACATATGTACTTTCTTATTCTCTTTATTCTTGAGTTTAAAAGTAGAAAATAACAATCAAAAAACAAATACGAAAATCTTTAGAATTTAGAAATTGGTGTAATTTCACCTTTGTTTTGTTTCCACTAAAGCTACTTTATGTCATCTCTAGCAGAGCTGAGCTACTATCACTTTATTTTTTTTAATATCTAAAAATGAGGAAGATTTCCAGAAAAGAACTGGCACTATAGTAAATTTACTGTCAATTTTGTTGGCTCTTTCTGCTACAAAAGAAGCAAACTAAACAGTGAACAAGATAAGTACAGGTACTTTTAAAACATCTAATGCAAAAATGGGTTGGGAAGGGGAAAGAGTTATGAAATTTTACTTCTTCCTTTGAAGAGCTAAAGGAATGAACCTATTTTGGCATGTCCTCAGGGCAGGAACAAGTACCTTAGCTTCTCCTCAGAAAGAGCTTCATGACCTTCTGAGTATCAGAGGTGGCCTTTCCTATTCTAGTTGCAAAGCAGGTAGGCCTAGTACACAATCCAGTTTCAACAGTCAACCAGTCAACCCACGTTTCCCATAATGCAGAAGTGCATAATGGCCTACCTAATGTAAATAAGTCTGAGCAATTAGTCTGGAAAGAAGGCTGGTGCCAGGTCTGAAAATGCCTTGAATCATTGGGGCATACAGGATGGTTGTACAGTTTTTTGTTAATGTTTTAATTATTTAAAAATTCATTCAATAGGAAATATATATGGTAAAAAATGAAAACTCCCCAGCCCACCACTATCTTACTACACTGAGGTAATCATTGTTGATAGTTTAATGTGTATCCTCCCAGACCTTTTCTAGGCCTTTAGAAACCACACATACATACTACAGTGCTTTTTACACAAATGGAATCATATCATACACATTGCCATTTGGTTTTGAAATATCTTGGAGAGCTTTCCATTCAGTATGTTTAGATCTTCATTTTAAAAAACAAAATAGAATTTTATAGTTGTATAATGGTTTACGTAAAAATTCCTTTATTGACGGGCATTTAGATAGTGTCCAGTTTTTCACTATTACATGCTATAATCAATTACTCATTTTCATTCTCTTCGAGTATTTCTACAGAATAGAATCATAAAAAAGAAATAGCCAAACAAAGGGCATGTCTATTTTAAACTCTGATATATACTGCTAAACTGCTCTTCAAAAAGATTGCTGGATGATTTTAAGCAGAGGAGTAATTTGTAGTATTGATACTGGATTGGAGTTTAAACCTAGAGATTATTAAGGCCATTTCAATAGTCTTGGTAAGTAATTTGATCAAAAGACCTGAGCAAGTCAGTGGGGATGAGAAAGTGGGGACAAATTTAAGAAACTCTGGGGAGGTAAAATTAATGAGATTTGGTGACTGTTTGGATAGGGCAGTGTCTTGGATGATTCTCAGGTGTCAAGCTGGTTAGTAATTCCATTAACACCATTATAAATATAGGAGGAGAAGCAGGTTTTCCTTCTGTTCCAGACTCAGTAAATGTCACCACCATTTTACTTACAAGCTCAAGCCAAAAGTCTTAATAGTTTAATCCCACATCCAACTTACCAGCAAGTCCTGTTAGACTCAAAATATAATCTGATTTCGAAAGTAGAGGTGACAGGACTTGCTAATAAATTGAAACTATACTCTAAATCTGACTTCATTGCTTCCACCACCTCCACCCTACTCCCAGCCACATGAACTCTCACCTTGACTACTCCAGCATCCTCCCAACTGGTCTCCCTGCTTCCATGCTTATCCCCCTCTCACACACACATGCATTTTAACCATTTCCCACACACAAAGGGATCTTTTAAATCTAAATTAGATTATCTCACTCCCCTTAAAACCCTTAATTGATTTTTCTTAGAATAACATCCAAACTTACTCTATTCACTAGGCTTTACATGGTCTAGCCCCTGGCTACCTACATCTGCTAGTCTACTCTCTAACCATATTGACATTCTCTGTGTTTCTCAAATAAGCCAGCCTTTTTCCTGCCTTAGATCTTTGCCCTAGTGGTATACTTCGCACTTGTCCCTGTTATTTCATTCTCAGCTTCAGTACCACCTCACAGAAGTCAGTCTTCTCCTTTCTCTAAAGGAATCGCTTCCACTATCATATTTTTGTTTTATTTTCTTCATAGAAAAATTATTTGAAATGAACTTGTTTATTTCTTATTTGATTGTTTATGTCTATCAACCCCTCAAAAGACTGTAAGCTCCTTGGGGGCATATAGAATTAATTCTGGCAAGTAGTAGGGTCTCAATAAATGTTGAATGGATAGATGGACAGAATTGGCACTAGGGAGAACATAGCCTTTTCTCCACCAGGGCTCATCATTTTGTTCCTGCCTGAATGGCAAGTCAGTTAATTATGTTCTTAATCAGTTAATTACGTTCATTTGTGGAACATGTTACCTAGGGCTGTGTCTCCAGGACCATCAGTAGGGGATGCTGGGATATAGCTTCTAGGGCATAGCCAATGAGATGTTTAGAGGCTTTAATTCTAGTAGCCATTAGCTTTAGTGTTTTTAGAAAAGGGAATTAAGTGAGTACTTTGTCTAGGGCTGCAGTGTTCAATAAGGTAGCTTGGTTGCTAGCATGCACTTGAAATGTATCTAGTCCAAATTGAGGTAGGCCATAAATATATAATATATGCTGAATTTTGAAGACCCAGCATGAGAAGAAAGAATGTAACATATCTTAATTTTTTATATAGAATATACATTGAAAAGAATAGCATAGAATCAATTGAATTAAAGAAATATAATGTTAAAAATAATTTTACCTTTTTTTTTTTACTTCTTTTAATATGACTGAACATGTAAGTCTACATAAACGGCTCACATTTGTAGCTTAAATTCTATTTCTATTGGACAGCACTGGTCTAGGGCATCTTCTTCAGGTGCTAGAGTTACACGAATAACGTTATGTATTGTACTTAATGATTATTTGCATTTTTCCTCATATACAAGTTTTTTACCTGAATGCTGTGCCCACCCTCCTCTCCTCCCCCACCCTCTACCTGAAAGGTAGGTTTTACTTTGTTTGTAGGCTCTTTGTTCTTGGGAACGAATGGATTTTGTTTCTGGTTTATTTTTTCCCAGTGGGGAGGTGGGTTGGGGATGGTTGGGGTAATGTGTTTTGTTTGTTGCTTTTTTCTTGAAGTAGGATAGAATGGAAGGAAACTGCAGTAATGGCGATAAGGAACTGAAGTTTTTAATTACTGAGACCAATAGTGTGACATTGACGAAGCTCTGACTTCTGGGTAACTGAGGAACCTGAGCATCCTGTGAAGCTATGCCAGAGATGGAGGAGCTAAGAGCCAGTCCTAAATCAGAGGAGAGTTGGAAGTCCAATGTGTTGATCTAGATGCATGTATTAATAGATATTGTATGTTAAATTGCTCATATGTTTATTACTTATCCTCTCCCGCCCCACTAGAATGTACACTCCATGAGAGCAGAAGCTTTATCTTTCTTGCTCCCTGTAGTATTCTGGCTCAATGCCTGGCACATAGTCATTAATACCTATTTGTTGAATGAATAAACAATTAAGTGGCAACTTCTTCAGGCCATGAGTAAACTATGGACCTTATATAAAGGGCTGCTATTTTCCATTTCTGTCGTTATTTCTATACCTAATATCTGTGATGCTATTTTGTATTAATTTTTTTGTCCAGAACTTCCTGTTTGGAATGCTTACGGATGGTAAGTGCTGATCTGTGTAGCAAAGGGCATTTTCCCAGCACCTGGTGAAGCCCCTTAACCAAAAATACATCTAGCCCAAGACTTGCACATTAATTTGTTCACTTAGTCTACCTTAAGATCACTCTTTAAAGAGGACATTTGTAAAGAACAAAGATTATGCTGTTTGTTTTGTTCTTAAATCTAGGAGTTTTATTTTCATAAAAAATGGTGGTTCTGTGGTTGCCTTCATGATATCAAAGACCCAGGTTCCTTTTATCTTTATGCTTAGCCTGCTTTGGCAAATGCTTGTTGCTTCATAATGCCTGATCCACCCTCACCTTCAGGTAGAAAGAAAGGAGGGTATTGGGGGATACATGTGCATGCCAGCTGAATCAGTATTCCCCCACTTTTTTTGTGTGTGTGGTGAAATTCACTTGACATAAAATTAACCATTTTAAAGTGAACGATTCAGTGGCAATTAGTATATTCATGGTATTATGTAACCCCCACCTCTATTCAGTTGCAAAACACTTTTATCACCCCAAAAGAAAACCCAGTATCTGTAAAACATTTACTCCTAATTCTCCCTTTCCCCCAACCCTTGGCAACCACCAGTCTTCTTTCTGTCTCTGTGGATTTACTTTTAATGAATATTCCATATAAATGGGGTCATATGGTATGTGATCTTTTATGTCTGGCTTTTTCACTTAACATGTTTTTAAGGTTTTTACATGTTGCAGCATGTATCAGTATTTTGTTCCTTTTTATGGCTAAGTAGTATCCCATTATATGTATATACCACAATTTGTTTATCCATTCAGCTATTGATGAATTTAGGTTGTTTCTATATTTTGGCTATTGTGGATAGCGCTGCTATGAATGTTTCTATAAGTATTTGTTTGAGTACCTGTTTTCAATTTTGGGGAGTATATACCTAGGAATTGCTGGGTCATATGTTCTGTGTTTCTGTGCTATTTCTTTTTGAAGTAATACTTCTTCCTGTACTATCTGCAGTAATTACTGTTATCCAATGGAGAGTAGTACAAGATGTCTCTTGTGGGATGTGGGAGTCAACAGAGAATACCAGAACTCTAGGGTCTGTGATCAGAGATTTCCTGGCAATAACTACAAAGGAGAGATTAATAGGAAATATGCATATATGCATATGAGGTAAGAATTCAGGAATTCCAGACAAACCCCCCCCAGGAAGGAATTAGGTTATCTAAGTCACCCTTTACATTTTTCCCCGGGATTCAGTCTCTGAGTCATACTGGATTCATCCTAGCCTTCTAGTGCCTTAATCTGGAACTGTGATCTGTATGCTCCAATTCTCTGTAATAGTCAAGCCTTCAAGTACAGGATCAGCAGTGGGCTGATAGCTTCATTTGGTTAAGCATGGAGGTGAGGCCCTTCTGTTTGAACATGCTTGGAACGGTACCTATATCAGGGGTGGTAGTGATGGCAGTTGTTAGCATTGAGAGGATGGATCCAGAGCGAAATTGCCTCTCACAGTATTTGTGCAGTATGGAGTCAGCGTTAATCAGCCCTATTCTACCAGCTTCAAAAACCGGAGGCTGGCAGCTTTTCATTTCAGGGTAGTGAGCTACCTGGGAGGTCTCAAGAATGATTCTGACAATGTTCCAAGGGAATCTTTCCTGCTGCTATGTGCCTGTGTGCAGGTATTATGTGTATGTAGGAGGGTGGAAAAAAGGCAAGACAGGGTGGGCCTTTATGTTTAGTGTGTGGGTGGGGAGGACCTACCGTGTGGTATATGTCAGTCACATTTCACATTTCTTACAGGCCTTAACTTCTAGTAAATTTAGTGATAATTTCTTTGCTGCTTTTTTCACTGAGACTCATTAAGCTATAAAATTATCACAATGTTACGGGCATCTGTGTCCATGTTTCCAACATCATTTAGGCATCTGGCTGCTTCCTACTGATGTAGCCTTCTTACCCCTCTCACCTCCTCCCCTGCCCCTACCAACAGTTGGGAACAAAACACTCACCAAGCAAAGAACTAACTGAAAGAATATGACAGTGGCTGCTTTTCCCTCCTACGCTACTATTTCTCAAAAAGTATTTTGGGCCAGTTTGGGAATTCTTAACTATGTCCTCGCTGCCCTCCCCTTATTTGACTCACAGATGTCTTTCCACACCACCTCCCCATCCCCCAAAATGAGCTTGGTAAGTCCCTTTCTAAAGTTGCCTTTCTCCTTGAGTGATACTCTACCTAGGCTACACCTTGGATCCTCCCTTGATTTTCTTCCCTCCTCTTTCCTGCATCCTCTTCTCCGCCATATCACTTCTGGAGCAAGCCTCTTAAACCTACTTCCTATGGTGAACATGAGTGGTTTTCATTTACTTCCCCACAGTTTTTATTCCTTCCCCACTCTCCATCCATGTGATTCAGCTGGGATTGACACCCATCATAGTGACTGGATATGGGTTCCAGGACAATCAAGTTACCTAAGGGTTTTTGTTGAAATGGAAAAAAAAAAAAAAAGCCACTCTTTTTTTCTACAAGGATTGCTAAGACAGAGACTAGAGGTGGAGAGAGACAGATTTCCAATCATGACACTTGAGCTCCTAAATTCTGCCACACTTGTAGCCATTCTTACCCTTACAATGATTTTCTGTTATGTGAATCAATACATTTTATTTTATTCTTGGGCCAATTTGAGATGGGTTTTTATCCCTTGCAATTAAAAGAACTGACCAAGACAAGACCTGTCAGCCTACTGTTATCTCCACTTCTATAGTTCCCTCTGGGCCCTATTCAATTGGAGACAGCATTTTGCCCATATCCTTAACCTTCTCAACCCCTGCCACTGACTCACTTCAGTATTAAAATTCCATACATACACTAGGGCTTTTTAGTCTATCAAGAGGCTTTCCTGTCTAATTCGATTTTTACATAAAGCTTTGAGGAAGATAGAGGAGGCATTTTTATCCCTTTTCTTCTGCTGAGGAAACAAGTTGAAAGAAGTTTATGCTGATTTACCCATTTCAAGCTATTTGTAGTCACTGCTGGGACTCAAACCTGATTTTCTTAACTGCAGATCTAGAGTTTCTCTTCTTTTCTTTTCCTTTCCTTTCTTTTCCTTCTCTTTCTTTTTTGTTTTTTTGAGATGTGGTCTCACTATGTTGGCCAGGTTGGCCTTGAACTGCTGGCCTCAAGCAATCCTCCCACCTCAGCCTCCCAAAGTGCTAGGATTACAGGCCTGAGCCATTGGACCTGGTCTTAGAGTTCTTTTTTTTATAAATTGTGTTGCCTCCCCTGGGTAGAAACACAGCTCTAATGTAAACTTACACTGTCTTCTCCCATGGAAACCTTTTTTTAACACCTGTAAGGCCCTGTGGGACAGAAGGCCTTTGTTTCACTATTTCTTTGAGATTGCTGTCCTCCATTTTTCAATATTTGAATAACATTTCATCTGTGTGTACCATCTACTACAGTCTTTGTTTCTGTTGTAGGTTCCTTCTCAAGGACTTATCCTAGTTTAAAAATACGACTTTTGCCCAAATTTCATTTGGGTCCTACTGCCCGTTGGAGAACCCTTTGGCTTCTTCGATCCTTCAACAACCCAAGACCTCCCACAAAGCCAGTCAAATCATTCATCATTTCTACTCTTCCTGATCTGCTTCTTATGATCCCACTCCTGGGCTGGGAAGTGCAACAGCAAAGAGACTAACGCATGCACTTTTGGCCTTGCTGCCTATTTTCATCTGGGCCCTTTCTGCTGTGCAGATCTCTAGGTGGCTACATTCTTATAGTAGCTGCTTCTCAACCTTTGCCAATCTGTTCATGGTCTTGCTTTCTCTATTTGATGTCTGAAACCAGTTTGCCTTCATAGAACTTCTATAATAAACATTACTGTTTGCCTACTTAGCATCTATTGCTTCCTTCCTTATAATATCTGATTTTTATTAAGGGATCCCCTTACCAAGGAAGTACATGTGTTTTAAGAGAAGCTAATGCTATAGTCATATCCACAGCTGGTCCTGATTGAGCCAAGGGTAATTACAGTAGTAATTGGGGCTGTTCCTAAATATTCTGGTTCTCCTTGGTACATAGTAGAATTGTATTTCCCAGCTTGTTGAAGTTAGGAGTGACCATATGACTTGCTTTGGCCAGTAAAATGTGAATAGAAATGATATATGTCACTTCTACGCAAACGCCTTTAAAAGCCAGTGTGTGATTCACCAGACCCCCTTCCCTCTGCTACAATGATTGCTAAAGCCTGTGTCAAGGTGAAGCCTCCATTAGCCTCTGTCCTAGGGTGACTATAATGGTAGAGCGCCCCCTGCTGACCCACACTGGCATGTAGTGAGAGCAATAAAATTTTAGCTGTATTAAATAGCCACTGAGATTTGGGGGTTGACTGCCATTGCAGTTTAAGTCCTAACCGAAATAGTAATCACATCCTCTAACCTGTACCTGGGTCAGGAACCTAGCCTAAACCAAGGAATAGGTTGAAAAAAAGCTTGTGACTCAGTTGGTACACTGAGATGAGAAGGGAGATTTGCTGGGGCTTTGATGAAAGAAGTAAGTTACTTTTAAGAAAGTAACTTTATGAAAGTAATTCATCAGAAGAGATGAATCCTCTCTTTCTCTGCATGTTGTGTGTAAACGTGAATCCTGGAGTTATTGTAGTCATCTTGCTACCTGCCTGAGGATAAAGCCAATGCAGGGGGAGAGCAGTACCAAAAGAATCACAGAGAAATGAAGCCAAAGCCCTCATTGAATCACAACCAATCATTACTCTACTTCTGGACTTTTTCATTTAGGAGAACCAATACATTTCCTTTACTGTTTAAGTCTTTTGAGTTTTCTGTTACCTGCCTCCAAAAGCATCTTAACAGTTGCAACTTCCTTTCTCGGTTCTTATTTCCACTTCCCACTCTTCCATTTAGTCTAAAAGAAATAATAACTAATAATGGCATTTGTTTAGAGAAGACTTACTCTGTAGCTGGCACTATGCTAAGTGCTTTTCAGAAGGAGATTATCATTCCATTTCAGAGTAGCAAAATGTGTGAGCTCTTTGAGAGCAAGATATATGTATTTTTAAATTTGTAGTTTTTGTAGAGATGAGGTGTTGCTAGGGCTGGTCTCGAACTCCTGGCCTCAAGCAGTCCTCCCACCTCGGCCTCCCAAGGTGTTGGGATTACAGGCATGAGCCACCATGCCCTACTTGTAAGAATCTTTTCTCATTTGTACATATTTGTTTTCACTGCAATTATGATATAGTACAGAGCCAGTACTGAGCAAATATTAACTGAACAAATATAAATTGACCTTTATCCTTAAAGGGCTTACTGTATTGTTGTATATTCAAGTGTTAGAAACCTGCAAGATTCAAGACCAATACAAGACAGTATATGCTGTTACTCAGTTGAAGATCCAAAGGGCATGGTACTAATAGTAAAGGCTATGAAAGAAAGATATTGTCATTATCATGATTGCCTGAAGGTTGGGAGCAAAAACTTTTTGGAAAAGGTCAAATTTGATCAAAAAAGAAGGATCAGAATTGAATAGTACAGCAGGTTGGGGAGTGGATATCCCCTAAAGTCAGGGCAATAACAGAAGCAATAAATAGCATGGTGTCAAAAAGGAACTTGGTGCATTGAAGAGTGTGCAGTATATCTAACTGAAGTGCTCAATGTTAGACCTTTTATTCCATTTTTCTAATCATAAGAGACAATAGAAAGCCATTTGCCTTTGAATTGCTTGAGGTAGGCTTGATATAAAAGAGGTATTGTGGCCACTACTCTGACTATATGCTCAAACCCCTTGCACACAGTAGTTAATGATGTTTGTAAACTTCAAATGCATCCATCCATGTACCATTTCTCCCCAGAGAGAGTAGAAGTTTCCAAGGGCTTGTGTGCCAAGCATTCTGCTTCTTTCCTGGCTCTCTTAATTCAATGCTAGACACATACTGGTGCACAGTAGTCCCTCAGTTAAGTACTAACTAAATTGATTTAAATTATCTGGTTTGGGGAAAGAAGTTATGTGCCTAGTGAGCCTGGTTTCTCAGCACATTAACACTTCATCAAACCTCTGTCAGATCAGATTCTCAATAGGATATCTTAAATACATGCTATTAAAATACCTAAATAGAAGTTCCATCTGTTTGAATAGACTGAGCCTGATGAATCAGCCAGAGAGGTGGGAGGCTGATCCAGCCAGACATGAACCTATCGGGTGGGGAACAGGCAGCTAGCTCTCCCTCCTTTTGCTACCCCGCTAGTGCTCACATTAGAATGTACAGATTTATGAAGTGAAAACATGATCAACCAGTTAGCAAAACGCAAAGACTGGAGCAAGCCGTAGGGCATTGTTTGTAGGCTCGCTAACAGATGTCCGGCTGGAACCCCTCTTCCCAGCTGTAGATCACACTGAAGCCCTTGTTAGAGTAGGAGAAAGAGGAGCCCTGGGACCTGCCCTTTTCACAAATCCTGGGCCACTGGAGTCTACATTTTGTTTTCATGCCATTGTAAAAAAAAATTTAAAAAGACACAAAAAAACAGGACTTATTTTGGAAACTGTCACCAGTGAAGTCACCAAGGACTTAAAGACATAAAATATAAAGATGGAAAAATGTCGAGGAAGCTGCATCCCTTCATATTTGCCCAGCAAAATTTTGCACGAACATCCATCCTTAATGAGAGTCATCAAGCCCAAATTTCCAAATGGTCTTGGCTGCCAGAATTCTAGTTACAATCAGCTTCTCCCCATTCCCATTTTCCCTTAAATACCCTGGTTGTGGGTTGCATTTTTCGATGCTGTGATTAAAGAAGGAAAATGATTTCAGGGTCACTCTTCACACCAAAATACATGTTTCAAAATGTTCTTTTCTAAACTTTGCTCCGATTGGTAGCACTTAGTACACAAGGCCTTGCACACAATAGGTGCTCAGTAAATAATTTGTTCAATTAAACTGAATCAGACTTCATTCTTCTAAACTAAGAAAAAAATTGAGTGTGCTTTCTTATTAGCACCACTGGCCTGATTTCTCTTCTACCGTGCTGTCTGTCAACTTGCCTTTCCATGTCTGTAGCCTTAACCCAGCCCCTAACACAAAGACATGCAAACACAGTCCCACACTATCCCATTCAAGTGTTTCTATTGCTCCTTTATGGGTCTGCTTATGGTATTTACTTTGTTAAATGAGAGAGGAAGTGAAAAGAATAATGTCTAAGAGTCAAAAGACCTGGATTCTCCTCCCACTTTTGTCATTACTTTGGATCTTAGGTAAGTGACTATGCGCTCAGATTCCTCATCTCTGAAGTAATAATAATAATATATATGCCTGACCTACCTCCCAGGATTGTTGTGAATATCAAATGAGCTAATATATGTGAAAACCCTTTGAGAACAGAAAAGGCTTTTTAAAGAACTGTTCTTATAAGAACCTCACCCAGTTCATGTACCCAGTAAAGCATCAAGAAGGTCTTCCATACCGTGTTTCCCTGGGAAATGGGTTCCTTCTCACCTCCTTTCTCCAGGAAATGCTAACTGGCTGACCTCCTGGGACACATTTACTCTGATGAATACACTGAGGTCTAGGGTTGGGCCCTCAGCTTTACAGCATCAGAAACTGGATCTTGACAGAGCCTCTGAGTTGATCAGACTAAGAGATGCTGACTCATACTAATCCACAAGAGACTGATATATAACCAGAATGCCAGTTTATTAATTTACAGTGGGAAACATTTGGCCTGATCTGTCCCTTTTCTCCCTACAGGCCAGTTGCATGGGAAGAGAGATCATCTGAAAGTTGCTCAATGAACAAGGAACTTTGACAAAGAGAGTTATATTATTCAAATGTTTGATAACATAGGGCTCTGCTCAACTGGAGCCTCTGTCTCCTCAACAGGAATCTGCTCCAGATGATCTAGATGTTTCAGGCACTGTGGCGGAAGCCCCCATTCCTGAACAATGCACACAAGAGCCAGTGTACCATGTGTGCCCTTTTCCCCACATTCCCTCTGTTGACCAACACATTGCTCTTTATATATATTAATCCTTTTGAGACTTCTTGCAGTGCACCTGTGGTTCCCAAAGCCAGTCTGCTGACCAGGAAGAAGCCGGTTGCCACAAAAGCACCTGGGATACATGTAAAGAAATAACGGGCTTGTATAGCTCTACTGGAAATTCTAATAATTAGGTCTGTGGAGGAGTCTAGGAATCTGAATGTTTACAGGCATCCCAAGTGACTCTGATCATCAGCCAGGTTGGGGAACCACTGATATAAAAGTCTTATTGGCTAATAATCTATTCTACCACTTTAAGACGACTTTGCATATTCTGATCAGATCCATTACAGACTGATTGTATAGATTAACTCTCAGAACAAAATATTATTTCCTAGTTCTCAAAGGCCAATCGCTGTTGTATCCTTGAGCTTGCTTCCTTCATTCTTTCTTTCCTTCCCTCTTTCCTTCTTTTCCTTCCTCCCCCCACCCCTCTCCCTTACATAAATATTTATAAATACATAATGCATAAGGAAGCTTACCAAGAGGAGGCTGTAGCAGTTGACACTCCAAGAGCCAAAACCAAAAGCTGCTGTTAGGTGATAATAGACTTGGAGGATTAGGATATATAAGCCTGGTGCACAGACCGCTCTAAGGCCAGCCAGTAATACCAAGGCCTGACATTGAACAATCTTGAGATAATTTCTCTGTGGTAAGCAACCCTGGGCCTTGGCATACTTCCTGAGCTGATGTCCTGTAGGAAACAACATTATGCTCCCAAGTGACCTTGAGGGAAACTCCAAGAACCATGTTTCCGTCCCGCTCATGACAAAGCAGACAGCCGTCTTTCCTCTCAAATATGGCTCCCATGTCGCTAGCACCTGGCAGTGCCTTGCTTCCAGCAGAGCACCAAAATCAGGACAGCAAAGTGAGAGTCAAATCTAAGGAGGGGTGCCAATGTGTGATGGGCATCTCTTTATACCAGGTTCTGTGTTCCCATACTATATATCCTATGCACCACAAAAATCACTGAAACAGGTTTCGGTATCTCCATTTTCTAGATGAAGAAATTGAGGCTCAAAGGGACTAAGTAACTTGCTAAATAAAGGTCATGCCAGCAGTTAAGTGGTGGAATTGGGATTTGAATCCAAGCTCACTCCGTTCCAAATTCTATGTTCTTTCCATAATCCCATGCTGCTGAGTAAACAGGGAGGTTGGAAGTGGGAGTTTTGAACATAAGCTTCATTTGCTATTCATACTAATTTATAGATAATTTTTATAATTTCTCTATACAGAATGACATATATAAATACATTTTTTTTCAAATATTCCATAACAACTATCACATTCCTACATATAAAATATACTAGCATCTAAATCTGCATTTGGTTAATCCTGATTCTTTTCTCAGGGGGAAAAAGGCGGCTATAATTAGGGATAGGATTGGGAGTCAGGATATCTAGTTTATAGTCCTGGCTCTGCCTTTCACTCACTGTGTACATTAGGAAATTCCTTTTTTCTTCCTGAGCCTCATTTTCATCATCTGTCAAAGGAAGGGTTGGATTAGATCTTTTACATGCTAGGATTCTAAAAATCTAGTAACACTGTTACCATGTTTCTTAATTGTTTTAGATCAAAGCACAGAAATTGAACAGTAGAAAAAGAAATCTGAACACATATATTAGAAGGCTATTTAATAATAACTAATTTTATTGAGCACTGTTTGTATGCCAGGGACTGTACTAACTAGTTTGTATTACTTATTTTGATTACTTCTTATCACATCAACTCTATTCTTATTTATCCATCTCTTAGGAATAGAGAGGTAAGTAATTTGCCCAAGATCACATGGCTGGTAAGAGGAGAAGCCAATGCTGAAATCCAAGCACAAGCCTAGGGCCAGCTCCTAAATATAGTCCTAGCTTCCACTCTTGCTTTACAGCTCCCACTCTGATGACTGTGTAGGACATTTATGAAAGTTGCATTTGGATTATCTGATCTTGGGACATGAGGAAAAAAGGACAGCACATATCAGCCCATGTAAGGGAATTTCCTAGAGACTATTGTTATGATTATCTCCCTTGGGAAAGGGAGCTGTAAAAGTTATATAGAATATGTTCAGGTTCAGAGAGTCAACTGCATCAGAGAAAACATTATACTGGTCAACAGGCCCTGGACATAAAATTACTTCTATTCCTTAATATTATTAGTAAGCTTTGTTTTCCTAACACCAAGGTCATAAAAGTTAGGCCCCAGTTTCTCTGCCTGGGTTTAAGTAGGAGGAAATAAATCAAGAAGGAGAAGAACTTTTCTTGCTCTTACTGATCCTGTGGAGGTAAAGGCAAGTGGGAGGAAGGAATGGTTGCTGGCAGGTAGATCAAGAACTATCAAAGGCTGAGTCCTGTACAGATGGGGATGCTGTATTTGATATCCACCCTATTCAAATGATGCCTTGATAGCCACCTATTGCTTCTGATCTCCCTGGACAGGGAAGTTGGGTGGCAAGGCTGAGCCATGGTCTAGGATGAACTATAAAAACATTACGAACCATTTCTATCCCCAAAGGATAATACCTGGACAAAACTACAAGAATGTCCACTCTTGGGACCAGGGATGGAATAGAGATAGAGCTACCAGCAATGTCACTACTTCTTTCTGTTTTCTTCCTTGCTCACTACCCACATTAAGTAGGACTCTTTTTCTTTTTTGTGTGCTTTGTATTGCATGTCATGCAGGTGGGTTGGAGAGAAGTGAAAAAGGCTGTCTATAAATTGCTGTAGCTAATTTAGAAGTCATTTTGCATCGTGTACCCAAGCCTACACTTTCAATAATGTCAGAAAAGTTTGCTTTACTTTTGCAATGCATCGATAGGTTAAAAGGCATTTTTATTAAACCTACAGGTGACACAAAGCTGGAAAGTATACCTATAGCTACAGAGCTAAATCAGAATTCAAAATTGTCTAGACAGTCTGGAGTTTCTTGTCTAACTCAATAAGATGGAATATATCAGAAATAATTGCAGAATTCTATATTTAGGGTAAAAAGCAAACCATCATATAAGTTCAGGATGGAGATGATTACCCAAAGAGCATTTGTTCATATGAAAGGACTGGGGACTTTAATTATCCACAAGTTGAATATTTTCCAACATTATGATGTGTGTGCTGGAAAAAAACAACCCAGTCTTTGACTGCATGAAGGGAAGTGAAGGAGAGATTATAGGAAGCCCTGGTCCTAGTGCAGTGGGCTGTGGTCAGACCACACTGAAGTACTGGGTTCTCTGGTAGGTACCACAATTCTTGAGGGATTTTGACCAACTTGAAGAAAAGTAATGGGTTGGTAAGGGTCAGGAAGTCAGGAATAGTTGACATAAATGATCACATTTAGCCTAGAGAAGAAAAAAAAGTCAACCAAAGGAATACCATATCCTTGTCTGCAAATATTTAAAAGGCTCTTGTGTGACAGGCAGAATAAATTTGTTCTGCCCTGTCAAGATGTAGAGATAAAGAGCAGAAGTTAAAGAAGGCAGATTTCAGTACAACATAAGTAAGAGCTTTTCAATACCTGAGCCGTTGTCCTAAAGAGAGAGCTCCTAGCAACTAGAGGTACTACAGCTATGGCTACCTTGAAGGAGAGAGGTGAAGTGCGAAGAAGACGCCACTGTCTGTTTTGCCAGGACTGGATTCATTGCTCTTATTTCACTGATATTTCATATATATTCTTGGGCCTCAACTTGGAAGCCATCAATTTTGGCTGAAGAACCAGGCCTGAGGATTCATAGCCCATGACTTTCTGAGCAGGGACTACCACTTCGGAATGCCTGAGCTTATAATACAGCCCCTTCCTTAGGAATTATCTGAACAGTGAAACTCACTCTCTTGTACTTATCCATTTGCTTAATAACAGAAGGGCTCACTTTGCTTCTTGAGCATATATTAGGCACTTATTTTTTTTTAATTTTTATTTATTTTTTTGAGACAGAGTTTCACTCACTCTGTCACCCAGGCTGGAGTGCAGTGAGTGATGTGATTTCTGCTCACTGCAACCTTTGTCTACCAGGTTCAAGCAATTCTCCTGCCTCAGCCTCCTGAGTAGCTGGGATTACAGGCATACACCACTACACCGGCTAATTTTTGTATTTTTAGAAGAGGTGGGGTTTCACCCTGTTAGCCAGGCTGATCTCAAACTCCTGACCCCAAGTGACTCGCCCACCTTGGCCTCCCAAAGTGCTGAGATTACAGGCATGAGCCACCATGACTGGCCATGTATTGTTTCTGCTATAGAAATATTTTATTACTCCATAGACTGTACTTTTATTTCTTTGAATTTCATTTGTTAATATTTAGACACTTTTTTCTGCTTTTAAACACGATGAGCAGACCTTTGATAATATAATAATTTTAATAATAATTAGAATTGTTACATGAAAAGAAATGAAAGTTTCTGCTCTGAGGCTTGGCTGTGCTGTTAACAATAGTGCCAGGAAGCCAGGCGCGGTAGCTATGCCTGTAAACCCAGCACTTTGGGAGGCCAAGGCAGGCAGATTATGAGGTCAGGAGTTCAAGATCAGCCTGGCCAGCATGGTGAAACCCTGTCTCTGCTAAAATTACAAAAAAAAAAAAAAAAATTATCCGGGCATGGTGGCGTGTGCCTGTACTCCCAGCTACTTGGGAGACTGAAACAGGAAAATCGCTTGAACCCAGGAGGCGGAGGTTGCGTTGAGCTGAGATCACGCCACTGCACTCCAGCCTGGTGACAGAGCGAGACTCCATCTCAAAAAAACAAAAAACAAAAAACAAACAAACAATAATGCCAGGAGACATCACCCTGCAAGGTACATCTATTCAGCCCCTAAGAGAGTCACTATCATGCCCCAACCCATCTTTATCCTACTAGGAAAGGCAGGTAGTCTCATTCTTAAAATCCATCATCCAGGAGCTTAGGAGAAATAAAATCTGAATTTCTTTTCAGGAGATGTAAGAGATTGGAAAAACTTGTCCTTTTGTTTTTCACACACTACTCAACACAACACTTCTGACACTGGATGGGTGAATTATTTTCCCCATACACCAAATAATTTTCCACTGGACATGGGCGGGGGGGTCCTAAAATTCAGTTCTGACACATCTACCTAGAGTTAGAGTCAGATCTCACAGGTTGAGGGCTCAGCCTCTCAAGACTCCCTCTCACTTTAGATGCCAACTGCAAGTCCCAGGTTGCAGCCTGTACTCCTGACTGACTGGCTATAAATTAGGGTTCCCATAACCCCCCTCCTCAGGTTTTATTAATTTGTTAAAGTGGCTCACAAAATTCACGGAAACATATTTACCCATTTATTGTAAAGGGTTTTATAAAGGATACAGAAGAACAGTCAGATGGAGAGATACCTAGGGCAAGGCATGTGGGAAGAGGTGCAGGGCTTGGCAGACCACCCTCCAGGCACCTTTACGTAGTCAGCTCTCCAGTGGCTCCCTGAACCCACTTCCCTTGGGTTTTTATGGAGGCTTCATTACGTAGGCATGATTGATGGTATCACTGGCCATTGGTGATTAACTCAACTGTTAGCCCCTCTCCCCTCCTGGGAGGTTGAATGGTGGAACTAAATGTTCCAACCCTCTAATTACAGGATTGGTTCCCCTGGCAAACCAATAGAGATGGGGTTTTGCCATGCTGCCCAGTCTGGTCTCAAACTCCTGAGCTCAAGCGATCCTCCCGTCCCAGCTTCCCAAAGTGCTGGGATTATAGGCATGAGCCACTGTGCTCGGCCATCTTCTCATTTTTATAACAGTCCAATTCCCTAAGATAAACCCATGGTTAAGTTTCTAGTTTCAATATCTTACAACCAAATAAATGTAGTAGTTAAGAGTTCTGACTTTAATGTCAGATAGACCAGGGTTGATATACAGAGTACCCACTGAGAAGTTACTTACTTTCTTTAGCTTCCTTATATGTAAATTCACATACTTCTAAAGAGGATTAAGTGAGATAAAATACGTAATGTGCTTAGCACAGTGCCAGGCCCAGAGTCAGTGCTCAGGAAATGTTAGAGCTCATTAATATGTATTATAATCAAATAAAATATGAGAAGACTGAAAATAGAAAGAAGAAAAAAAATCACCCATAGTTCCACCACCTGAACTGATTTTTAACTATTTTCATTTTGTCTTTTATCTGTGTGTAAGAGAAAGAAATGTTATATATAATTCTGAGAGGCAGTCCTGGTAGCTAGAATGCCCTTTGTTTGCCAAGTCTTCATAGGTGGTGGGGATAAAATCTGGAGGTGGAAGCTGGGGTGTATGAGTGCAGAACTGCTCTGCATAATGAAGGAAAAGGCAAATGAGATTCCCTAAGGGAGAAATAGTTTAATCTCTAGGTTAGATCTTTTAAGCACTCCCTAAAGACAGAGAAGGAAGCCATTAAATGTTCTGAGTCTAGACTAGATCACCTTTTTGATGTCTTTTATACCAGTTCCGAATTTGCTGAGAGTACTAAGTCCCTGAGAGCTGAGCCTGAGATACTTGTGCCGAGGGCGCTTTATCAATCCTTCTATCTCCTTCAAGTCATTCTTTCCTGACGCATTCCTCCTAGGGCAGCCATGGTGGTCTCTTCCATGTTTCCCTATCTCAGGTCAGGCTCTTTTGAAAGTGGGCGTACACATGAGCCATCTTAAATCACATTAGTCAGTAGTGCTGCGGATGCCTTATTAGTAGGGAATCTGGATCAGGAAGATTGCTTTCCTATGGGCTTGGGTAAAAGCCACTAGAACCCAAGGAGACAATACTTGTCCAAACTGATTTATAACCAAAAGCTAATGTTACTGACTGATAACCCAGGGAAAAAATTTATTTACCACTAAAATCTAAGAGCCAATATTTTAATTTAATAATTTACTTTTCTTTGTTTAATTTACTTTTCTTTGTTTATTTCTATTCACAAGTTGAATATTTTAGATTGGTTTGAAAGTTATCACTTCTCTATGCTGTTCTCTATCAGCCTCTATTTGATAAGCGATTTGAGATTATTAATGCAATTTATGAACCCACAGAAGAAGAATGTGAATGGAAACCAGATGAAGAAGGCAAGATTTCGGAGGAGTTGAAAGAAAAGGCCAAGATTGAAGAAGAGAAGAAGGATGAAGAAAAAGAAGAGCCCATAGGAATTCCTGAATTTTGGTTAACTATTTTTAAGAATGTTGACTTGCTTAGTGATATGCTTCAGGAACATGATGAACCTATTCTGAAGCACTTTAAATTTATTAAAGTGAAGTTCTTGGATGCTGGCCAGCCTATGAGTTTTGTCTTAGAATTTCACTTTGAACCCAGTGAATATTTTACAAATGAAGTGCCAACAAAGACATATAGGATGAGGTCAGAACCAGATGATTCTGGTCCCTTTTCTTTTGATGGACTAGAAATTATGGGTTGTACAGGGTGCCAGATAGATTGGAAAAAAAGGAAAGAATGTCACTTTGAGAAACATTAAGAAGCAGCAGAAACACAAGGGACATGGGACAGTTTGTACTGTGACTAAAAGAGTTTCCAATGACTCTTGCTTTAATTTTTTTGCCCCTCCTGAAGTTCCTGAGAGTGGATATCTGGATGATGCTGCTGAAGCTATCCATGCTGCAAACTTCCAAATCAGTCACTTTTTACCTGAGTGTATAATCCCAAGATCAGTGTTATATTTTACTGGAGAAGCTATTGAAGATGATGATGATGATTATGATGAAGAAGGCAAAGAAGCAGATGAGGAAGGGGAAGAAGAAGATGAGGAAAATGATCCAGACTATGAACCAAAGAAAGATCAAAACGCAGCAGAGTGCAAGCAGCAGTGAAGCAGGATGTATGTGGCCTTGAGGATAACCTGCACTGTAATAGCCTAAACACAACTCTTATTTACTTACAGCCTTATGTTTTCGTTTTTTCTTGGTAGACTATGCAACTTTTTTAAAGGACAGGAAACTGATATTTTAAAGACCAATTTGTCCTCTCTAGCATTTTGACTAGTTTTTCCGCCAGATATTTTGAATGCACAAATTCTGTCACGCATGTTCATTAATTGCTACGTAATTTGGTTCTTCTGGAATATTTTCATGTAGCTCTTGGAGTACAACTGTGAAAATTAACGACTGCTAAGTGAAATACTTTCTTTTCATAATTTTTTCCTTGACGAGCCAAAGTATTTTTTTCAGCTGGTTGTTGAATAGGGTTAAGTCCGCTTGGATTAGTTGTGACCTTCTTTAATATGTTACAGAAATGCAGTGACTTATATTAAGACAATTCATTGTTTTAAAATAAAATTGGCAGGACAACTATATGGTTAAGAATTTCCAGTATGAACACATCCAATAACTGCATTAGATGGTTAATGGATTATTGTGTTATAGGTGACAGTTAACGGTAAAGTAACCTGACTCAGGATAGTTACTGGTACCACAGTGAGGTGAATAAAACAGGATTTTCAGAAGTTACCCTCAATTTAACTATACTTTTAAATTTAAACTCCATTAACTACGCATCTTTTCTTTGTGATAAAGTCTACCTTCTGCTTCCCTGGAAAGGAAGAATTTACATTATCCGACAGGCCTATTTTCAAGTTATTTGCTGTTTGTTTGCTTGTTTTTGTTTTTGCAGCCTAAAATAAAAATTTCAAATACAATTTTAGTTCTTACAAGATAATGTCTTAATTTTGTACCAATTCAGGTAGAAGCAGAGGCCTAGCTGGAATTAAGGGTTACACACAGTTTTTACCACATTATTGAAGAGAAGGGTACCAGCTTTGGAAAGAGATACTATACTAATAAGCAAGTGTGGAAGAAGAAGAGGAAGAAGAAGAAGAGAAGAAGAGGAGGAGGAGGAGGAGGAGGAGGAGGAAGAAGAAGAAGAAGAAGAAGAAGAAGAAGAAGAAGAAGAAGATCTTCAGTTATTTGATGCTTTTTGTAAAAAAAAAATTAAAGTTCATTTTCTTTGGGTTAGAGCTAGAGAAAAGGCCCAAGCTTCTGTGGTTTCTTCTAATTCTTATTGCTTAAAGTATGAATATGTCACTTACCCATGCTTCTGTTTACTATGTATTAAAATGGGTAGTACTGTTTACCTAACTACCTCAAGGATGTGTTAAGGCATATTGAGTTAAATCTCATAAAATGTTTCTCAATCTCGTTAACAGCTCAAAATTTTGGGCCTATTTGTAATGTCAGTGTGACACTCAGCATTTTGTTCATACCACACTTTGATAACTAAATTGGAAAACAAAGGTTAAGTACCTCTGTTCTGGACCTGGACAGGCAACACTCCTTTAGATCTTTGTGTTGCTCCCATTTGTATAGAAGTGGATGGATGCACTATTTCACAAAGTCCAAGAATTTTTTTCAGGTATTTTTGATGACTGTATAGCAGTAAATACTACTTGGATAGCACTATAGTATTGTAGTCATGAGACTAAAGTGGACATAAGACTATTTTTGATAAAAGATGCCATTAAATTTCAGACTGTAGAGCCACATTTACAATACCTCAGGCTAATTACTGTTAAATTTGGGGTTGAACTTTTTTTTGACGACAGCGAGGGTGGACTTTTGGGTTGTCATTTAGAGGAAGGTCTAGATTTCCTGCTGTTAATAAAATTACATTCAATTCATTTTTAAAGGTGATGAAAACTTCCTTTTTGAGAAGTTAGTGTTAAGGTCTTGGAATGTGAACACATTGTTTGTAGTGCTATCCATTCCTCTCCTGAGATTTTTAACTTACTACTGGAAATCCTTAACCAATTATAATAGCTTTTTTCTCTTTATTTTCAAAATGATTTCCTTTGCTTTGATTAGACACTCTGTGATTTTTTTTTTGTAACCATAGTTCATCTAAATTCAGCTTTTTCTAACTTTAAAGCTAGAATCCCATTTCTAATGAACTGAAGTAGCAAAATCATCTTTTCATTCTTTTAGGAAATAGCTATTGCCAAAGTGAAGGTGTAGATAATACCTAGTCTTGTTATATAATGGGGACGTGGTTTGCAGAAGAATTCTCTTTATAAAATTGAAGCGTCAAGGGATGTCAGTGTTTACGCCATTTTTCCTGTTCCAAAATGATTTCATTCCATACTAGAAATTTGAAGTATGTAACTTGAAATCCTTAATAAAATTAGGATTTAATTATATAAAAAAAGAAAGTTATTACTTCTCCATTAAGTAAATCTGGAACCTAAAGATTGAAGATTCTGTGTGTTGCCAGAATCACAACTCGATTAGAAAGGTTAAGAGGTAAAAAGAATGAAATGGAATAGGCCCTCTCTATTTCTATGGCTAACCTTTGGGAAAAAAATTTTATAGTAACAGAAGCTTCTTCATTAGCCACCTATGGATAGATTTTAGGCTGAGTCTAATTCACAGTGATTACCCCTCTCTAAGAACCATGGGGGAACTAGTCACTCAGCTTGATAGAGATTGTTAGGAAAGGGGGAAAATAAATCTGGAAATCTTGGATAAAAATCACTAGAGAAGATGTTAGAGAATGTCCTACAAATAAATACCACATATAAATATTCTTTAAGCGTTTGGTAGAAAGTTGGCCAAGATGACCCCTAGCAGGTGCACAAACTAAATTGGGGTGGGAATGGGAGTGAGGACAGGTAAAATTTGGAAGCAGCAAGAGCTTCCCAGGCAAAGTCAGGACCTTTTGGGGAATGCAACTGGAAACAGGGGCAGTGTAAGAGGAAAAGAGCTCAGCACTACGAGTCCAGAGTGTCAAGCCCAAAGAGTCCAAAAGCTGAGGTTCTGGCTTTGCCAAGATACCAACATGGAAGGTAGGAGTGCATAGAGATGACTGGGGAATCCCAGGTAACCAAAAGATTCAGGCTCAGAGGAGCCATTAGGGCTTCAAGGGAAGCTTTCCTTGTACACATTTCAGGATTATTTGGCCCCTATATTAACAAGTACTTTTTAGCTTCAAGTAAAAAACAATCTAATAAAAAGCGTGGCTTAAGTAAAATGGAAATGCGCCTTTCTCTCAAGCAATGTAAAGTCGAGCAGTTGTTAGTCCAGAGCTCGTATAGAAGCACCACAATGTCAGAGAATCCCACCCTTATTCTTTTAGATGCCAACATCCTTAGCATCTAGTTTTCATCTTCAGTATTGCTTCATGGTCACAGTTAATTGCTGCAGCTCCAACCATCACATCCACCATACAGGGAGGAAGAAGAAGGAAGAGAGGAAAGCAAACTCTACTTATCAACTAAGTCAGCCAGTCCCCTTTAAAGAGCATTCTCTTCAGTAGTCCACCCTGTGATTTCTGCTTACATCCTTTCACCAAATCTGTTTGATATGACCAATCCTAACTTAAAAAGAAGCTGTGGAAATATAGTTTTTAAACTTAGCACTGAGTTGCCTTCAATAAAATTGGAGTTCTCTTAGTAAGATAAAGGGAATTATGGACATTAAATAGGCAATTAGAAATCTCTGCCACAACCTTCTAACCAAAGAATGGCTGAAAAGTTATTTCCAACTCCCAGTTATGTGTTGGGTGAGGCTCTAGATGTATTGATGTTCTTGGGATGCTTTTTCATGGATTCCAGGGAAGAGCAAGGCAGTTTATAGACAGCTTATTCCAACACTGGGTTTGAACTAAGTTGAATTAAGGAAAAATAATGATAATGAAAAGGGGATGCCTACAGGAACAGTCTAAAGGAAGTGAACTAATATGGTTTGACTCTTGTCCCCACCCAAATCTCATTTTGTAGCTCCCATGTGTTGTGGGAGAAACCTGGTGGGAGATAATTGAATCATGGTGGTAGGTCTTTCCCATGCTGTTCTCATGATGGTGAATAAGTCTCATGAGATCTGATGGTTTTAAAAATGGGAGTTTCCCTGCACAAGCTCTCTCTTTTCATGCTGCCATCCATGTAAGATGTGACTTGCTTCTCCTTGCCTTCCACCATGATTGTGAGGCTTCCCCAGCCACGTGGAGCTATAAGACCATTAAACCTCTTTCCTTTGTAAATTGTCCAGTCTCAGGTATGTCTTTATCAGCATCATGAAAGTGGACTAATATATGCATCATAATGGTTACAGTGTTGGGTGAGGAGATGGGATCATGACTTCTAGTTTTCTGTTATGTATTTGTATTATTTCAAGTGTTCTTGTATTCTTTTAATTTCCTATTGAATTCTTTTTTTCTGTTTTAAGACTCCCTGGAGAAGGAAGGCATTTGGGCCAGCCTACTTAAAGTGAGACATATGCCCAATGTGCAAATTAGGCCAAAAGGCCACAAAATGTGTTTAGGAAACAAACCAGGGCATGTGAAATTGCACTTGCATAAACATGTTGTGTGTGTGTAATATTGATCTCCATCTCACAGGGGAGCAATAATGAGCTGGCAAAGGCTCCTGGGAGGGAAAATTAGAGGATGAGAAAGCTACTCCATGAAAGTTATTGAACAGCAGGTGGCACGTTTGGAGGCCTGTGGTAGAAAGACCTGGGTTCTAGGCCTTTTCCCACTCTTCCCCTTAAACAGCTGCACATGATCCTGGGGAAATTCACCTATTTAGTCTTGGATTTTTAACCTATAAACTGGGAAAAGAGAATAAGAAGATAATTAAAATCCTTTGAAATAGAAATAATTTTATTTTCCGTAATTGTTGACCCAAAAGAGAAAATGATAAAATATTTTGGGAAGTGAGGCTAAGGGGGGATGAAAATAGACAAGTAGCCTAGCATGTGAGGAGGTTTCACCAAGAGTAAAAAACTTAGAATAACATGAAAGTAAGAAAACCATTTGGGGGCAATTTTAGGTGCATAGTAGCTATGCGGAACCTTTTTAGATTGGGAGATTCACCCAATTGATGAATCGAACTCTGTTGTTGAATTGAACATCCTGATTGCAATTCTAGCACCAGGAGGGGATTCCTCATGTGCATCTGGTTGTAGCCACCCAATTAAAATTCCCACAAAAAGGAATTAATTTTATAACTATCTAAGTCAATGAAATGGACTAATTCCCATTAGCTAGATTTCTAATGCAATTATTTTTAAATAGCATTAATTCCACAATTCTTTTAACCTTGCCATATAGCTTTCCCTAATGCCTGTTCCTCCAACCCCAAGTCCTTTTATTTTTAAACCTCTACAAGTCTTTCCCTCTTTAAATTTAGGAACATCCCCTGATCAATTTATATTACTTTTCAAATTGCTTTTTAATTGAAGTATATGTACTTTTAAGTGGAAAATTCAGAGTGTGTGTGTGTCTGTGTGTGGGCACACATGCACATGCAAGAGACTGCTATGGTTCTTCTCAAACATTTTTCTGCAAAATGTCTTATAATATAACATACTGCTCTAATGAGATTGCTTTTTCAAATGCAAATAATGCCCCGAATTCCTCAGAAGAAATGGAGTTTCTTTCCCTGCACTATCAGACTAATTACAATTATTTTGTTACAATAGCTCTTCCTTGAGCAAAACCTTGCTCATTCTTCCTGCCTTCAGCAACTTGAGGATAAGGAGATAAGTCTGTTTCCTGGGTTGGTGGGTAACCCAATGAGCAGAATCTTAAGGAAGAGGAAGAAGAATAGTGGAAATTTAGCCCAAATTCAGTGGAAATCCAGGCTTCTTTCCTTCAACTGTGGCCTCAATGCATCCTCTACTCTTCGATCTCTGTAAGCCTCAGCCTTCACATTTCTTTGATAAATTCAGGATTCTAAAACTTCTGGTCCAAGTTCCTGCTTTCATTTTCAGCAAATGGCACTGGCATCATTCCTCACGATTCTGCTCTTTCAAAGTCTTCCTTCACTGTAACATAGAGAGAGAAAACTGTTCTCATTCTTCTTCCCTTATTTTATCCTGTTGATCCAGATAAATAGGTACCTCTTTGTCCAAAGTTAATTCTTGCAATTTATACTCCTCCAAAATCCTGGGAGAACTTATCTCCAGATAAATCTGAAAGAGTTGGGCTATCTAGCTCTTCCTTCAAGGCCAGATTAGGTACACAATTGGAGAATAAAAACAAAATAAACAAAAACCCTGAAACAAAAATGAGCAGTCTAGGTCTTCACTAAAGTTTCTTAAGGAGATGGGGAAGGAATATACAAAACTTCCTTGAAATATATTGTTGATTTTCCTTTCTAACTCCTACTTCCTTGCCTATATCTCTTCCCTCTACTTCCCACTACCCAGTCTTTTCTTCTGGAAGTGAAATTAATTATCTGAAGCCATTTGGCTGCTATCACCTTTTCTTTCTAGTGACCCTCCCTCCTTCTCATCACATGGCACAACTAAAGCTCAACAATTAGCTGCCCAAGAAAATTTTATTTTTCTTTAGAGCTCAGGCAATTGGGTGATATACATCATTCAGCATTATAAAACAAGGATAAGAATTATACTTCATAGAGTTGTTGTGAGAATTAAATGAGATAATATATGCCAAGCTTTTAGAATAGTGACTGGCACTAGGTAATAACTCAATACATTTTAGTTCCTTTCATCTTTAGCTATTTTTCCCAGCACATAACAATTATGTTTGCTTCTCTAGCAGTTTTTATTTTGCATTTGCTCCCATTTTCTGTCCAAAACAACCTACGTTTTTGGATCATTTCCAACTATTATTTTCTTTTTTTAAAAAATGCTAAGCTTCTTGAACAGATAAGCTATCCTTTATGCCTATTTCCTCCTCAAGTCTCTGATTTCTAAGAGTTCAAAAGAAGTGAGAAGAACATGAAAAGAACATAAGCACACATTCCAATACACACTATAGCTTTACAGTGCTCTGTTATTACCAGAAGGATGATGAAAAGAAGGGAATATCAGGCTATGTGGAGTGGGCCAGAAAGACTTTAGCAGAGTTTGGAACAAGAGGAAAATAATTTTTGGCAGAGAATGGGGAAAGGCATTCAGATGGGCAAGAACTGTGGTTTGGAGCAAAAATGTAGAAATGTGTTCAGAGAACAGGAAGAGTTTTAAAACAAAGCATAATGTCTGAAATAGAGTAATGAAATGTAAAGTTATTGAACAATGCTGTTTATGATAAATAAAGAGGTAACTGGTAGAGAGCCTAAAGTGAATGCAAAAGTGTCTAGATTTAATGGAGGGAGTAAGAGTAAGACTATGTAATTCAGGCTTATAATAATAATAATTATTATTATTATTTTGAGACAGGGTCTCACTTTGTCACCCAGGCTGGAGTGCAGTGGCATGATCTCAGCTCACTGCAGCCTCGACCTCCCAGGTTCAAGTGATTCTCCTGCCTCAGCCACTCAAGTAATTGGGACTCCAGGCGCACGCCACTAAGCCCAGCTAACTTTTTTTTTTGTATTTTTTCGTAGAGATGGGGTTTCGTCATGTTGCCCAGGTTGGTCTCGAACTCCTGAGCTCAAGCGATCCGCCTGCCTTGGCCACCTG
This sequence comes from Homo sapiens, assembly GCF_000001405.40. Taxonomy (NCBI): domain Eukaryota; kingdom Metazoa; phylum Chordata; class Mammalia; order Primates; family Hominidae; genus Homo; species Homo sapiens. The sequence continues at coordinate 120,814,294 of NC_000003.12, forward strand.
AAGTGCTAGGATTACAAGTGTGAACCACTGCACCCAGCTAGGCTTATAATTATTAATAAAGACTATGTCGGTCTTATTTTTAGAGGGCTTACTACTATGTGCGAAACATTGTGCAAGAACCTCCGAGTGGTTTTCCTGCATTTCCTCTTGTTCTAATTCTTTCCTCAACATAACAGCAACAGTAATTTTTTAAAAATGCAAATCTGATCATGTTATTGACTCCTCCATATCTTTCTTAAAATCCTTCACCAGCTTCCCTTTGCTCTTAAGATAAAGATCAAAATCCTAACATATCCCTACTAGGCCCTACTGTATCTGGCTCCAGCCTCTTCAGCTTCAATTCTTGTTCTCTTTTTGTCCCTTAAAACAAACACTGCCGTCTCCTGGCTTGGTGCTTCACACGTGTTCTTTCTTAATCCTGGACAGCTCCTGCCTACACCTCTGGGTCTGGTTTACACTGCCTCGTCCTCCACATCTGCGAGAAACTTTGTCAGGAAAGCCTAGGCAACCTCTCCTATTGCTTCCTTCACAGTGTGGACAGCTATGGGGGTACACCAAGAGGATGTCCCTTCAAGACCTTGCCATTCAGCTGAAAGGAGTGCAGACGACTAACTGCCTCCAGCCGTTAGTGTCTCAGGGCCTGCCTCAGCCACACTCTTCTGGAGCAGCCCCAGTGTCGTGGCTGGACGTAGTAAGGGGACTAGCATCTGATCATTTCTATCCAACTGGGATTCCTCTATTAGACAATCTTTGTTTCCAAGTCTCTCTTTGATTGGCCAAGACTTTGACAACAGCATTGCAGTCTGACGCTCATTCCTGCCCAATCCTGCTTCTTCCACCCTTAATTTTTCTCGGACATTAACCCCCAATGAATCTTGTATGCTTCTGACTCTTTCTCTGAATCTAACTCTGCAGAACCCAATGACACATAGCATTTACCATGATTGCAATCTATAAATTTATTTATGTAATACCTAGTAAATATTGGCACCACACTGCAAATTTATGAGAGGAGAGACCACATCAACAACTCAAAGTTGTATCCTTAGTTATCTTCCAAAATGCTTGATACATAGAATATCTCAAAAAATATTTGTGGAAAAAAAGTGAAGAATTTTTAGATGAACTATCTCACTAATTCTTTGAGAAATATACTATCATTATGCCATTTTAAAGGTGGGGAAACTGAAGGAGAGAGATTAACTTGCCCAAATTTGAATCCAGGTGTGTCTGATTTCCAAGATCTTCTTCTGAATCTCTACTTAATTTTCTTCCTGAGTAGGTGAACAAGAGGTTCAGAATGGCCCATCAGCTAGGACCCTTGGGTTTTTACCTTTCTAGGTTTTTCTTTTATCAAACACTGTGAGCTTGATTTGGAAAAGGATCTTAATTCATTTCTGTATTTCTAATAATGCCTGGCACATAAAAGTGCTTGCTCAGTGTGTAGTGAACTGGATGAGCAGTGGAGGACAGAAATGATGCTTGAAGTAGATGATTCTTGCTGGTCTCTATAGACTCTACTGCTTCTCAAGAAGAACTGATGTCCAGGACAGCTGGAGTATAGCTTTATTTGATAACAACTCCTCTCCTCCATATCTAAGGCTATATGGCAGCTTTTCTCTGTAAAGAATTTCCATTTGTGCTGCAAAAAGAAATCAGTGGACCTGAGCACCAATCATTTTCCTCTTGCCTTCAGAGTTATGATGCACTTGATGCAGCTAGGAATGAATTATTGCAGCAGAGCTTGGAAGGAATGTTAAAGAAAGATTTAGCCTATTTATTTTGTAAAGGGAAGAAATTGAGGTCCAGAGATATAAAGCAAGCCAAGATGGAACTGGAACGAGATCTCCTGTCTCTCCTTTACTGACTTCCAGCCTACAGAAGAAATTAAGAATCTTCATTTTACTTCCTAGCAGTAAGGCTAAACTTTGCCTCAGAGAGAGTCATGCAGCCACCTTTTGCTGGGATGTGACCCAGGAAAGAGGTATGGGCTGTGGCAGGCATAGAAGATTCTAGAATCACAGTACTGTGCAAGAATCAGTATTTCCTAGACAAGTACAACTTCTGACAATAAGATATACTCACTGGAAAAATAAGTGTAATTGCTTGACTACGGAGTTACCTAATCTAGTTTGGATCTTATTGTTGGAAAGTCTGATCAAATTTGAGTTCTCCTGTATGACTTTCTCAAATCTTTAGTGGTTCTAGCCTAAAGCAATCACTACTCTCTTCCAAGGAGTGCTTACCACTGCTCTGACATTGAGTCTCTTTCTTTGTGAATATTTGTAACTTCCTGGTGTATTTTTATGTTATAAATTTAAAAGGAGGCAAAAATAGGCATATGTCCTGGCAGAGGTCATACCACTTCAATATTAGGACCAGTCTCTCTTTATTTACAAGGGTCAAGGCAATTCTCAGGCTAAGAGAGATGGACCAGGCAGCCTCAGTTCTCTCCTGGCCACTGGTCCTCCCTGGTACCCGTCAGCCTGCCAGGAGCTGGTGCTGCAACTCTGTCTTAGTGCCCATCATTCTCCTGGTTGGCTAGGAGGCCCTGCTGGGTTTGGAGAGGATCAGGGCGCAAGGCCAGGCAAGATGAGAGGCCACAGAAAAGATGTGAAGAAAAAAAAATCCTGCAAAATGCATCAAAACAGTACTGAAAGTAAACCTTGGCTGTGGACTGAGGATTGGCAAGAAAGTGAAGTAGCCCTGTTCAAGGTCAGAGCAGCGTGAACATTCTCAAGCTGGAAGCTGAAATCAATTTTTCTTCCCTTTCAGTCTGGCAGCTGCATATGGTGGGTACGTCAGAAGCTAGAACACTAAGAATCAACCCTGGCAACAGTAACACTAGGAAAAGGCAAAAGGGCCCACAGACAAAGGACTGGGGCCAAAAGAGGCATTGATCCTTGCTGTTAGGCCCCTTGCTAACAGGGCAGAGCTGGTCCATGGCCTATGAAGGCATCATGGGAGTATGGACTCTTGTGGGTTCCTAGTTTTATCATAATTAGTTTTTCATGAAATTGTTTTTTAAAATAATTCTTTAAAATAATTATATGTCCTCGTAGCTAAGGCCATGTTTTGATGACAGTGGGAATAAGAAGAGACTGTTCCTCTGTTATGAGGCTTAAAATTCAGGACAGGGAAGCTGCTGCACTTCTGATCAGTCAGTTCTTGCCAAGATGGGTCCAAAGATTTTGGATCAATGGAGCACAGAGGAAGGGAGGTAGGGAATGTAGGGAAATCAAGCTCCTTTTCTGTCTCTTCTGCCTCACTGCTCTGTGGAGTGCATAAGGGTGAAGGTAATTTAAGGATGGAAAAGGAAGCAAGGGAAAACACTGTCCAGTGAACAAAAATATCACAGAATAAGAATTTTTAGAGATAGAAGAAAATCCATATTTTGAAAATTTAAATGTGATAGATTCTCACACGTTTATAGCTTATATAGATCTGGAAATGAACAAGTAAACTGAGAAGGGAAAGGAGGAGAGAACACGTTGTCCAGAACAAGGTCGGCTGTAGGCAGATCTGACAGCCTCCGCAATGGAGAAGACAGAGGAGATGCGGTGGAGCCTAACAGTCTTCCTTTTGCACATTTAAAGTCAACTAACATTTGTTGAGCACCTTTTAGGTGCCAGGTATTGTGCTGGACCCTGGACATTTAGAAGCTAATAAGTTATACCATTATAACATTTTAGAGAATAAGGTAGATCTGTTCATAGACAACCTCAAAACAAGGCATAATGTGACAGATTCAATAGAGATAGAAGCTGTATGCTACAGGAAGACAGAAGAGGCTAAGAGTGATTCTGTCTAGTAGATAACAGAATCCTTTAAGGAGGAGGGGTCATTTGATCTAAAAATTGAAAGATGAAAAATTGAAAGATGATTTTCTTTTCTCTTTCTTTGCTCTGTAAATTGATGTTTTATTTGAATAGGTAAATTCATTAACTTAAGAACATTAAATCCCTTCACTTTGCACTAAAACAACAGCAGCACAATATGTATGATGAATTCCTGGGGATATTATCATTCTGTATCAGAGCTCAGGTTCACATTTGATTGTTTCAATAGCAGTGCAAAGGGTCTTTTTTTAAAAAAAATTTTTACTCTAAGTTCTGGGATACATGTGCAGAACGTGCAGGTTTGTTACATAGACATGCATGTGCCATGGTGTTTTGCTGCACCTATCAACTGGTCATCTAGGTTTTAAGCCCCGCATGCATGCATTAGGTATTTGTCCTAATGCTCTCCCTCCCTTGCCCCTGCCCCCGCGACAGGCCCCGGTGTGTGATATTCCCCTCCCTGTGTCCATGTGTTCTCATTGTTCATCTCCCACTTATGAGTGAGAACATGTGGTGTTTGGTTTTCTGTTCCTGTGTTAGTTTGTGCAAGGGGTCTTATGAAAACAGGAGAATGCAGAGCCAGAGAAAACCTAACAAGCTACAGTAAGAAATAGAAACTTCTCCAGGGAAAATGACAACCCATTATTTTAGAAAAGGAACATTGCCCTTTCCCCAATAATATGCAGCTACTGCATCCTTGTGATTGTAGATCAGATTATATTTATAACCCACTGTTACAGTGAAATCCACAATTTTACTGCACGTGAAATTGCTTAAGACCATAGGAAGTATTAAAGTCAGAGACTGGATCACTTCATTCAGGTGTTTTAATCAGAGGTCAGCAAACTTTCTGTAAAAGCCCAGATAACAAATATTTTCAGCTTTGCAGACCACATGGTCTATGTTGCAACTATTTGACTCTGCCATTATAGCATGAAAGCAGCCACAGACAAGATGTAAATGAATGAAAGTGGCTGTGTTCTAATAAAGCATTATTTACAAAAATAGCTGGATTTGATCCTAGAGCCATAGTGTTCCAAGCCCTGCTTTTACTCATCACTTTAAAGTGACTCTTCCCCATTCCTGCTACACTCTCACTTCTGCAACATGAAGGGCAGTGGAGGTATCCATTAAGAGCATAGCTCTCCTTTCCAACCCCACGTTAGTATTTTTCAACCAATAGTTAATTTCCTTTTTATATTTAAGAATCACAACATTCTATCCCGGCTGGGTGCAGTGGCTCACGCCTGTAATCCCAGCACTTTGGGAGGCTGAGGCGGGAGTATCACTTGAGGTCAGGAGTTGGAGACCAGCCTGGCAAACATGGTGAAACTCTGTCTCTACTAAAAATACAAAAATTAGCTGGGCATGGTGGTGCATGCCTATAATCCCATCTACTTGGGAGGCTGAGGCAAGAGAATAACTTGAACCTGGAAGGTGAAGTTTTCAGTGAGCTGAGATCACGCCACTAAACTCCAGCCTAGATGACAGAGTGAGACTCCGTCAAAAAAAAAAAAAAATTCTATCCTTACTCTTTCACATAAATTTATACCTCCATTTTTTTTTCTACATCTATCCAGGCATATCTCAATCGTCACATGGATTAATCTTTCCTTATCCTTAGCAACTACTGTGGCTAAGCTGCTCTGGAAACAGAATTCCAGAGCTCCATTCTGAAATGTCGCACAGATTGCTAGTTGTTTACCTCAATATCTATTCTTCTCTTTCCATAGTTATATAACTCCCAATATTTATCTAGGCACACAGCCACCCAGAATATAGACATTTCCCACTCTCTTTGCAGCTAAGATTAAGTTCTAGCTAATGTGACATAAGCAGAAAGATTGTGCAGCACCTTCCAGGAAACAGTTTGAAAATGTAGTCACTGAGTGCCTTCTCCCCTTCTTCTTCATCTCTTTCTCCATTATGCAACCTGGAAAAAGGAGGTGATGACTGAACTCTAGCTGCCATCTTGGACCATGAATATGGACTTTGTCATAGGATGTCAAAACAGAGAGCTGGAGGAAGCATTAATATTAAGGATTGTGGATTCTCATGCTAGCCCTGGACCACCTTACTTTTTATCTGATAGAAAAATAAACTGCTCTGTTTAATTCACTGTTATTTACAGTCATATCTATTCCTAACGAATACATTAAGTTACTTTAAAATTTTTATTTTTATTTTTATGTTTTTTGAGACAGAGCCTCGCTCTGTTGCCCAGGCTAGAGGGCAGTGGTGTGATCTTGGCTCACTGCAACCTCTGCCTCCTGGGTTCAAGCAACTCTCCTGCCTCAGCTTGCCGAGTAGCTGGGACTACAGGCATGCTCCACCACACCTGGCTAATTTTTGTATTTTTAGTAGAGATGGGGTTTCACCACGTTGGCCAGGCTGGTCTTAAACTCCTGACCTCGTGATCCACCCGTCTTGGCCTCCCAAGTCCTGGGATTACAGGCATGAGCCACTGCACCTGGCCCTTTAACATTTTAAATAAGGATTTTTTTTTAAACAAAGGCTGAGATGAGCTTCATTATAGTTCTTAAAATAATGACTATTTTAGAAAACAGTAATCATCTTACATTTTAAATCATTGGATATTTATGTTTGTTAAATGTGGCAAAATAGAGCATGAGAGTTGTCTATGTGAATTTATTGGGCTTTTGTACTATAGCTTTAAAATATTCATTGCTTTTTATGAATTCAAATAACAAATAGAGGCAACTGAGAAACATTTACTATGTTAAGTAAGCCTGGGATGTACAGCCTGCCTGGTTCTCTTAGCAACAGTTGTTGAGGCAACAGGGCAAAGGTTGTGCTATATAACCAGGTTAACTGGACACCGTCAGGTTGCTGAACAGAGCAGTTCCTCTCAGAAGGGCTGAAGGTGGCGAGGCAACATAAATACATCTGCAATTCATTCATTGCCCATTTACACTCTAGGCTTGCAATCATCTGCAGCAATCCCCCTATCCACACCCTACAACCGGCAGTCAAGCTTGAACTATTTGGCTAGCTTCTTGTGGATTATAGGCTATGTGATAGCACCAGTAGTTCCCATAGGTAACAGTTTACATTCTTGATTCTTTGGAGAGGAACTTGCTGTTGGTCACCAATCACACTGCCTGAGTTTTCACACTGCTGTAGGAGTTCCCTATGAGGGGAGGCCCTACAGAACAATCCTTTCCTGCTCATTAACCCACTTCTGGGCAGCATAATTTGTCTTTTTTTTTTCTTTACACTCAGCATGGGCATACCATGCCAGGTTGATTTGTAAGACACAGGACAGATGCAAAAAGGATTACCTACAAGGCTGTAAAATGGCCCTGTGTTTCTCTATCTGCTGCTAGCTGGGCAACCTGGAAGCAAAGATTGTTCTTTTCTTCTTGCACTTTACCTTAGAAAATAAAAAGTAATAAACCACAATTCTTTACTTTCATTGCTCAGAAATGCTTTAAGGCAGTGGCCACAAGATTCCTGAAATACTTGTCTTTCAAGGGCCCAAGATATCCCAGCCCCTGGTTTTTCATCTTTCCAGCCTTAGCTCCACATACTCTACACTACTGTATTCTCATACTAGAATGAGATGCTACTGCCCTTCATCCTGCTAACAGGACACACCCAGTGCCACATTTTAATTGGACCTATTATGTAACACCCTATTCCTGGTATCAATTTCAGGTTTAGTTAAGTTCCTTTGGTTGCAAGGAACAGAGACAAATGGGGTGAGGGGGTAGCTATTCTAAGGATATACTTGAACTATAATCGAGCCTGAAAATCTGGTGAGAGCCAAAGCAATTTAGAAAATAACTGCTTTTTTGAATTTTCTCAGGGACATATGGCTTCTCTAAATAATATCATCTCTGTGACTTTCTTGTTTCTCCTGATTGCTTTTTCTTCATTCATTCACAAATATTTATTGATGTGCAGGGTACTGCTCTATGTACCAAGAATGAAGTGTTGAAAAAAAATAGACAAAATCATGGAGTTCAGACTTTAATAGAAAGAGACAGGCAACAAACAGATGATAAATATATAATGCCAAGCAGCAATAAATGCTGTGGAGAAAAATAAAGCAGGGAAAGAAAATAGGGAATAGCAGGATGCTATTTTAGATAGGATAATCAGAGAAAGTCTCTCCAAGAAGGTAAAATTTGAGTACAGACCTGAATGAATTGAGAGAGGAAGCCACAGGGCAACAGTGTTCCTGGTGGAGGAAGCAGCAAGTGCAAAGACCCTAAGGCAAGAATATGCTTGTTGTGTTGGGATCAACACCAAAATCAGTTAGGGATGGAGTGCTGAGAGCAGAGGGAAAATTCATGGATAATAGAGTCAGAAAGGTATCCAGGGATCCGATTAAGTAAGGCCTTGTAGGGTCTGGTAAAAACAGTCATATGTTAAATTTGAATTATTTATTAACATGACGCAGGATTGAAAAATTAAAAGCATGTGATCTGGGACCAGATTCGCTTAGGTTAATCTCTTGGTTCTGCCAATTTCTAGCTGTGAGATATTTTGCCTCAGTTTCTTCTGCGAAGTGAGTATATTAATAGCTTCTGTCTCATGGGGTTGTTGAAACTATTAAATGAGTTATTTACAAATAAAAGCATGTAGAACAGTGGTTAGAAAGCTATGCCTTGTGGGCCAATCCTGTTCATTATTTATTTTTTATGGCCAGAAGGATGCTAAGAATGTTTTTTTGTTTTACATTTATAAATGGATTAAAAATAAAAGCTATTTCTTACTTTATTTATTAATTTTTTTAAATCAGGCAGCCTCCCAAGCCAGAATAGGCTCAGAGACTCTCAAAATACTATTTCTTGACTTATGAAAATTATATCAAATTCGAATTTCAGTGTCCAAAAATAAAAGTTTTTTTTTTTTGATACACAGACATACTAATTCATTTACATGTTGTCTATGGATGTTTTCATACTATAACAGCAGAGTCAAGTAGATGTGACCAAGGCTATAAGGCCTACAAAACGTCAGATATTTACTATCTAGCCATTTTTAGAAAAAGTTTGTTGACCTCTGATATAGAACATCGACAGGTTTGAAAACACTCGATACTTGTCAGCTGTAAGCTTTAGTAGATAGTTCAGTTACTGCTCAGTCTCTACTCTTTTCTAAAGGTACATTTCACACAGTCCACACTGGCCTCAATTCTGTGTCATTGCTTTGCATTGTGCTCACCATGGCTTCCCAATCGCAGCATGATCTGGCTTCTGTCTCCCTCTCTGATCTCATCTTTCCCTCTTACTCACTCTGCTCCAGTTGCCCTGGCTGTCTGTCAGTTCTGGGAATCTGCTGAGAATTTCCTTCCTTGGGGTCTTTGCAATTGCTTCTCCTTATATTTGGAACATTCTTTCCCCAACTATACACAAATCTGAATCTCTATCATTCTTCAGATCTCAGTTTAAATATCACATCTCAGATAGCCCTTCCCAAACCACCTTACATAAAGTGTCCCTCCCCCTTGCTGTTCCTTATCCAAATACTTTATTTACTTCATTCATGGCAATAATAATCATCTGTCGTTCTTTCATCTATTTATTTGTTTCATTGCTTTTTGTCCTCTTTCCCACTAGAATGTTAGTTCCTTGAAGACAGGGACTTTATGTTTTTAATTCTTTGTTATAATATAGTACTGCACTCCATAAGTATTTGTTGGATTAATGAATGATATTTTTGCTTCAACTCTCATGGCGAAGTACACTAATTCTCTTGTTTGTTTATTTGTTTTTCTCCTACTGTCATACCAAGGAAAATGATTTATTTTATCTTTTTCTCAAGGCTATGTCACAGGTCACTGGCTGGGCTATTGTTTGGCTGACTTTGGTCAGATAGCCTTCCCTGGTCTAATGAACTATGGCCAGGAGTTGGGAATGAGGTGGCATCACAAGGGACAAATTAGCTCCTTTCAGCAGGACCTATGGACAGATAGCACAAAGTGGGGTGCAATCAGGAAAGAGCTTTGTGCTTTCTCTTTATTGCCTGTACTCTCTGCTGTTACATCTTCCTCTGCTCTCAGATGAAATCTTGGGTAGAGCTCATATCTTATATGCTTACAATTAGACAATAAAATCTGTCTCCTCTGGTCACTTGATTTCCTAAAACAGCCTTAGTTCAATAATTAATATATCTAGTTCACTGTAATAGTAAAAATTTTGAAATTCATTCAAAGTTACATCTTTTTCTTTTCCCTAATTTGGACCTGCTTCAACTGGAAGCTTGCTGTGCAGTTGGGTGTGGATGGGAGCACGTGGGTTGTTTCCTTTCCTTCTTCCCCACTCACTAGGTTCTCTCTGGCTCCTTTAATATTGAAGTACAGGAAGGCACCAGAGGTGTGGGATAGCAAAAGTCTGACTAGCACCACTTTAGTGGTCTTAATTTCCTCTAGCTATGGCAGAGATGCAAGCAAAGCATCTAGTGGTACTGTTGTGACCTCCTCAAACATTCCCCTGGGGGGTCACTCAACCGTTCCCTCCTCCCCTGGCTGCAACTTCCATACCCATTGACACTTCTGAGCCTCTTTCTGCTGAAGATTGTCTTATCCCCCTCTGAAAATCCTCCTGGGCACTCTCCAAACAAGTTCCAGACCAGCAGCCTTTCTTCTGTGTTTCTCACAACTGATCCATGGCACACAAGCACCTTAGCCCTATTGTTAGCAGTGACCTAGTTACCTACCAACAAGACAGTGCTCTGTCTTGCTAGCTCAGGTTACTTCAGGCAGCCTTTAACCCTTTAGATTTCTCGTGATTTGACCTGGAGACACATACTGAATTCTCTGATGCTGTCCTTGACACTCCTGTCACTGGGATTGGGGTACTATGGGGGGGCTCCATGTTGGGGCAAAGTGAGCACAATGGAGAAGGAAAATGACACCATGGTTCCACAATTCATTCTAGAATAAAACTTTTTTTTTTTTTAATTGACAAAAACTTTCTCAGCATGTTCAACCTTATTTTTATAGGCAGGGGATGAGTGAATAACTAATGGTCATAAAGCTGTAAGCCCTGTTCTGAGGAGCTTCACCTCACTTTTGAATAGGGGATGGGTTGCCGTTCATTATCTTAGGGTTCTCAGTCGAAAAGAGACAGAATCTCGCCTACTTTTTTTTGAGACAGGGCCTCATTCTGTCGCCCAGGCTAGAGTGCAGTAGTGAGATCCTGGCTCAATGCAGCCTCAACTTCCCATACTCAAGTGATCCCCCCACCTCAGTCTCCCAAGTAGCTGGGAGCACAAACACATGACACCATGCCCAATTAATTTATTTTTATTTTTAGTAGACACAAGGTCTCACTATGTTGCCCATGCTGGGATTGAACTCTAGGCTCAAGTGACCCTTCTTTCTGCCTCAGCTTCCCAAAGTGCTGGGGTTACAGGCATAAGCCATCAAGCCTGACTCTTTTTAAACATTCTATTACATGTCTGGTACACTCTGAAACATTACATGTCTCATGCATAAAACACTCATTTTAAATCATGTGTGTAATGGTTTTTATTAATTCTATAGACTGCATCATAGACTTTTCAGTTCTGGAGGGTTTACAAAGGCCCATGGCCAAAAGGTTTTAACTTCATTTATGAGCTAACTTTGGGTCTATATCAAAGACATCATGAGTAAAAAAAAGAAAAAAAAAGGAAATTTTTGTAATAGGTTCAGGTGTTCTGAGTAGGGTGGTATAGTTTTATTGCATGGTAGATTCTACTTCTATCCCTTGAGGCATCATTTTGCAACACAGCTTATAAAGGCAGCAGAAGGTAGTTCTGCGTTTATTACTTATGTGTTGGTGGAGTGAGAAAGAACAATTTCTAATTTCTGCCAGTAAAATTCTTTTCTGTTCCTGTCTGTTGAGCTTGTTCTGGCAGTATTCATATTCTCCCTCCCCCTTTCTCCCCCTAGCCTTAACAGAGATACATTTGTGCTCATGCTGGATTGATGTAGGAAAAGTGAAAAAACTCTTCTTTTTTAAGAATCATTAATTTCTCCTAGAATTCACAAATTATGATTGAGTAGCCTACATGTCTAATTGTCTTCTCTGTTATAAAATGGAGAAAGCTTATGAAGACAGATGAAGAGTTAAATGCTTTGTGGCATTTTATCAACAGCCTGTGTCTCTTTAGCCCTCACTATTTTTTCTCTGCTCCTTTATTCATTGACCACCCTTTTCTATACTTGTTATTTTTTGAGTGTGGGTGATACTGCTCTGGATCAGAGGAGGTGCCTGATATATGTTAATAAATGAATGACTGCTTTTCTAGTAGTATCTACCTATACAAGTTTCCATGGGTACTATAACATTCAAAGGGCCTCATGTGAGGGCTGCTTGGTCAGAAAGCTGACTAGATATATGGATTTGAGGTCAAGTGGCCGTAAAACTGGAGGGATAATCGTAAAGGGGAGGTCTCTTTTCTAGTTGATGCTAATTGTCTATACACTCAACCTAAACAAAAATAGTTTGATCCACACTTTATGCTCCCAAGGGTGACCTTAACTGGCTAGGAGAAGAATAATGGTAGACTCTCACACACTCTGGCTTAAAAAAAAACATAAAAAGAGCATGGGTCATATTTTACATCACTCCCAGTTAATGCCTGAATGAACCATTGATATAGCTCTTAGGAACTCCACCCACCAACAAAGCTGTTAATATTTAGTTTTCTTTTATAGCTGATAAGGAGTTTTGTGGAAGATGATCTTTGGGAGCCCTGAGGCATCCTCATACAGAGAACTGGCTCCCTTACATTAGAGACCACACTCTTCAGTCTGAAAGAAGAGCTGCGGTAGTTCACCATGCATGCCTCTCTCTCCTTTACAAGCTCCTTCTCTGCCTTATCTTTTTAAGCTGCATGTACTTAATTACAGTAAAAACTGCCATTTATTGATCTTTTACTATATGCAAGCCACTGTGCTAAGTACTTTACATACATTATCACATTTAATCTTCCAATATTCCATCTTAAATCCTGAATTATGCTCTTTCTTTTTTCTATTCACTGTGGGGAGCTCATTTGTTCCAAAGGCTTCAGCTATCACCATCATACTTAATCTCAAAATCTGGATACATCTACATCCCCAGGTCCATATCACCAAAAGCTCAGTCGGTGTTTTCCCATGGATGACTTGCCATCACCAGTCTTGACTTCAACATCTCAGAAACTCTTCCCACTCTCCTCTTCTGCCTTATTTCTTTGTGTATTAAATTGTCATATTTGCCATAAGCCAGATTTAAATCTTGCAGTTATTTTGATTAATATATAGGTATCTATATGTGATATAGATACATATCCCTCTAAATATATATCTATACATGGTGTATATACATATAATATATGGAGAAAGAAGCAGACAGAGAGAGAGAGAGAGAACAAGTCCTGATGATTTTTCTTCCCTCTGTCCCTCCATCACAATGCTACTTCAGGCCTCCTCACTTCACATACGAATTACTTCAACTGACAGTAGGGGCCTCCATGATTCTAGACACTGCTCTTAGATGCATTTCACCACCACCCTTGGCTGCTCTTCTACACACCCTTTGAGGTGTTGCCATTGAGGCCCATTGAGTTGAATCCACATCCTTATTTTGGCTGTACTTATTTAACTCTATCCATGCCATCTCTCTTTCTTTTTTTTTTTAAAATATGGGCTGGACGCGGTGGCTCATGCCTGTAATTCCAGCACTTGGGGAGGCCGAGGTGGGCGGATCACCTGAGGTCAGGAGTTCAAGACCAGCCTGGTCAACATGGAGAAACCCTGTCTCTACTAAAAATACAAAAGGCGTGATGGCGCATGCCTGTAATCCCAGCTATTCAGGAGGCTGAGGCAGGAGAATCACTTGAACCCGGGAGGCGGAGGTTGCAGTGAGCCAAGATCGTGCCATTGCACTGAAGCCTGGGCAACAAGAGCAAAACAAACAAACAAACAAAAAACAAATAAACGAAAAGGTTGTCTCTGCCCTAATCAAGCCCAGAGTCATCTGTCACCTTCAACTGGAGGTCTCTGTTCATAAGTTTCCCTTCACCTACAGTTTTCTCCCTCTTATTTTTTTGGATGAAAAATCCATTCAGAGTTGAATGATTTTCTTGAGGTCGAATTGCAAGCACTTGACCTGGATTTAAACCTATTCTAATCCTCAAGACTGTGCTTGCTTTCCTCAGTGACAACTACTTGTTTCAGAATAAGATGAATGTAGGATGAAATTCATAGATGGAAACTCAAACTACATTTGTATAGAGTTTGCCTAATAATAAAATACTACTAGCTCAGGCCAGCATCAGCTCCTGAAGACTGTTTCCCTTGTGCTGGACCCCAGTCATGGCAAATGAAGACATTTTGACACCTCCAGCCAAATTAATCTGCAAAATATGGCTCAATTTTTAATAGCTTTCCATCTATGGTCCCTTAAAGAAAACTTCAAATTCAAAGAAAACGATAGTAAGATGCCTACAGTTTATTTCAGCCACTGAAATTCTCTACTGAACTTCAGATTCAATCATAGGAGCATTGCCCCTAGTTGTCCTATGTTTGTACTTTAAGCTGCACCCAAAGTTCCAGCATCAGTTTTTTAAAGATTCTAAAAAAGGATGATATAGCATATGTTCAAGCTGAGCAAGTTACTAGGATGCCAATAGTACGTTTCTGTAAACTTTTGATTGTGAATTTCCTAGGCAGATAGGACTTCTCTGGCTAGTTTTGCTTTTAACTAAGGACATGCCCTTTAGTTCAAATGAATATCAAAGATTATTAGACTCTGATCTGAAGTATTTCGTAAGGGTATTCATAGTGCAGAGATATGGATTTATGATCTGGCTGGTAACTTGCTGAATAACCAACAAATGTCTTTTCTCCATCTCAGTTTCCTTCTCTAATAAAGGAAGGCAACAATGGCTTCTTTCCATTCTCCCAGGGGTATCAAAGGATTAAGGATGTTGGTGAACATTATTAAAAGAGAGGTTATATTTAATTAAATGTAACACTCATAAATATAATCACATCATGGCAATAGCTGAGTTTTATTACAGGTCCATACAATGAACAGCTTTTGTTACTCATTAGTCAGCCTCATTGTTTGTCATCACCACATTGATTTCAGTCCAAAAAGCCAGATTCTCAGAAACATAAATATTAAATTTGATTTAAGCTGACAGCACTCATGGCCTTGAAAATCTTTAGGTAGAATTAGAAACTAGACAGTTGTCAAAATTTGCCTCTGGAATCTTCTACACTTTTCTAAGATTTTAGTGTTTTGGTTCCAGAGGCTGGTTGCTAATAGTAGCAGAAGATACGTCAACCTGATTTCAAACTCTCCAAGCCACGATGAAAAGCTAATCATCTGTGATGGTCACAGTAACTTCTTTCCACTGCCTTCCCAGTAAAAGAAAACCACACATTATACCACAAACTGATACTACTGACAACTCATTCTTTTATTAATTCAGCACCTACTGTGTATAAAACATTCTTTCTAATTATGGGAGGTGGGGAGAAAGTTTAATGATGAATAAGACACAATCTCTATCCCAAAGGAATTTATAATCCAACACAAATATGTTGTATTTTCAATATCATAATTTATATTTAATATCTAATAATGGAATTATTTCTCTACCTTTCTTTCTTTTTATACATCCAATAGTGTAAAAAGCTTCAGATGAATGGTTCAAAAGCTTAAGTCTTCCGACTGGCTCTGCTGTTGACCAGCTTGTTTGGTAAGTCACTTTACTTATCTGGGCTCCAGTGTTTTTTATCTGTAAATTCTGAGCTTTAAAATTCTACTCACTCCTCTAACATTCATCGGCTATTGTTGCAGTACCTACTACATACCTACTACATGCAAGGCAATGGTCTAGTTACTTGGGATGCCTTAGCTACTGAAACAGACACACATGCCTGCCCTCCTCCTCCCTCACATTCTATAGGGTAGGAAGACAAACAATGAACAGTAAACACAATAATAAATAAGTAAAATAATTTATCAGAAGGTTATAGTGCTATGGAATATTGTGCACAATGTAAGAGGGAATCAGAAGTGTGGGATGGGGCAGATTTCCAATTTTATATAGAGTGGTCAGGTGGGACTAAGGAGATGTCATTCAAGAAAAGACTTGACAATGCCCTGTCCAGTGCCCTCTAAAAAGTATTTTTTTTTTTTCTGTATGGTATGAGGGAAAAGTATTAAAGAAGTGCTGGAGCAAACACCACAGAAATAGTGTTACTGAATCAAACTGGGATCCACTCACCCAGCACAGTAAGGCCAAACATTCACACTGAGGGTTTTCAGTGGGAGAAGGGAGGGTGTTTATTTGCAAGATGCCAAGAAAGGAGAATTGGGCAGCTCATGCTTAAGATCCAACCTCTCTGATACAAGCAAGGGTTTTAAAAAGCAGGGATAAATTTCAGGAAAACAGGAAGTTACAGGCAAATTACAAATGGAGGTTATACATTGCTTTGGTCTAAAAAGGTGGATATCTTGAAGCGGGTGGTTTATAAGTCATAGGTAGAGTTAAAAGTTTCCTGATTTGCAATTGTTTAAAGAAGAGAAGCTGTGTTTAAAAATCCGGGATCAGCAGAAAGAAAGCGTAGGTCTGGCTCATGGGCATGGCTTCCTCACAGGGGTGTCCAAGGGAGAGAATACAGCCATGGGTTCCTAGTTTCTGTTTCTGGTTGAACCAGTAAAGCCCTTTCCTCATCCCTCTTTTTCACTTATCACTAGAGACAGAAACTGAAAACGGTCGCTTCAGGCTGCTAAAAGCCTAATACAAAACAAAACAGAACAACAACAACAAAATAAGGTGGGTTGGACAAGTTTGCGCCCCTCAGGAAAAACTTTAGAACAAAGAATGACTGTCAGAGTTCAGTCCTCAGTTTCTCCCTAGCTGAGGTCTATGTGCCAGTGGATTTGTTTGACAGGGGTCCAGGTCTCTAAAAAACAACTCAGGGACATATGTTAAGATGTTATCGCTAGTTTCTATATGGAACCAAACATCTCAGGGCTCTAACTTCCCTGGCTATTGTTTTAAGCTACTATTACCTCTTGCTTATCAAGTTGCTTATTTACTTTTCAGGACTAGCTAAGTACCTGGAATTTCCCTTGAAGGAACTCAAGATTTTCTTTTATTTCCTGGCTCCCTGGGGAGGGCGTGCGGGGGTAGGGGAAAAGCAGGCCCCTAAGAGGAGTCTCGACTCCATCCCAATGGCCCAGCCTTTGTTGCTTTGCTCTTGCCTTTCCTTGCAAGATACATGAAGCCAGATACATGACCTAGAACTTCTTTGTCCAATATAGTAGCCATTAGTCATGTGTGGCTATTGAGTTCTTAAAATGTGGCTAGTCCAAGTTGAGATATTCTGTAAGTGGGAAATACAAAGTGGATTTCTAAGAATGTAAATACCTCTTTAATGTTTTCATATTTATTTCATGTTGTAATGGGAATATTGTGTGCATGTTGGATTAAATAAAATATATTTTTAATTTAATTTTGTTTTTTAAGTTTTTAATGTAGCTTCCAGAAAATTTTATTTTTAAAATTTCTTGTACAGATAGGTTCTCACTATGCTGCTCAGGCTAGTCTTGAACTCCTGGTCTCAAGCAATCCTCCTGCCTCAGCCTCCCCGAGTGTTGGAATTATAGGCATGAGCCAGTGCACCTGGCCTGCTACCAAGAAAATTTAAATATGCACATAACTCACTTGATTTTTCTATTGGGCAGCACGTATCTAGAACTTGAAATGGGGGTTTTGCTATTAGCATGTATGTCACTCTTGCCTTGGTAGGTAAGTCACCTCATTCTGCTAGATGTCTTTCCTTTTGTATTCTTTAGAATTCTTTTCCCTATGGCCTCTGGGTCAAGGAATGCAAGCATAGGGCTCACATTTCTAGAATTCAGGATACTTTTGTGCTATCATTAGCATATAATTTGGGAGAGGTAGAAGAGGAAAAGGAGTTTAGGTCCTGGGATAGAATATAGGATTCAAGGGCATGTTTTAGAAACTATAAGACAGACCATGTTGATTATATTGTTATGCTAATTAGGGTACATTATTTTTATCTTTAGTGTTCATTCCTCACTTAGTGACAGAAAATGTTAGCTGTCGTAAGTGGTGAGTGAGAGTAATGCTACGATAAAATAGAAGCCATTTTCCCCACACCATAGCTAGTCGTGGATGTCAACAAACTGTGAAGGGTCAAACTAAAAATTAGGAGAAATACCTATATAAAATACAGATATCTCTTTTTTTATAGACTCAGGATATAGCATGGGACCAATTCAACATACAGTTCTAAACAATTCCCTTACTAGATTCCTGAATTTCCCCGAATCATGTTTTTGAAGGTAATCAAGGGCCAGAGAGGATACTGAAAGATTGTTCAGCTACCTTTCTTTAAGTAAGCAAAGAACTAAATCCTTCAGCTCAAGGAGTTTTTTATTCTCTTTATGATTCCCCAAGGATAGCAATAAATCTTATTGACTGAATAGAGATTCCACAGTCTCCCATAGAAGCCCATTTCAGTATTTTATCCCTCAACAGTAAAGAAAGCCTTGCTGGTGTACAACAAAATATAATATTCTTTATTCTAAGCCAATCTTCTGTTCTCTTTTTTCCTCTCCTCTCCTCTCTTTTGTCTTCTCCCCGTCCCTCCGCTCTCCTCCCCTCCCCTCCCCTCTTCTCTTCTTTTCTCCTCTTCTTTTCTCTCTCCTTCCTTCTTCTTTCTTTCTTTCTTTCTTTCTCTTTCTTTCTTTCTTTCTTTCTTTCTTTCTTTCTTTCTTTCTTTCATTTCTCTCTTTATCTCTCTCTCTCCTTTTTCTTCTCTTCTCTTTTCTTCCTTTCTTCTCTCTCTTTTCCATGGAGAACAACTGATAAGCATTAGCCTCTCAAAAATTTTTAATATACATAAGCAGTTTAAATGCAATTCATCTTTCTCTTCTTCTTTTCCCCAAATCATTAGCTGCAAAGCTCTACACAATTGCACAGTATCACTCCCTATCTTATATTTATGTTTGTGTTTCTGTTTATAAATCAACTACCTGGAGTTTTCTTTGACTTTCATCCTGTTTTATTTTCTCACTTATCAAGGTTACTATCAATGTTTTCCTTTCACTTCATCTTACCAAATAGATGTGTTCCTGGACCTACAATATCAGAATGTCATAAACCACAGCACTGCTAAAATATATGTTCCAATAAGGAACCAACAGAAATCAAGTTTCACTGAAGAACATAGAAGTGAAAAGCACAAAGAATATGGGATTGTGAGGAAATCTATAATTGAAAACCAGATAAGAGCCACTCACCACAAAACATCAGGGAAGATGAAAAGATAGAATTTATTGAAAATAAAATGATTCCTAAGTATCTGGAATTAAGTTATATAATCTGGATAATCTCAAATAATAGGCTGTTTAGAAGTCCCCTTCCCCTCCAGTTTAGAACAATTCAGTTTGAGCTCTTTTATGCAGACCAGTTTTCTTTGAGAACAATAGAGATTAAATCTTGTTCAAGTCCCAGAGGTTCTTCTCATCTTTCTTTTTCAATCAGTGCTCCCATTACTGAGTTATTCACTCTAACTGCTATTGTCTTGCTGGGAACCAAATAAAATTCTAAATGCAGGAAATATGACCCTGCTTCACTGGTCAGAAGAATCATCACTTCAATAACAATGTAGAATACTCATGAGTCAACTGCTTCCTGAGGGACCAATCATCTTGGGAAAGTGAGGGTAGAATCATATTGCCTTTTGTGACTGTGTAGGTGGGAAAGGACAATTTCTGGAAAGGTAGATGGCAACTACAGGTGTCTGATACAACTACAACTGTCTAGTTTCTTCTCTGTGTCTTTCACTGGGCTGTGAGTTCCTTGAGAGTAGCGACGGTGTCTTATTCATCTTGGGATCTCCAGCTCTCACATCAGGGCTCAAGACAAAGTAGGTATTCCATAAATAGTTGATTTTTGAATAAATAAATCTATGAATGAATGATTCAAGTTATCTATCCATGAAGAAAAACAAGTGGCAATGCCAACATTTCAAAGTAAAATTATTTATTTCTTTAAAATGCCTTAATAATAATCTAGTTTATGAATAATTCCACTCTACACTGATGAAAAAGTAGTAGAGTCCCTTTATTTTATATAAATTAGTTTGGAAAATAAATAATATGTAAAAAGAATTTTATATATAGGTATATGTACATAGATGTATGTAGATGTATTTGTATCTATCTGTCTATCTATCTGATAGTACATGGAAATGAAAACCAAGGTGATCACCAAGGAGAGTAGCAAGTGAATACTGAATCTGATTTTAACTGAGTGGTGGTCATGAATTGATGGGGGAGATGCTGAGAGCCACCCAGGCAAAGGGAAAAATCATAAACAAATGAACAAAAATGAGAATGATCAAGAGTTGAGAGAAAAATGATAAGGCTACCAATTTGGTTTGTAGTAGTATTTCTTGGTACTCTAGTACCAAGAAATGTGGAAATATTAATACACATGCATATCTATCAATTTCTTTCTTTTTGAGCCAATATGAAGTTGGAAGGAATTGGATTCTTAAGCAAAAGAATGACATGATGAAAAGGTTGTTTTGAAAGTTGTGCCAGGAAGAACTGGATGCCAGAGGAAGAAAGTTCAATTGGGAAGATACCATGATGCTGACAATGAAGCAACTAGGGCCTCCATGAGAATAATGCCTATGGGATTAGATAGGAAGAGGGATATGATGAGGACACATGTATCCTCTCTTTTTCCTTACTCAAAATCTCCAAGTTAATTTTTACTGTTTGTTGTTCCATGTATACCTCATGGCACAAAGTTCTATAGTTTGTTCTAATGAATGTTTGTTTACCTACCTCTAGGCCTCAACACTGTCTTTGGGACTTTCTTCTGAGAGGGTCTTTAGAATTGCCTTTTCTCTCTCTCACTGTCACCTTCTTTGCAGGCCAAGAAAAGGAATCTGTTCTCTCCCCAAGAGGTGTGGTCCTGCTACCTGCACTAGTGCTGGCTGGCTCTCTACCGTCGAATTTTTCTGAGTCTGGCTTCAAACTGCAACTCATCATCTGCCTCCAATTCCACAGATTAGCCTCTTCCTTCCATCCTTTCTTTATATGTCTGTAATGCTCTTTTGTTTTTGTTTTGTTTTTTTGAGACAGGGTCTCACTCTGTCACCCAGGTTGGAGTGCAGTGGTGCAATGACAACTCACTGTGGTCTCAACCTCCCCTGTTTCAGGTGATCCTCCTACCTCAGCCTCCTGAGTAGTTGAGACTATAGACACATGCCACCATGCCTGGCTAATTTTTTATCTTTTGTAGAGATGGGGTTTATCCGCGTTGCCCCAGAGCTGGTCTCAAACTCCTGGGTTCAAGTGATCCTCCCACCTCGTCCTCCCAAAGTGCTGGGATTACAGGCATGAGCCACCATACCTGGCCCACTCTTTTGGATTCTCCGGGGGTATCCTAGACCAGTGCTTCACAAATTTAAGTTGCATAGGAATCACCTGGGGGTCATTTAAAATGTAGATTCTAATTTAGTAGGTCTGGGCTGCGACCTGGGATTCTGAACTTCTAAAAGCATCCCAGGTGAAGCTGATGCTGCTGATCCATGGATCACCCTTTAAGTAGCAGGGTCCTAGTCCTAGAAGACCTGGAGACTCTCTTCTTGCAGGGGTATCCCAGCTCAGGTCTAAGTAAGCCACCTCATTCTAATGTGGTCACCACTGCATCTGCCTGGCCCAATTATGCTTCCTTTCACCCTCATTCCTGCATCCCTGAGCTTCCAACTGAACCTCCCTGGGGACTTAGCATAAGTGGAATCAACCTCATATCTGGCCACCAAACTTTAGAGGACCTCACACAGGCCCTTACTCTCAGCCTCAAGGTTTCTAGAGCAGCTCTCTGTATTCTGCTTTTCTTTTGTAGCTGTTGCCATCCCTGGAGATCTGCCCCAACTTGACCACAGAGTGGGACACAGACTCCTTAGCTCCCAGTCACATGGCCTTTTGAAGGGAAGCCCACAGGCTCTACTGGTTTTAAGGATTTTCCTTCAAGTTGTTTTGCCAAAACAATTTTTACTATACTTATAGTATAAATTATAAACATAAAGAAGTTACAAAGATTAAGGTTTTTAAAATCCTGGTACCTGTTTTACACAACTGCAGCTATCTTCCTCTGAGATGGTAAAATAGATGCCTAAAATCTTTTCTTTCTGTTATGAAAGTTCTACATTCTTCTGGGTGCCTTGTATCTGTTACCTTATGGTTTCTCCCTGCTTCTCTGGCTTTGTGACCTCACTTCTTGGTTGCTGTCCAGTATCTGACCCAGCCTCCTTATCACCCTCTCACTTCTTGGCTATTCTGACTCTGAATTTCTACTCTGGTCCTTTTCCTACTCCAAACTGCCCAAGCCACTGTTTTTCCTCCTCAAAGGAGGTGAGGAATCAGGAAACTCTGTTGGCTTGACAACAGCCTTTTAGATGTTTTAGAATGCTACCTTGCCAATATTATTTGACTTCAGTTCTGGTTCCTGACTAGTACTTTGGACCTTGCCTGTGTTTATGCTATGCCTTTGTCAACTGCCTGAGCATGCCATTAAACTGATTATTTTCTGACACTTAATTTGGACTCCTGTCCCTATCCCCATTTTCCCGTTCTAATCCACAGACCTGTAGTCAAACAAATTCTTGGCATAGAGCAATCAGGACCTTCTCACATCTGTACAAGATTTACTACAAACAAGCTGACTGTTCTTGCTCCTCTTTAAAAGAGTTGAAAAATCCAAACCGTGTACTGTATATTCAAAATAAACTGAAAGGAAATATGCATTTCTTTAAAAGTTGACCCAAGTATCTATGAACAGATGAATGGATAAAGAAAATATGGTATATATACACAAAGGAATATTATTCAGCCTTAAAAAAGAAAAAATTCTGTCATTTGCAACAACATGGATGAACCTGAAGGACATTATGTTGAGTGAAATAACCTAGGCATGTAAAGACAAATAGTTTGCGATCTCACTTATTATGTGGAATTAAAAGAAAATCAAACTCAGAAACAGAGAAAAATGGTGATTACCAGAGGCTAGGATTTGGGGGATTGGGGAGATTTTAGTCAAAGGACACAAAATTTCAGTTAGAGAGAAGGAATAAGTTAAAGAGATCTATTGTATATCATGGTGACTGTGGTTAATAATAATACATTGTACACTTGAAAATTGCTAAATTTTGTGTTTTGACCACAAAAGATACATCTGTAAGGTAATGCATATTCAAACAGCTTGATTTAGCCATTCCACAATGTATACGTGCATCAAAGCATCATATTGTATACCATAAATACATGCAATTGTGACTTGTCAATGAAAAAATAAATTAAAATGTGAAAAGTTAACTCACGATTCACAGACTGCACTGGCCTATGCATATGCTGTTTCCTCCTAACACTTTCCCCTCTGCGTTTTACATAGCTGGTTTCTTCTCATCATTTATATTTCAACTTAAACATCACCTTCCAGACTCCTTGACCCTCTAAGATGTTTCTTCCTTCTTGTTCCACTATGCTCAGATACGTTATTCTGTTTGTTTTCTGCCTAATCACTAATGGTACTTGTATACTTATTCATATCTTATTTTTATTCATATCTATTTTATTTATTTATTTATTTGAGACAGAGTCTTGCTCTGTCCCTCAGGCTGGAGTGCAGTAGCACAATCTTGGCTAATTGCAACCTCCGCCTCCTGGGTTCAGGCAATTCTCCTGTCTCAGTCTCCAAAGTAGCTGGGATTACAGGCATGCACCACCATGCCCAGCTAATTTTTAGTAGAAACAAGTTTTCGCCATGTTGGCCAGGCTGGTCTCGAACTCCTGACCTCGGGTGATCCACCGCCTCAGCCTCTCAAAGTGCTGGGATTACAGGTGTGCGCCACCATACCTGGCTAATTTTTTAATTTTTAGTAGAGATGGGGTTTTGCCATGTTGGCCAGGCTGGTCTCAACCTCCTGACCTCAGGTGATCCACCCACCTTGGCCTCCCAAAGTGCTGAGATTACAGCCCTGAGCCACTGCACCCGGCCTCATATCTATTTTATTTTTCGTATACTCATTAGGCTATAAATTCTAAAAGGACACAAGAACTATGTTTGGTTAGTTTGATATTAAATAAAGAGGATGCTGATTTAAATAAGTATTTAAATATGCATGGCATGTTGTAGGTGTTCAATAAATATTTGGTAAATGAATGCTTCAATTGGATCTAACCTTGATAGGAGACAAATATGCCAGCATTAACTCAATAAAACTATGTGATGAAGAGTGTTTTAAGGCTTTTCATTGATGATGAATACTCAAAACTTTGAGTTGAAATAGGCTGAATGGGAAGCCTGTAGAAATACATATGTTAGAAACATTTTTATTAACTGTATTTGGGAGTAAAAGTGCACCCTGGCTGGAGTCATCTGGAGTCTTATAATCCCATAAACCCTAGATAGGTTTCAAGGCTAATCAGCAATCAAGCATGACAGGCCCTTGACCTAGTTTTTTGCTGAAATCCCTCCTGAGACCATCGAACCTGATAAATTATTGGATTAACAGACTAAAGATTAATGGTGCCTTTTGGTTCAGTTGGTTTGAAAAGCTGATGTAAGGCATTCATATCCTCTTAGTCTGTCCCTTGAAAGATTTTTTTTTTCTGCCCTTAAATATTTTCTGTAACTCCTGTATACAGCTGAAAGGATAACCACCTGTGGATTTTTGTTTTTCTTTCAGTATAGTTAAAAAAGCAGATGTGAGGTCAAGAGGTGAATGGGGAGAAGGACAGCCTAGTATGACCAGGGAATGGAACTCTGCATGAGTTTAGAAAAGTTAAATGTAAGGTTAAACTCCCTGAGAAGATCACCGAAGATAACTAAGAATTTTCTGTCATGGTTTTGAGAAGGAGGATAGTGAAGGCTTTTATGCAACGTTCTCAGTCTCTATTCACAGAATAAGGCTCCATTATGCTTAGACTATTTGACTTTATTAAATCTAGGCAAAACAAGCCTCACGTTAAAGAATAACACATATATGCACGTGGGTAAGTGTAACTAGAAAAGGAGAAGAAGAGGAAAGTTATTGTGTGGACAGCAAAAAACAAGAACAAGTTTCTCCCCCTGGAGTGTGAAATCATTAGAACTTCAAAAGTGCTTGGCAGGACTAAAAGTCAAATATGCAAATATCATATGACTCAGCAATTCTACTTCCAGGTATATACTCGACAGAAGGCACATATATATATTCATCAAAAAGAAGGTATTTGAATGTATATAGAAGCACAATTCATAGTAACCTCAAATTAGAAACTACCCAAATGTCGAATAACAACAGAAAGGAAAAATAAATTGTGGTATATTCACACCATAAAATACTATCCTGCCATGGAGAATTAAGATATAAAATTGTACATGACAATATGAAACAAATGCATAAATGTACCATTAAGCAAAAGTAAAGTCACACAGAATACATACAAAATGATTCAAGTTCTATAAAACATGAATACAGGCAAATTTATGCTGTCAGAAATAAGAATTGCAGTCACCCTTGAAGAGGAAAGTAGGGACTACAGGGGGTCATTGGGATTTAGGGCTTCTGGAATGCTGGCAATATTTTTCTTGATCTGAGCATTGGTTAAGTGACTGTATTATGTTTTTGAAAATTCATCAAGTTGAATGCTTATATTATACGTACTTTTCTGTACATATAATATAAATATACTGTAGGTATATATTATATATTAATTTTTTTAAAAACTTCTTTGGGACTAAGGATGCCCTACTTCCCCAATCATCAAATGAATACTCTCTTTTCTCCCTGTTTTCATTCTTTTTTTGGTCAGTATCTTGAAAATTTAAAAGAGGAACAGAAGTAGTGATTTAAAAATGTTAAAACCAAATGAAAAGAGAACAAAGAAAGTTAAAAGAAAAAAAAAAGAAAAAGTAAGGAATGCAAGAAAGAAAGAAAAAGAAGGGAAGGAAGAAAGGAGAGAGAGAGAGGGAGAGGTCCCATCAGTCAGTGTCAGCCCTTACCACTCACTTCTGCTGGTAGCTACTAGACCTTCTCTTGAGAATAGCCATTTTCCCTTGGCCTACCCATCACAGAATAGCCAAGTTCTACACAGTCTGGGGGCTTTGTCAGAAAGACATGGCTGAAGGAGGAAGGAGAAATTTTAAAAAAAGGGGAGGAAAGGATAAAAAGAAGGAAAGGAAGCCTCCATCTTCAGTGGGGCACTTTATAAATCACCACTTGCAAACTGTTCTGAAAATGTTTTACATTTTCTTGTCATTTAACTTTCAATGACTATTTTGGGAAATATACTCAATAAAAAATTGGTTGTAATATTCAAATAAAAACATTTAAACAAGATACAAGTGCTCCATTTATTCTTTAATATAAACAGAAATACTAAACTTACTTATTCTTTCAATACTATGACCAAATTTTATCTTTTATCTATTTCAAACAGTATTTATGTAAGTGAATTGCTATTGTTCTCAGAAAAGGTTGATGGTCTGTCTGCAGGAAATAAGACTAAAAATTACTTTCTGACAAGACTCTCTCAAGTGGTTGAAACATCACCTGCTTGGGTCAGTGAATTAAGCCACAGAATAAAAAGAAAAGAATCAAACATTTCAATCCCGGATATCATTAATGTATAGCATTATTCGTGATGGCTTTTACTTGTTTCTGGAATGTCTACAAAATTACTTTTTTTTTTTTTTGAGGTCAAGTCTCATTCTATCACCCAGGCTGGAGTGCAGTGGCAGATCTCCGCTCACCACAACCTCTGCCTCCTGGGTTCAAGCTATTCTCTTTCCTCAGCCTCCCGGGTAGCTGGGACTACAGGTGTGCACCACCATGCCTGGCTAATTTTTGTATTTTTAGTAGAGATGGGGTTTCACTATGTTGGCCAGGCTAGTCTCGAACTCCTGACCTTGTGATCCACCTCCCCCCGCCCCTTGGCCTCTCAAAGTTCTGGGATTACAGGCGTGAGCCACCGCACCCAGCCCAATTACTTCTAAATGAAAAGGTCAATTGACTTTTATCTACACAATGCCAAACCTTCAGAAACATTTTGATGCATTTTCCATCCAGAAATGAAGTATTAACATACGCATTGTTATTGTTTTCCACTAAGTTAGAAAACAAACTCTCAGAAGTCAAAAGAAGCCTCATGGCCTGAAGTCCTAAGTAGAAGAAACTCCAGTGACCACCTGGTACCAATTCCTCATTTTTATAGATGAGGAGGCAGAGCCCACTCAAGGTTACACAGATGGTGACTGGAGCCCAGGCCAATACATTGTGTCATTCCTGGGTAATATGTGATGTATGTTATCTATTACTTTTAAAACTGGTTTCAGTTCAGTTTCAGGGCACAGAAGTGACTTAAACTATTTTCAGTTTTTAAACTCTAGCTATTAAATAATGATTTTAGAACTGGGAGTGCAAATTGTAGAATAAATGCCCCCCAAAGCCTCTTCTTTAAAAAAAATTCCTACAATAAAATTTTCTCCATTCCTCATCTTTTCTTCCATAAAAGATTTCCTCTTTCCTGCCTGTTCCCAATATTACCTAGTCTTTCATTAACTGTTTTTATTCACTCAACTCATTCTTTGTATTTCTAGGTTCAATTGGAGGATGATTTTAAATTAATTATATAATGAAAATGTTCACATACAGACCTTTCAGTAGTTTAAATAACCAAGTTATAAGAATATTGAAGTATGAGTAAAATTCTCTTACATAACTTATACCCAAATTCTATTTCTTTTTGAAAAGTATTTTGGTACAGAACATCCTTCTGAATTCTTGAAAATAAATTATTTCTCTCCATCTTAATCTTGAATAATTGTGAAATTTAAAGTATATTTAGTAACAAATATTTTGTTATGTATATTTTTTACAGTCTTTAAAATAAAAGAGTGTTTATTTTTCTCCTTTGGAAAAACTAAGACTTAAAAGAGTTGTCCCAGACACTAGAGTATCATAAGATGAGGATATAATATTTTACTTTACAAAGTATTTTGAGACAAATTAAACTTGCTTGATTCTTATAAAAGCATGAGAAGTAGGCATGAGAAACACTATTATTAAATTTCACAGATGAGGAAACTGAGACTAAAAGAGGTGAAGAGATGTTTGCACAGTCACATAGCAATTTAGCGGCAAGAAACAGCTTGAAACTAGATTTTTGGTCTCTAAGTTCTGTATGTTTTTTAATGCTATATTAGAGCTTCTACCCCTCTTCTCCCTCACTCTCCCATCTATTGCTCTTCCCATTCCTCATGGTACTTCTAAGCTGGACTATTCAGAGAATATAAGCAGGAAGACATATTGGATTAAGAATTCTGGCTGGGTAAGCCTTCACCCTCCTACCCAAATGAAAAATTTCTGGCAAAGCCATCTGTTTAGTCAAGCATTTGCCTGATGGCGGTGGGAGGATCGACAACTGTACCACCATGGATTCAGTCCCTAGAGAGTAAATATTGAAACATGTGTTTGTTTCTGTACATGTGCCTCAGGGCTCAGTGATGGGCACATTTTAAAGATCTAAATAATAATAGTCATGGTGATGCTGCCAGCCCTAGTGCTATTGCAGTACCTGAACGTCACTTGAAGGAGAGCTGTGGCCATTTACTGATTATACACCTTCCCTCCCATTTATGTAATGTCTCCAGCCAAATCCCTGCTGTCCCCATATACCTCCCTTGGTTCTCTCCTTCCTACTCTCTCAGCCATTATTTTCTCTTTTGAAGGGGCCCACCGTGTATTCTCATGGGTTATTGATAATGGATATTTTTTTCTTTCCTTTTCTTTTCTTTTACTTTTTTTTTTTTTTTTTTTTTTGAGATGGAGTCTCACTCTGTCGCCAGGCGGGAGTGCAGTGGCGCGATCTCAGCTCACTGCAACCTCCTACTTCTGGGTTCAAGCAATTCTCCTGCCTCAGCCTCCTGAGTAGCTGGGACTACATGCACGTGCCACCACGCCAAGCTAATTTTTGTAATTTTTTTTAGTAGAGGCGGGGTTTCACCATGTTGGCCAGGATGGTCTCGATTTCTTGACCTCTTGATTCGCCTGCCTCAGCCTCCCAAAGTGCTGGGATTACAGGCGTGAGCCAGCGTGCCTGGCCAATGATGGATTTCTTCCAAGGAGATGCCTAAGTTTCTATTTTTTTTTTCCTCTATGTGGTGGGATACCTGACTCCATGTATCAGTAAGAAGCAAATAACACAGTTATCAAAGATTTCTTGAGTAGGGTATGCATCAGAAGTTGTAGGAATATACAAAACAAATAGAAACCTGTACCTGCTCTCAGGAACCATTACCACTAGTCTGGAAGATAATGAACGAGATCACCTAAGAAAAGCAACCTTTAACTAGGTGCCCAAAATTATATATGATGGTACATACAAGAGAGTCAAGAGAATTCTGAATAAAGGAATCAGGTGGCATTACAGAGGAGTGGCTTGCAGGAAGAAGAGTAAAGGGTGTCAAGTGATAATTTAGGTGGGCTTAGAGCCAATAATCTTTATCAGCACTCATTCTGAAACTACCGCAAATAAATCACTTATCACAGTACACTAGATTACTTTAGTTCATATAATCCTCTGAGAAAGGTGTTATGAATCCTGTTTTAGATGATATGGTAAAGGGGTTAAGATGGTTGACCAAAGTCACATGGCCTAATAAGTGGCACTTCTGTCTGACTCTGCAGCTCATGGTCTTTCCCATTTCCACAATTTAAAGTAGTTTAAGTTGACTATGCTAGGAAATTTTATTTTTTTACAGGTTTCATTTTTCATTACATTTTATTTTTGTGAGTAACATATGCGTATAGTTGATAAAAACATGACAAATTTAGCAGTTCCCCATCTACCTTTCCCTCCCCATCTTCAGGTACTGCTCCTCAGAGGTAACCATGTCCATTTTTCTTATTTTTTTTCATTCTTTGCGTTCTCCATATTTCAAAATGATATGCTTATACTATTTATTACTTTATCATTTTTAACATCATCTATTATCTTATTTTTGTAGATGAATATTTATGTTTTATATAGCTCCACCTCTTCTTCCTCTCTCTACTGCATCTTTTCAACAGTTATATAATTTCTAAGGTAAATTAATATTCAATGCTTATGTTATAATCATAATATAGATACTGTTTATTGCCCCATTAGGTAATGTACCTTGATTATGTTTCCTTCCTGTACAACTTTTTGCTTTTTTGGAGTAAAAAATTGCCTCCATTTTTTAACAATTTTGTTTCTTATACTCCATATATTTTAAAAATGCCTCACAATGCTATTTCCATATGGTTAAATGTATCAGATAATTTATCAGTTCCTTTTTTTTTTTTTTGGTCTTTGAGAACCTCTCTCTGCCCCATCTCCTGCCTCAATCTGGACCAATTGCTCTGCTGTCATCCTTCACTACTCTCCTTTGCTGGATGGAGTTCATGTTTCCTGAATTCTGTATCCTCCTATTACTCTATTGCTTTTAGTGGAGCACATCCTTCAGCAGTATTCTAAGAAAGCATATGTTAAAGAATCAGTTTTGAGTCCTCGAATGCCTAAAAAGCCTTTATTCTTATAAATGATTGATAATTTGACTATGTATAGAATTTAATGTTAAATTTTCTCTTAGAGTTTTGAAAGTATTTCTCCACTATCTTACAGCAAGTGTTGCTATTCAAAAGTCCAGTGACTTTCAATCCTTTCCTTTGTGATTTGTTTTTGTTTCTCTGTTTTTTTTTTTTTAAATTTCTCTTTATCTTATGCTATTATTTTCTACAAGTCTTGGGTTCCTGGGTCTTTCTCTTATCCCTCCCCTTCTGTTATCCATCTCTTTGGCTTTTATTCTATATTTAAGAACTTTCCATCCTTGGTATTCCAAGCCTTCTATTGCATTTTTATTATCAAATTTTTATTTACCAAAAGTTCTTCATCTCTAGTTATTCTTCCTTCCCCATTTTTGCTTCAGGGATGCAACTGCTTCTCTTTTTTCTCCCCAAAGATATCAAGTTATGAGTATTTTGTTATTGGAAGCATTTTTTTCCTTCTCTTTGTGTTTTCACTGTTTGTTCTATGCCTTTCTTTGTTTTGGTCTATTTTTCTTATTGAAGGTTTTCTTCAACTGTCTGGTAGTCCTCACCTGCCCATTTATATTTAAGAGTGAGGAACTACAAAGCTGGAAGCTCTGGGTGTGGCGGCAGTTAGGATGATAGAGCAGCCAAATAGTTTTTTTTGTTGTTGAAGACTTGCAAGTGCCAGTGTTGGGTAGTTATGTTTTCTCAGGAGTCATTCAGTTTTTCCAGAGAAAAATCTCCCATCTGCTATATGGGGGCAACAAGCTGGCCTTTGTGAGAGAGAGCTAATGGGAGGAAGCAGACTAGAGGGGAGGAGTCTTCCTCTTGAACACATAGGCTTTCATTTAGTCCCCCTATTTTTAGCTCCAAGCCTCACCCCTGTTCTAGCGATTCTAGTATTCTCAAATTTAGAGTCTCCCTGGTCCATTTTTCCAAGAAATAAATCTCTAGTCTTATGCAAGGATAAAGGAAAAGACCTGGGGTTGTACCCTATTGATATATTGATTTTAACCAAGCCCTGTTTTCAGCTTTGCTCTTGCATCTGTCTCCAGGAACCCCTGTCCATCCAAATCCTGAGTCTTTCGGAGATTCTATGGAAGAAATCACTCAAATCCTCATTGATATCACACTTTGCAAGGCATTTCTGTTGCTTTCTTCTTTCTGCTAAGATAATTTTTATTCCTTCATCAACTGAACTTCTTTTCTTGTTCTCTTTAATGAGTTAAAAAATAAACAAAATTACTTTACCTTCATTTTAGTGGGTTTCTGAGATATGGAAGATATGAGCATGCCTAATCTGCCATGTTTAATATTGTTATAGCTTGTGTTCACTGGAAGCGGATGCTGAGATAGTTTGGGGTTCAAGGTTAGAGATCAGTGTTGTGAAAGGCAGCGGGAGGAAGCAGGATTGAGCAGAGGAAGCAGTCAAAGCATGATGCAGGTCTGTCAAAGCCTCAGCCAACCCAGCAGGGAGCTCTGGAGTGAGCAGAGCTGGTAAGAATTGTCTTTCATCCAGAGAAATGGCTGGGCTTTTGTTCCCTGCCTCACTGGGATGTGGGCTGCCCTGGGAATGGTGTAGATTTGGCCAAGGCAGCTCCCTGGAGCTGTGGCTGACTCTGAAGGAGCTGACAGCTGTAGGCTACCTGCTGACTGCACTCCTAACAGCTAGGCAGCAAGTCCTTCCTTGAAGGGGAATTTAGGTAGCCATGTCTACCATAAACAGGAAGCCCACTATAGGTTAAAAAAAACAGCTTTATTAAGACATAATCCATGTAACATAAAATTCACCCATTTAAAGTATACAATTCAGTAACTTTTATTATATTCAGAGTTGTACATCCATCACCACTATTCATTTAGAACATCTTCATTACTACCAAGAAAAACTCTGCTCCCCTTAGCTGTCACCTCTCAGTCCCCTCATCACCTTCATTCCTAGGCAACCACTAATTTACTTTCTGTGCCTATTTTGGACACTTTATATACATGAAATCATACAACATGTGGTCATTTGTGACTGACTTTTGTCATGTAGCATAATGTTTTCAAAGTTCATCAGTGTTGAAGCATATATGAGTTATTCATTTCTTTTTATTGCTAAATAATATTCCATTATATGAATATTATTTATCCATTTATCAGTTAATAGGCATTTGAGTTATTTACATGTTTTGACTATTATAAATAATGTGCTATAAATACTCAGGTGCAAGTTTTTGTGTTGATGTGTTTGTATGCATGTGTTTTTATTTCTCTTGATATGAATTCCTAGAAGTGGAATTGGATCATATGGTAGCTCTATTTAACTGTCTGAAGCCCTGCCAGACTGTTTTCCAAACAGCTACCCCATTTTACATTCCCACCGGTAGTTTATGAGAATTCCAGTTTCTTCACATCATTGACGATACTTGCTATTATCTGTTTTTTGATTATAGTCATTCTAGTGGTGTGAAGTGATATCTCCTTGTGGTTTTGATTTACATTTTCTTGATGGCTAATAATGTTGAACATCTTTTCATGTGCAGAAATATCTATTAAAATCCTTTATTCATTTAAAAATTGTGTTATTTGTCCTTTTATCATTGAGTTGTAATCATTCTTTTTAGGCTCTAGATTCAAGTCCCTTATCAGATACACAGTTTGCAAATATTTTTCTCCCATTCTGTGAGTTGTCTTTTCACTTTATTAATAGTGTCCATTGAAGCACAGAAGTTTTAAATTTTTGATGATGCTCAGCTTATCTATTTTTTCTTTTATCATTCATGCATCTGGTGTCATATCTAAGAAATCATTCAATAATCTAAGGTCATGAAGGTTTATACCTATGTTTTCTTCAAAGAGTTTTATAGTTTAGGCTTTTAAATTTAGGTCTTTTTTACTTTAACAATTCCAAGTTACAGCAAAAGAATCTCAGCAAAATATTTCATATTGAAATTTTGGCAGTAGCAGCAATGTGACCAAGTAATAATAGGGCTTAGAGTGGACCAAAAAATAAGAGCCTGCCTTCTGTCCTATTCTTCCCAGAATAGAGAGAATTCAGAAGAATGTGAACCACACGTGTCCAGTTCCATTTTCCTCAGCTCACATCTTTCAATAAGCCCACTCCACCCTGGGGTAGAGGAAGAGGGCTGGGTAAGTTCCTCCCAAACTTCCCCCTTCTGGAGCATTAACGGTTTCTCTCTCTCAGACCTAACTTAGATGAGCATTTATTGGCAGGAATTATGTTCATAATGTATTACTAAATGAAGATTATTTCAAAGCAATATGGATGGGGGGGGTGTATATACCACCCCAAAGTGTTAGTAGTGCTCAACTCTCATAAGTAGGATTAGGAATGTTTTTAATCTTGTCTTTCCCTACCTGTACATTCTAACATTTATAATTCAAATAATAAAAAACAGCTTTTGTAACAAGAAAAAAAAGTAGATTTAGATCTTTGATTCATTTTGAGTTATTTTTAGATGTAGTATGAGGTAGGGGTCCAAATAAGGATATTCAGATGTCCTAACCACCATAAAAAAAAAAGCTATTGAACATATATATTCTGTATGCAGCATTATATTGGGCACTATAGGATACAGAGCCACTGTCTTCTTTATGGCTTCTATTTTCCAATTCTTATTCACTAGAACATTTACCTGTAAAATTTTATTTATTTTTTGCTAGTATTAAAGTGTTGAATAGAATAATGGTCATGCACAGAGTATTTAAAATATACATCTTAAGTATTCTTTCATGGTTGATCTGTCCATTATACAGTTCATTTTGAGTAGGTTTGTTTAAGCACCTATGAATTCAGGAAAAATGGATTGGCTACCTGGTATTTGCCAGACATTGAATTAGGTGCCATAGAGACAAAGAAATGTAAAACATGCTTTTTTTTTTTTCTGTCATTGAGCTCACAGTCTAGTGGGAGAGAGTGACATATTCTTAAGAAATGTCGGCTATCTAAACCATCATCCTAGCTCACACCAAATCATCCTGTCTGTGACATTCTAAGAGATTTACTGAAATCATGATTTGTCTTTGGAATTCCTTCTGTTTAGTATATCTCTAATCTTATTAAGGGAAATGATGTTTTTCTTTCTTTGCATCCTATGCTGGCTTCTGATGTTCACCGCTTCAGATTCCATGTGATTACAAACCATTGTAAATAAATCTGTTTCAGACCTTTGGCAAGATGCAATTTTATACTTATTTGTCCATAGTTCCTAGTCATAGAGAGCTACTCTCTCTTCTACCCTGCCATTTTTGTTAATTGGGCAAAAATTATCCATTTCCAATCTTCAATTTCCTTTACTATCTTCTGTGATCACTAAATGTTTACCTATAATGTAAAAATTTACACCGAAATTGACTTTCCTTGCTAATTTAAAATTAGTCAGGAAAAATTTTCAATCTTACATATGAAACATTTTCCATAGTAGTCTTTTTTTCCAGCACAGTTAGGTGTAATCACTTATGAGTGGACCATGTATGGCAGGGAGATATACTCCAAAATTAAGAGCTGTAATTAAGAAATTACACTATACAAGGTAGAAAAACAACAATTTTCTTAAAAAAAATAAGGTGACTCTATAATTTAATGAAATGGGGAAATATATAAGGGAGAGTATAAAGACTTTGCAATTATCTAATCTTTAAAGTATAGCATATGTTTTCGGTTCTAAGGTTACTAGTAAATATGGCAAAACTTATCTGAATCTCAAAACTTCTTATATTAAAATAGATATACTTTGGTCTGAGGCATGGTGCAGATTTATAGATGTCTTTCCTACCTTCCTTCTCAAATTCCAGCCTCCTTTTGGCTACTCGGATTCTGGGGGTCTGATTATATCTTATTTCCTATGAACTGGCCTAATTGGCCTTCTTGTTTCCTCTCAGAGCAAATTCCTTTTTTTTTTTTTTCTAGTTTAAAACTCCCAGAATTCATTGAGTCCTCACATTTAACCAGGATTTCTCATCTGAGGGATGTGCCTTATTCACAGAATGGCAAAGTATTTGACGTGTTCCCTTTTTCAGCTCAACTTACTTATTCTCACAACCCTGGGTAATTTGAAGATATGGAATTACCAGAGAATGTAATGTTTCCTCAAAGTTTGAGGATTTTATAGAATGAGTGAATCTTTCTGTGAATGAGTGAATCACCTATCATTGCAGATAATGCACACAGCAGAAGTTTGCAAGATTGTACTGATTCATTATTACTCAGGACATTCTTTAAAATTACTTTAAAAATTACATCCATGATGTCTAATTTTTTGTCCGTTTTCTCCTTTTAAAAATACAGAGCCATAGATCCCAGCCTCCTATGAACAGATATTTTAATGTAATAAGAAAATCCAGGAAATGGGAAATGCTTTTGTAAAAACCACAAAAACAAATGATTATAATCCAAATCCACCAATGTTTCTAACTCATGATTAGAAGGAAAATATTTTAAGTCTTTCCCCTTATTTTCATATGCAGTCAAAGAATTATGTAAGTGGTATTTATTGTAAATTCACTGTTTATACTTCACCATGATGAGAGGAGCACTCTATCTGAAATCATTATGAATTATTGTTGGGAGGAAGAACAGCCAGAATAAGTGATTAAAAAAGAGAATAAGGCAAGGGTCTGGTGGGGATAGGGTGCGGAGCTGCAGCTGCTATCTCAGCGTGAGAACAGAGACCTGTTATGCACGCAGGAGGAACACATGGTCTGCTTCCATCCTTGCAGAGCCCTTATTTCCGCTGAGTTCTCTGCTGACTCTAGTTCTCAGTCCAAAAGGAATTGGCACAATGTTTACTACCTGGAGGGATCAGAAATAAAGACCAACCCCCCCATGGTGCCTCTGAACAAGTAAGCTTAGAAAGCCGCAGAAGGGGAGACAGATTGCTAATAGCAAAGGGGTGGGGCGTGGCTTCTGTAGTATGGTCCTAAGGGAATTCTATCTATGGGCAACCAGGAAGAAGGAAGAGTAAGATCTCTGCCATACAAATATCTCATTGCCTGGGTAGAAACTGGTTGAGATAATGGCCCTGTGTTTGTATACCATTTAGAGGACTGCTTAGGAAAAATGGGCACATAGAAACAGCCATTCCTTTGTTGGAAATTGCCTTTTGGCAATTTCTTTCCCTTGGCATAGTGAGCCTTCATTTTTCACATAAAATGCACTGGCACCTAGACACAAAACTCCTTGGAAATACCCCTGAGTGCACTTTCTGGGACATGCCAGGTTCATGGCAGCAACTTGGGATCACAGAACTTTAGAATTAAAAAACCAGAAGGGGCCTTAGAGGTCACCCAGTCAGCTGTGTATGCCCAACAGATTCTGGGTGAATCATGAGTTTTCATCAAGTTGGGCATCTGCCTGTGAATTTGGATGATGTCACTTCAGTGCTGACAAATGAGCAGCCTGGCTAGAGCCAACACTTGTGTGGGATGCTTCATCCACAGGCGTTAGCTGGTTAATTTGATGATAAATTAGTTCTTTCTGACTCAGTGGACTGCAGCACCAGCAGTTTTGCCTAGTCTGGGCTTCATTTACCTGTCACTGTCACTGTGATTGCTGGGTCTCTGAGTTCTTCCTTTTCCCGCTCTACTGATGCTAACTTTTTAGTAGACTAGCTAATTGGTTCACTCTTCTCTCCTCTGCCTAGTCCCCTCCAGCCAACTGCCTTCTCACAATCTCTGTCTTCAAATCAGGGAAAAGGAGGAGTAG
Organism: Homo sapiens; assembly: GCF_000001405.40. Lineage (NCBI taxonomy): Eukaryota > Metazoa > Chordata > Mammalia > Primates > Hominidae > Homo > Homo sapiens. Next base: position 120,851,450 of record NC_000003.12, read on the forward strand.
AGATCAGGTGTCATGTCTGAGGATGAGGGCTGGTGGTCCACCTTCTCCCCAACTAAAGTTCTTCCCTTCTCTTCTGATGTCAGGATCTCTCCATTCCTCTCATCCCCTTCCTCAGCAGCATATTGGGAGGATTAGGCAATGGAAAGAGATGTATTTAGTCTAACTTCAGTCTACAGGTCAGGGACTGGGATCAGTCCTTGCACGAAGAGGGCATCGCAGAGATTTAGCTCCAAAGAATACTCTGAAGTCAGGTGAAGATACCATTGTCTGCATCCTTAAGTTAAGGTGACCTCCTAGCTATGGAAGCAATGAAGCAGAGGTGGGGCAGGCTGCAGGCCTTTCTCTTAAACTCACTTGGCCAAAACCTGTCTCCTAACCTGAGGACACGTGCCTGAGAAAGATAAAGGAATGTTGACAGAAACAAGATAGACTATGTGACTGAGATAAACCAAAACAGGAAAAGACAAATTTCACGTTGGAGATGAAAACAAGCAGTGTCTGTCCCCTTCCATCTCTGAACCAACAAGTAATTCTAATCTTGTCAAAAAACCTTGAAAATTATGATAGTTAAATATCAGTAATAAGGGGGAAAATACCCATATATTCTGAATCAGTAATTTTCAAGCTTGGCTTCACATTGAAATCATCTAGGGAGCTTTAAAAAGTACTGATGCCTTTGTCCCACTCTCAGAAATTTTGATTCAATTGGTTTGGAGTGCTGGCAAGACATTGGGATCTTTCAAAAAGGAAATTATCATATGCAACAGCGTAACTTTCCAGAGATTAATTTTTTTCTTTTCTTTAGGGAGAGAGGCACCATAAAAGCACCATGGAATCACCTTAGGCCTCTCCTTCAGAAGGGAAATTACTGTGGAATCTGAAGGTGGTTTCTTTCAGACAGGCAGGTGGATAGGAGTTCTTAGAGTCTGAACTCAACAGTTGCTGTCTAGAATAAGGGGGGTATAATTAGATGCTTTGCATTTTGACAGTTCAAAAGCAAAGGCTACATAACCCTTAGCTGCAGATTCCCAGATAGAGAAAAGGGATAGCAGCTGAGGGTCCCCTAATGTCCTGGCAGGTATCTGTAAACGGCTCTTATCTTTGCTTTTCCTGCTGTGTACCTGAAATTTCCCACTTCCTCTTATCAAGTTTCTAGCTCAAATATCAACTACCCTCCCTGAAGCTTTTCTAGCCACCTCAGGTAAAATTAATCTGTTTTGCATTCCTAGAGTGCTGCATGCATATTTCTATTCCCGCACTTGTCACCTTATATTACAGTTACTTGTTTACATGCTTGTCTTCCTTCACAGCTAGACTCTGAACTTCCTAAAATCAGAGACTTCACTTTTCATCTTTATATAATAAATGTCAAGACATAAATGACTTTTGATAGGTGCATAACAAATATTTATGGAATTAATCAGAAATAATAAGCTAGGTTCTTAGAGAGTCCAGAATTCTATTTCACTTACAATGTAATTGAAATAAATGTACAAGTAATGAATGGTAGAAAGCAGTAATGTAGAATAATTTTTTTGTCTTTAAAGTACCATGAAATTTGTTTAAATACAGAATAAATAAGAACATAAAATGCATAAGGCAGAAATTTCCCAACATGCCATCAGTCAGTGGTCCAGGGGTTTGGAGCATCGTGTGCAGAAGGGTAGAAGAGTGGCTGGAGGTGAGGCTGGGGACTGGGGATACTACCTGGAGCTCACTGTGGGAAGCTGTGTGTGATATGGGAGGCATTTGGACCTTGAGGGGGTCCTCTAAGCAGGAAATGACAAAATTAGATTTGTCATTGGTTTAGAAAAGGATCAATCTCTGGCTTTCTGGTGGATTTACCATAACATGGTAAAGTGGGAAGACCAGGGAGGAGTTTACTGTCCAGGCGAGTGATTGGAAAATGCGTCTTCTATTCCTGTTCCAAATAATAGGCCTCCCAATTGTTTTAGGCTTAATTGTGTCTCCCCCAAAATTCACATGTTGAAGTCCTAACCCCCTAGTACCTCAGAATGTGACCGTGTTTCAAAATATTTAAAGGGGTAATTAAATTAAAATAAAGAAAATTAGGGTTAGCCCTAATGCAATATGACTGATTTCCTTATAAGGAAAGGACATTAGGACACACACACACACACACACACACACGCGCGCGCGTGCGCGGAAAGCCATATGAAGATATGGGGAGAACACAGCCATCTGCAAGTCGGGAGAAAGGTCACAAGAAGCCACCCTGCAACACACCTTGATCTTGATTTCTGGCTCCCAGAATTGTGAGAAAATACATTTCTTTATTGTTGTATTCATTTGTTAGAGATACCATAGCAAACTAATACATCAAGAAACTCTTAGGACATAATTTATTGTTAAGTTCTATGCTGCTCTTATGTATTATTTTTCACTACCTTAAGCCCTAGGTCTTGAAGCAGTTTGTGGGGCAGAGAACAGACATTTTAGCACACAGTCTTTCACTAAACTTTAAAATAACATATGCTAGAAGTGCCCCCTAGAAACCTAGGGTTTGAGCAAACAATATGAAACCTTGAAGAAAGATAATTTTTCATCTTAGATTTTCTTTAATGGATATATTAGAAATTGATATTTATCATTTTCTGCCCCATTCCCATTCAACCCCAAACATGCACTCATATACATTTAACCACATATTCTATTGAGAGAATCTGCAATATAGCTCTAGTGGCTCCGTTGGTAGCAAATAACCCTGTTTTACTTTGCTTGGCTACAGTGACCACAGGGGTGTCATTTGACTCAAAGAGAACTAATGTACAGACTGAGCTGACTGAGCAGACTCTCTCTCTCTCTCTCTTTCTAATTTGAACCAAGAAAGCTAGAAACTGAGGACATTAGTAGCTGAATAGTGTTTATGTTGGAAACAGAATGACTATTGCTGAAGTTTCCTGATTTGCTTGGTTTTTCTGAGGCCTCTTGATTTGTAGATCTGTATCGTTATAATAAGCCCCCTTTACTTGAGCCACGTTAAGTAGATTTCTCTTCCCTGCAAGCAAATGTGCCATAATACAAAGGATAAAATTAATTCTAAAGCTGAGGTTAAGCTTTAGAGACTAAAACCATGAATAACCACAGATATATCCTGAAATATATGTAATTCCATATATCTTTTTATTCTCTAGAACAAGACACAAAGCCTATACCACAAAGAGGGGGAGGAAAAACTAAGGTGGTAAAGTAGCTGCTTCCATGATTCATGTAAACTTTACTTTTAATCTTCTCAATTTTCATTTAAATATGAGTATGTATGTATGAATATATACATATGCAAAATATACCAGAAAAATTGATAGTTTTACTTGGGAAAAGAAAAAAGGCAGAGGATATGGAATTGAAGCATGAAGTTCCATGATACACACAGAAAGCAATTTCAAATCTACCCCTATAATACTGACACAGTTGAAACTGAAAGGTCTTATCTAAACCCATGTATTATTCTGAATAAGGAAAATTTTAGTAGCTTTCTGAATTGCAACTGAATTCCTAAATGTGAGCATTTAAATCATTCTTAATTATCTGAAAACACTTGGTGAGGTGATTTTGAAGTGTGAGTTATTTTCCTCTCCTCTCTGACTCAGTTTTGCAAAGCAAACATTGCTTTTTATGGGCACTGTCATAGATTCAGGCTAATGGCCCAGCTTCCTTTTCCTCATTAGAGGACGTACAAGGTTTGGGGAGGCTTTCTGGATTCAGCTAAACTACATTTCAAGGCAGGGCTCTGCATTCAACATTAGATCTGAGAATGGGATTCTATGTGGAGGAGGGATGGCCCTCCAAGGGACAGGCCTGGGCGCTTTCCTCTTCCTGACCAGGACTGATTGCCCTGCAGATGGCCCCCTGACTGGCTTTTCTTAGGAGAAGAGAGAAGCCAGGCAAGCGGCATTTGGCCTTCCCTTTATAGCATCTGTGACAGAGAAAATAATTAAAAACCAAATATTAAGTGATCAGTCTAGAGTCAGAAACATGGAGGCCAGGCTGACTCAGAGGACAGAGGAAACAAAGGCATAAGGTGAAGTACTAACCATATATAGACAAGACAAGATGGTCTGGTGTTTATGTGCACAGGTACTGAGTCAGCCTGCTGGGGCTCAAACTCCAGCCTGCTGTTTGTTTATAAGTTTCTTGACTTCCCCAAGTCCTAATTTTCCCGTCTAGATAGACAGTGGTAATAATAGTACCTACCTCATAATGTTGTTAATTAAATGTGATAATATATGTAAGATGATTTGCATTCCATCTCATGTGTGACAAAGGTTTTATGTTATTAATATAAAGCTTGCCAACCTAGAGGAGAGACATGCTGTGGAGGGGAGCAGGGCCAGGGGCCATAACACAGAAGAGAGATGGGGCAGCATAGGCTGCATCTCACACCACCTTGTTCTCTACCTGCATTTGGCACAGAGGTAAGCCGTGTTCCTCTGGCTGGGCAGCTGCATCAACACATAATAAAATAAGAGATTTGGAGAACTCTTCAGAAAGCAAAGAACAGCTGTGCCTTTCTCCTCCGTTTAGCTTATTTTTGTTCCCCATGAAGGCCACTCTAGCTACTGAGATTAAAAACAACATCCCTCTCTCCCCCCGCAAAAAAAAAAAAAAAAAAAAAAAAAACTTTTTCTCCAGTGAACCAAGAGATTTAAGTAGCAGCTCCAGTGACAGAATATCTGGCTGGCTGTCTGGCTCCTGTGTGCTGGCGCCTCTCCATTCCCGCCCATCCCCATCCTAGTTTTGGCTTTCCTAGTCAGACTTCTCTGCATAGCAGCAGAGGGTGTGCTCAGCAGCTCTGCCCAATGACTGATGGACCTGCAGCAGCCCCCGCGGAGGAGGCCAGGCTGTGATTCAGACTTCAGAGCATATTTGGAGGGTATTGCTTCTCAGCTGCCAGTAACTGCATTAGACTTGCACTTGGTTAGTGATGGGCACTTTGTGGTTACTTTTCTGATTAATAACTTATCTTACCTATATGACCCTCTTTCCAACTACCCTTTATTTTTGCCCCCTCTCCCCTTATATCTATTTCCTTGTTTGTCCTTGTGAATAACTACATATTTCAATGTCTTTGGATATAAATTCCTCTCTCTAATCTGATGGACACACAAAACTTAATTGTGAATCCCTTTGGGAAAGTCCCATTTAATAACAGACAAGGCTGCCCCATGGAAGCCCCTATAAGCCCAAAGCCTGTCTAGTGGGGAAAGAGGGTCCTCAGCTGACCTATACATCTCATAGATGTTTCATTCAGCCCTCAGGTTCCCAGATTCAGGGGACCCTCAGTACGATCACATGTGCTATCAGACTATTCTTTCCAGAGCCTGGAACTCTGAGCCTTCAGGGACAGGTCTGGTACCTCTCCTTTTGTGCTATGATTGTGTACACACATATTGTGTTTTTCAAAAATGGTGGTTGGCAATGCACACATACCTGTAGTTGATTGTGACTGAGATATTTATAACATAAGGACTAGACTAGAGCACTAGAGTTCAACAAAGTTTTCGCAGAGATTGTTGTAGTGAAAGTGAGTGTGGAGAATCAAGTTGGCAGGCTCTGAAGACCCCACCCCTATTCAACAGGAAAAATTCCGCTTGACGAGTTTTGCATATTTGGTTCTGTGCTGGATATCTTCTGTTTGCTTGTTTAAATCCATTCTCTGTCCTTTTCATCTTGTCTTTTGTCTCGGGAGGCTGACTTCTATGGATTGCATTAATTGAACTTCCTTGACCTTTAGCTTTCTATTGGGTTCAGCCAATGGAAGAAGCAGCAGTAGATTGGAGGGCCGAAGGAGAGAGAAGCAAGGGTATTTCTTTTCCAGATTCCTTAATTTCTAGGTTGTTGTTGGCAATGGCTTCATTCCTCTACCAAAGCCCACCTCTCTTATTTGGTGGCCCTCTCCCATAGCTTCAGTTCTTGCCAGGTCTTGATCATCACTCTGCCCTCTTTCTTGCACCTTCAGGCCTAGGGGTGGCAACACCATTCCTGGCCCTGAGGTACTCTCACCTTCCCTTGTAGTTTTCCCTTTATCCCACCCAGACCTTTGTGAATAGCCCCTTCATTAAACCCTATTCACTTACCCTTTTTGAGTTTTCCTTCAGTTTGAATTTGTCATGCTAGGACTATGACTGATCCAGTCTTCTATTGTAAGGTTTTGTTTAGTAAAATATTTTGCTGCTAAATGAAATTTGTGAAACCATGGCACTGGACAATCAGAAGCATTGTGAGAACAAATGTCATGTTCTTTGTGGGTGTAAATTACCCAAGATAGCTAAAGCAATGTCTTCAAAAAACCATTAAATTTGTGATCTTTACTATATAGTTTAAAGTTTATATTAAGGAATATATTTAATTCAGTACTAAATTTATTAACTAAATCAACTTTGGAATCAGACAGGCTTGCAGCCTGACTCTGGCACTTACCAGTTCTTTAATCTTGAGTAAGCTATTTAACCTCCCCAAGCCTCAGTTTTCTTATCCGTAAGATAGAAGTAATAACATTCTCTAGTTCATGGAACTGTTATGAGAATTAAATGAGATGGTATATATAGAGTGCTTAATGCTGAGCTTGATACTTAGCTTGATGCCCAATAAACTTTAATGTTTGCTATTATTATTTATAATAATAATATGGTTAAGAATATATCAAACCAGCAAAAGTGAGCCATTTGAAGAAAGAATAGTTTGAAAATCTAAAGGTCTGGGTGGGGAAACAACAAGTGCTTCACTTAGACAAAGACCAGACCTGGTTCTGCCCACCTCTTGCAAGCATCTAAATCAGCCTTCCTGTCCAAAGATCTGTGGTGAAACAACATGCATTCTGGGCCATCAGAGATTCCCTGGCAATAACAGTAAATTAAGACAGGCATATAAGGCAGAGAAAGCAGCAGTCACCTGTGGAAGTTGTAGAGAACCTCCTTCAAATCTTGGTTCAAATGTTATGCTTTCAATGAGACCTACCCCAGACCTACTAAAAACTGACTCACACCCAATCCCCGGAGCTCCTGATCTCCCATGTCCTACTCTATTTGTTTTCTTCACTCCATTGCGCCCTTCACCTCCTAGCATACCATACAATTGGTTTATTTATTTATTACATTTTCTGCTTTCTGTCTCTCTCTTTCAGCTAGAATATAAGCTCCATGACAGCGGGACATTTTTGGCATGTACACAGATGTTTTCCAACTCAGTATTCAATAAATATTTGTTGAATGTTGTTGAGTCATCTCTGCATTACATTGTGTATGACATTTGGCTATCCAAGGATGCCAAGTGATAACCACTGGATGATTATTTGATTGTATTCAATGGATGTTTACATCAGTTTTACAAATTAGTCATCATTTATGACTGGTCCCGCACTCGAATTATGTCTGCTTAAAAGTCTGGTACAAAGTGAGCACTCAATAGGTGTTAGTCCCCCCATGTTGTGTAACTATGTGTTGTATTTAGCTTTTTTTTTTAAATTAGTTTTCATGTACGGGTATCTGTGTGGGTGGGTACACTGCAAAGCACATCTGTGCTTCCACACAGTGTTAAAAGCTCTTAACTATCTGTCTGCAGCTTATCAGAGAGAAGACAATAATTGCTTCTTTAGTATTCCCTTTTCACTTTGAGTGTTCTCCCTCATTTCCTTCCTTCCTCAGTTTTCCTAAGTTTTAGCCATTTAGTTTGTTTTCCATACGGAATTGTTGATAGCATGGAAACTAGCAAAATCCAACAAAAAAATTTTTAAATCCATTTAGGTCCTGTTTGTACCATTTTTTTCCCTATTAGAAAGCCTCATGATTCCTGTCCAAATTATCTTCTAGGATAATTAGGAGCCCTTTCACTTGCTTTCTTCTGATTGAAGGTGGGATTGAAGATTGATTTGATAGTTCATAGCAATAAGTTCAAAGGCATAGTCCAAAAAGCTGGAATTAAGTCCCAAACAAAGGATTTATGATGGAGGATACATGATATTGAGTGGAAGTATTTTGGAAGGGGAAACCAGAGTTTTCTGACTCAATGAGAAGAAAGCTTTTAAAGGATACCTGTAACATGAACTGTTAAGGGTTCTCATCTCTTCTGGAAGGCTATTACCTGTTTCCTGAAGACCCGTGGAGATAAGGGATAACAAATAGGTTCTATGTTATGGGTCAGCTGAGTTTGGTCATGGTAGTAGTTGACAGGAAGTGTTTCTCAGAGTGTGGACCCCCAACTAGCAACATCAGCATCACTTGGGAACTTGTTAGAAATGCAAATTCTTGGTCTTTGCTCCAGACCTTCTACATCAGGAACTCTGAGGTAATCTCTATCATAAATAAGTCTTCCAGGTGATTCTGATGCACACCAAAGTTTGAGAATACAGGGTTGCAGGAGCGTGTTGAGGATTCTAATCCGGGCTCCGTGTAGAAAAAAAAACACAATAATTCATTAATGATATCTGCCATGAACATGGGAGGGAGGGATGGCAGCAAGTGCTGTATGTATTTGCAAACTCACTTCTGGCAGAATTGATAAATATCATGCAAACAAATGACCTAAGCAAGATAGTAGTTACCTAAAAGTTCTAAAGAATTGAAAGAACAATTTTTCAAAGTAAATAACAAATGTGGATGAAAAGGTGCCAGTGGACTGTCGGAGAGCCACATAACTCCTTGTCCATATACAGTGTTTTGAGGGAGACTTTAGAAAATAAGTTTCACTCTAAATTTCACAAGATGTAATAGTAATAAACATCATATTTATAGCCACATGAAAAAATAACTCACAAGTATCCAGAACTTCTTTTCTCTTGATCCATAAGGAGAATTATGTGTTTGCCAGCTGAGTTTTATGGGTCTATCTTGTACAGAATCAGTGTGAGAGGTGAAGGAAATATTTGAAAGGAACCCAGCTAGAAGGGCTTGCTATAGGGGTAAAAGAAGAGAGTTATTGGAAAACTAAAATAATAGACCAAAAAGGTGAAAGAAACTGGGGATAAGAGCCAGAGTGGGCTGGTTTGGGGAAAAGGTTTATTTTGAATTTTGAAGTTGGTTTGGAGATAGAACTAAAGAGCATGAAAGCTATACAGAAAGAGATGGAGAAAGAAAATTTTAAGAACTTTTTCTATGTGTTAGGCTAAAATTTCCATTTGGTATTTTTGAGAGACTTCTGTAAATATTTAAATTGCTTTTTAGTTACTATAATACTGTCAATCATTATGATTTTGGTTGTTAAACTGTTGTTTCTTTCAGAATGATGCCATGCTAAAACTGAGCTTTATTTAGATTATTTGCATACTTTTTGTGTGTTTATCTTCTGTCTTCCTCTAAAAATGCTTTATTTAAAGTGGCATACAGAGAACAGTAATGCTAAGAGCTTGTGTTTGTTTAAAATTTTGTAATTATAAAGCCATTTTGAAACATCATTTTTCAGTAGAATATTATAGTGATGCAGGCAGAGGTGACATTATTATCCCCATTTTCCAGATGAGGACACTGGAAATCTGTGAAGTTTCTGCTTTGCTTTGAGTGAAATAACTAGTAAATGATGGATTTAGGATTCAAACTTGGATGTTCTAACACCAAATGCTCATTCTTTTTATACCTCTGATGGTATTAAAAGTAGTATAATGAAACAAGTCTCCTGTTGTTGAAGGTAAATTACTTTAAACTTTAAATTTACACAATATCTCATAAGCTGTGGTTATACATGTAGCCACATCTTGGCAGTTAAGGAATTAGGATCTCATCTGAAAGGCGAGATTATTACAGAAATAAAGTACCTGGGAAGAGGAAAGTTTTTCATATTAGAAATTGGATCAGTAATAGATTGCAAGCAAAAGTCACCTAGTCTTGCTTAGTTTAGCTACAGATGATTAAAAGGAACTCTTGGTGGAGATTACTAAGAGGATACTTTGAGGCTATGCACATTTCTCAGACAGCAGGTACATGCAGGACAGACAGCAGGAGTATCAGGAACCTGTGCTTGGAAACTGTATTGTTTTTATGTTTTTGTACTCTTTTATTTCCCTTTCTCCTCGTCCCTTCCTATAGTAGAGTTGTACTGAAGGTTCTATCCTGCCTAAGCCATGCCAAAGGAAACCAAGGAAAGGGGTTTTCTTCCTATTTTGGTTGGAGTTTTATTGTAGACCCCTGAGGATTCAGAATGGGGGCATCAATGGGAAGGTGAACCCCAAGGACACAGAGTTGGGGTGGGGTGGTCAGTTGTCTCCTCCTACCTAGAGATCCCATTCCTTGAAATGTCAGAAAAATGTATTCTTTTATTTTTGTTTTTTATTCCCCTTCTTTTTTTTTAAAATTATACTTTAAGTTCTAGGGTACATGTGCACAACATGCAGCTTTGTTACATGTGTATACATGTGCCATGTTGGTGTGCTACACCCATTAACTCGTCATTTACATTAGGTATATCTCCTAATGCTATCCCTCCCCCTACCCCTAACCCACGACAGGCCCCGGTGTGTGATGTTCCCCACCCTGTGTCCAAGTGTTCTCATTGTTCAATTCCCACCTATGAGTGAGACCATGTGGTGTTTGGTTTTCTGTCCTTGCGATAGTTTGCTCAGAATGATGGTTTCCAACTTCATCCATGTCCCTACAAAGGACATGAACTCATCATTTTTTATGGCTGCATAGTATTCCATGGTGTATATGTGCCACATTTTCTTAATCCAGTCTATCATAGTTGGTTCCAAGTCTTTGCTATTGTGAATAGTGCCACCATAAACATACGTGTGCATGTGTCTTTATAGCAGCATGTTTTATTATACTTTGGGTATATAACCAGTAATGGGATGGCTGGGTCAAATGGTATTTCTAGTTCTAGATCCCTGAGGAATCACCACACTGACTTCCACAATGGTTGAACTAGTTTACAGTCCCACCAACAGTGTAAAAGTGTTCCTATTTCTCCACATCCTCTCCAGCACCTGTTGTTTCCCGACTTTTAAATGATTGCCATTCTAACTGGTGTGAGATGGTACCTCATTGTGGTTTTGATTTGCATTTCTCTGATGGCCAGTGATGATGAGCATTTTTTCATGTGTCTGTTGGCTACATAAATGTCTTCTTTTGAGAAGTGTCTGTTCATATCCTTTGCCCACTTTTTGATGGGGTTGTTTGATTTTTTTCTTGTAAATTTGTTTAAGCTCTTTGTAGATTCTGGATATTAGCCCTTTGTCAGATGGGTAGATTGTAAAAATTCTCTCCCATTCTGTAGGTTGCCTGTTCACTCTGATGATAGTTTCTTTTGCTGTGCAGAAGCTCTTTAGTTTAATTAGATCCCATTTGTCAATTTTGGCTTTTGTTGCCATTGCTTTTGGTGTTTTAGTCATGAAGTTCTTGTCCATGCCTATGTCCTGAATGGTATTGCCTAGGTTTTCTTCTAGGGTTTTTATGGTTTTAGGTCTAACATTTAAGTCTTTAATCCATCTTGAATTAATTTTTGTATAAGGTGTAAGGAAGGGATCCAGTTTCAGCTTTCTACAGATGGCTAGCCAGTTTTCCCAGCACCATTTATTAAATAGGGAATCCTTTCCCCATTTCTTGTTTTTGTCAGGTTTGTCAAAGATCAGATAGTTGTAGATGTGTGGTGTTATTTCTGAGGCCTCTGTTCTGTTCCATTGGTTTATATCTCTGTTTTGGTACCAGTACCATGCTGTTTTGGTTACTGTAGCCTTGTAGTATAGTTTGAAGTCAGGTAGCATGATGCCTCCAGCATTGTTCTCTTGCCTTAGGATCGTCTTGGCAGTGCAGGCTCTTTTTTGGTTCCATATCAACTTTAAAGTAGTTTTTTCCAATTTTGTGAAGAAAGTCATTGGTAGCTTGATGGGGACGGCATTTAATCTATAAATTACCTTGGGCAGTATGGCCATTTTCACAATATTGATTCTTCCTATCCATGAGCATGGAATGTTCTTCCATTTGTTTGTTTCCTCTTTGATTTCCCTTCTAAGAGAGAATCTCTGAAAAGAAGATTGCCGAGAGTGTTCACATGATTTGTAGGAGAGATGAGTCAGAATGAAGGGGTATGGGAAGGAAAAATTAAATAGTTATTTTCTAAATACAGAATTTAAAAATATATACTAAAAATAAAATTGTTTAAAATATTAATAAAAAGTTCAGAATGAAGTTTTTCTCTATTGCTCTCTAGCACTTGCATTTCCCAAACTCCAAAGAATATTTTCTTATGTAACAATCTGCACAATGTCAGTTGACAAGCAACACAGTATAGTTCTCAAATACAAAAGTAAAAATCAGGATACCCATCCATTTTCCCAAGCTGAGAAGAAGAAAGAATGAAGAGATTTCTTTGCTTATAGAGTTCTAATTTAAAAGTTGGGAAGTTTTCCTATTCTGCTGATTAAGACTTGAAGCTTGGGGGTAAATAGTGGTTGCAGCAGAAATCTGCCCCTTAGGGACTGGAATCAAGAAGCATATTGCCCTAATACTTAAAACACATGAGAGAGCGAGAGAGGGAGAGAGAAAGAGAGAGAGAGAGAGAGAGAAAGGAGGAAGAGAAAGAAAGAGAGAAAAAAGAATAAATAAATCTAAAAACAAAAATATGGCAATTAGAATATGGATTTCCACAAAGGAATTTAAAGATCATTGATAGGCAAGGGTTTAAATATATATGAGTGTGAATACTGGACCATATTTCAACAACATTAGCATGTCTTCCTAGCTTATATAAATTGCCATTGAAGTTTTACTTATGTGGTGTTATTGTATAATCACCTGCTTGACCTTGGCAGTGAAGTGAAACTTGTAAGACTAGAAATTTGTTTACATTTAACCCATCTCTACATTGGTATGTGCTGTAGGTTGGCATTTATATGCAAAGTAGCCAATTATCTATGTTTTTCTTTGTTTACCCTACAGCAGAATGGTGAAACCAATTTCTTGCATGTATAATTCAAAGAAATTTAATGCTAATGAGGAAAAAGAAAGATTCATATACTGTCCAAAATGTACAATTCCACTGCTACTGGGATGACCAAGTGCATTTTTGTATGTAAGAAGTTCATTGAAGTTTATTTTTAAAAAAGAAATCTTTCATAGATATAAGAGAGGAAGAACCACACAAAAGACAAGTTGCATTTCTCACCCTTCTCTCTCCAGATGTTCTCCTGTTGCTGCTTCTGCAAAGTGAACAGAGAGAGGTAGCCAATTAACTTCCTTGAGTAACCAAATATTTAAAACAAATGAATACACAAAAACCTTTCAGCGGCCTTCATTTGTAGGCAAGGTAACCACAGAGAATCAGTCAATAAATTGACCAAGCACTTGTAAGAAGAATGTATTTGTCACAGGGCTATGCTGCTCACTGGCAGCGCACCTGACTGGCTTCTTAACCCGGCCAGCTCCTTTGTCCCAAAACCAGGCTCTGCTTCCTTTCAGGGTCTTGGAATAAGTCCTACCCAATTTGTTAATTTGAGATCAAGTCCGATTTGTTGCTGGCCCCTCTCTAACCCTGGTGTCGCATCTGTTCCTGGTTGTGTTTATTTCCTATCTCCTAATTACACCATTGACTGAGCTTTCTGCCAATTTCTTCAGCTCTCATGTTATTCTCTGAAGCTTATGTATTAGTTTGCCAGGGCTGCTATAACACAGTACCACAAACTGGATAGCTTGAAAAACAGAAATTTATTGTCTTACAGTTCTAAAAGCTAGAAGTCTAAAGTGTCACCAGGGTTGGTTCCTTCTGAGGGCTATGAGAGAGAATCTGCTCCACAATTTTCCCTTAGTTTCTGGTGGTTTGCTGGCAATCTTTAACATTCTTTGACCTGTAGAGGCATCACCTTGATCTCTGCCTTCAGGCTCACGTGGTGTTCTCTCTTTATAAGGATATCAGTCATGTTGGATTAGGAGCACACTGTACTTCATTATGACCTCATCTTAACTGATTACATCTGCAGGGATACTATTCCTAAATAAGGTCACATCTGAGAAACTGGGGCTTAGAACTTCAATGTATCAATTTTGGGGATACACAATTCAGCCCATTCAACCCATAACAGCTTATTAACTCTTGTCCTAATTTCCAAATGCCCTGCTTGATTTCTGCCAATGGCCTATACATGATTTACCTTTGATTGCTTATTTTACTACACACCCTTCTTAGATTTGATTTGAACTTCACCTGACTGTACTCATGATCTTCCTGCCCTCTTTTTAGGACACTAATGTCCTAGGTCTATATTTACTCTGAGATTTACATCTCATTGTGTCTAGCTCTGTGTGGTGGGCAGAATAATGGTTTCCCGAAGACATCCAAGTCCTACTCCCCAGAATCTACACATATGTTAGGTTCCATGGCAAAAAGGAATCAAAGTTGCAGATGGAATCAAGTTTGCTAATCAACTGCCTTTAAAATAGGGAGATTATCCTGGATTATCCAATTGGGCCCAATGTAATCAAGCTTTTAAAACTGAAAGAAGGAGGTGAAAGAAGACAGAGGAAGATATGTGCCAATGGAAGCAGGGTTAAAAAGATGCTTTGTTACTGGCTTTGAAGATGCAAGAAGGGGGCTTCAAACCAAGGAATGCAGGTGGCCTCTATAGATGGAAAAGGCAGGAAGATGGATTATTTTCTATGGCTTCCAGAAAGCTACACAACCAAGCTGACACCTTGATTTTGGTCCAGTGAGACCCATGTTGGACTCCTGAACTACAGAATTATAAGTAAATTTGAATTGACTTAAGCCACCAAGTTTGTGGTAATTTGTTAAGGCAGCAATAAAAATCCAATGCATCTTAAAATAAAAAATTCCTGGGCATGCCCTCATATTTAGATGCCAGCCTTTATCCTACCCTGAAAGTTCTTCCTGTTCTCCTAGGCTTATTCCAATTAATTCATTTCGCCACTACTTCAAAACTTAGAATTAACATGCATTAGATGCAACATGGTGTAATAGAATTTGCCTAGGTGTTGGAATCAGACTTGACTGCAAATTCTGATTCTGTTACTTTTTAGCTGTGTGACCTTAGATAAATTATTAAACCTTTCTGAGCTTCAGTTACCTCTTTTTTATCTACAAAATGGAGATAATAAGACATACCTTTTACTGTGAGGATTAATAATAAAATCTTTAAATGCACCTAACACGATGCATTGTACACGTTAGGTATTCAATAAGTAGTAACTATTCTTAAGGTGTTTTAAATTCTTAAGCCCACCATTTAATTTTTCCAGCACATGTTATTTTTAAAGCAAGGCTCATTTTATTTTTATTATTATTTTTTTTTGAGACAGGGTCTGTCTCTTGCCCAGGCTAGAGTGCAGTGGCACAATTTCAGCTCACTGAAACCTCCACTTCCTGGCCTCAAGCGATCCTCACACCTCAGCCTCCTAAGCAGCTGGGACCACAAACACGGGACCACATCCGGCTAATTTTTTTTTTTATTTTTTGTAGAGAAAAGGTTTTGCCATGTTGCCCAGGCTGGTCTTGAATTCTTGGGCTGAAGCGATTCCTGGCCTTAGCCTTCCAAAGTGCTGGGATTACATGCATGAGCCACCGCGCCTGGCCAAGTCTCATTTTAGATTCAAAATATAAACAAGTAATGGGATCTTGAAAGGAAGAATCAGTGAGGCATTGTGTCTTATAGTACTTATTGGTAAATGGATAAATATTCAGGAATAAGAAAACATAAAATGGTCAAAAACATGTCCAATTATTTTTTGTAGGAGACACCCTGAAACAGAAGAGGACAGCACTCAGGAGACTGAGTTAATTGTGAAATGTGTGCTGTCCTGCAGTAGGCAGAGAATGGGAAGATATTTGCTCTGTTGAATAATGACGTAACTAACTTGAAAGCATTTTGGAAGATCATATGCATGTCTCCTTTTGCCTTCAAAGGACTTTACATCACATGGCCTAAATTTGCTTCATCATGTCATCATGAAGTTGAACGCCATAAAAGATATTTAGGAAAATGGAAGTTATAAAATATGTAAAAATTACTTATAACAAAGAATAGTTTATTGAAAAACTATTTTTAGAAGTTTCTTCTGGTTTTCTGTCCTTGTGATAGTTTGCTCAAAATGATGGTTTCCAGCTTCATCCATGTCACTGCAAAGGATATGAACTTATCCTTTTTTATGGCTGCATAGTATTTTATGGTATATATGTGCCACATTTTCTTAATCCAGTCTATCATTGATGGACATTTGGGTTGGTTCCAAGTTTTTGCTATTGTGAATAGTGCCGCAATAAACCTACGTGTGCGTGTGTCTTTATAGTAGCATGATGTCGCATGTTCTCACTCATAGGTGGGAACTGAACAATGAAAACACTTGGACACACGGTGGGGAACATCACACATGGGGGCCTGTTGTGGGGTGGGGGCAGGGAGAGGGATAGCATTAGGAGAAACACCTAATGTAAATGACGAGTTAATGGGTGCAGCAAACCAACATGGCACATATATACCTATGTAACAAACCTGCACATTGTGCACATGTACCCTAGAACTTAAAGTATAATAATAATTTAAAGAGTTTCTTCTATTTAAAAAAGAATCGGGGGAAAAATGAATAAGTAACACTGAAACATTGCAGTAAAACTTGATAGAGTGAAGTAAAAATTTCCTTTGAGAGTTAAAAATGATTCTTCAAGAAATAGCAATAGTTATTGAGGATCTTACTGCACTCAGAAAAACAGGGGCAACCCCCCTAAGACAGTACCTTCTGAGCTTAAGTGCAGAGATATGAACTTCATAATATTTTAAAACCATGACATTAGCAATCACTGCATCTGGCTCAGATAGTGCAGTTTTAGCTAATATTTGTCAACTAAATGAGTAGAATAAACTCACCTCAAAATACATTTTGAATCTCAAGAACCAGAGAACATAAGTAAAATACTCTTATTAAGAAATAGTAGTTGCCATCAGTCAATTCTTGTTGCTGCAAATTTCTTAAATCTCAAATCTAAAAAGAAGAAATATATGAAGTTAGCCATATGATCACATCTTACAGGACTAGAAAACAAGTGGTATTACAGTTGGAGCAACAGATGGGGTCCAACAGATAATTCCAGTTGCAGAGAGCAAAAGAGGTGGGTAGAGGTGAAGTCAGAACGGTAGGTGTAAGGTAGACGCTCTCCAGAGGGTAAGGGAAGCTCCACGATGGGATAGAAGTACAGCACCTGAAAGAAATACATACTTCCCTCCTGGGGAAGAGCCAGAAACCAGATTCAGAAAGATTGGAGGTCAGAGTGTGGCATCAGAATACATGTGGTGCACAAGGAAGCGAATGGGATTCATGAGGAAGTAAGAAGGTACTAGCTACGTCTAAGGGAGAGAGGAATGAAGAAATAGAACCAGGAACAACAAGATGTCACTCAGGATCACTGATCAGGAGCAGAGTAGGGAACACACCAGGGAGTTTTAGAATCCAGCAGGCAGTTACTCCTAATGATGAACTTGTGGGCATAGCCTATTTTCCATAACATCTTCTGTCCACTACTTTCAATTTGTAAAATGGTCAGGCCTGGCCAGGTGGACAACAGTGTGAGTCTTGGCGAGTAACATCTTTGTGATTTGATATTACAAAACAAAATGTCCTAAGGTAGTAGGTCCCAGGACACAGTCTGGGGTTCTGCCAAGCAAATAATTCCAGAAACGTGATGGCAAGGCCTGTGCAAGCCAAAGCCATTGGTGCCTCTTGCTTCTTATCTGATGAAGATGTCCTCAACTTCTTCAGCTAGTGACAAAATTAAACACTCACTCCAGACCAATACATAAGCCAATTTGTGATAGGACAGATAAACTTGTTTTAATTTGGGAAATTCTATAAATTTTAGAAATATGTGAAATGAAATAAATGAGATATCAGATGCCCAGAGTCAATTGAGAACTTCCTAATTCATCTCAGTTACTGACTTATATAATGATGTCTGGCAAATGGCCTTGGACAAGGAGTTCAAGTCCCAAATTGCATTTATAATTCCAAGTGGAATATATTGGTGATATCTTGATCTTTGTGTTGGGAACACCCTAGTCTCATTTCAAAGATTGATAAATGGGTAGTTATATGATGTAAGAGTGTTTGCTCTCGCTTACCTAGATAAACAAGTAAGTAGACCTAGCTACAATACAGAAAAAATCCCAAAATGTTGCAGGTTAATGCTACATGCAACCCACATCTAATCAGAAATTGTATTATTTTAATTCTGCCTCCTAAATATCTCCCAAACAAAAAAATAATTTTTTCCCTCAACTTACTGTGACATTGACCTAGTTCAAGCTCCTTCACCTGGACTATTAAAGCAGCTTCTTAATTTTTTTCCTATCTAGCTCTCCCTTATTTCTTCCAATTTCTTTTCCATACACAGCAATTACTGTTTTTCTAAATATCTAACCTGATAATTTCATTGCTAAGATTCAAACCTTTAATGGTACCCAGTTTTTTTGTATAAAGCCAACTTTCCTTAAAATGGTCTATGAAGATGTTCATAATCTTCTTGTCATTTGCTTTTCCAATTTGAATTCCATATTTGAGCCCCAATGAACAACTTTTAGCTCCCAAATGTCATGCTGTCTCACCTCTGAGTCTTGCACTTTATGTTTTCTCTGTCTGTAACTTTCTTCATTGCCTCTTTCCTACTTCTCTCTTCTTTCAGATTTTATGGCTAATTTCTACCCACCTCTCAGGTTTGGGCAGGCAAACTACTTGTGCTCACCAGTATCCATCTTTCCTTCTTTATCCTTGGCACGTGGCTAGACTACATTTCCTAGTCTTCCTTGCAGTTAGGTGTGATCATATGACTAAATAAAATGTGAGTGGAAGTGGTATGCCTGCCACAAGCCCATTAAAAAAACCTGCCACAAGAAACCAAACCTTCCTCAACCTCTCCATCCACCCATCTGACTGGAAAGGACTCAGAGGACTTTGAGGAGAACAGAGTCCTAAGAAAGGTGCCTGGGACTTTCATTTGACTGTAACATGAGCAAGAATAAATCATTAGTGTGTGGAACTGTGGAGAACTTGGGGTTGTTTCAGCAGCTGGCATTGCTATCCTTAAGTGACTCAAGGTTTTTGTTGACATAACTTTGGGAAACCTTCTCTGGTTGAAAATATCTGTCTTCTGTACTCTACTATAAGCTTGGTAAGGGCAGACACCAATATCTTATTCACTATTTTATCTTTTGTTCTTATTACAGTGTCTGTACACAATGTGTAAACACCCCAAAATATCTGTTGAATGTTAAATCAATGGGTTTTAACATTGAAGCTTAGAGAATTCACATTTCAGTTTCCAGAGATTAAACATATATGATTAAATTTAGAAAGTACATTTTATTCCTTTATTTGACAGAGCAGAAACTATGAAAACTGGGAAATTCTTACATCTAAACAAGCAAACAACTTGAAAGACCAAATCAGCATTTTGGGACAAGGAAGTTAGTACAAAGAGAGGTTTACATTTTGATACTTGAGCTTTTGAAAAGCTGAAATAGGCTCTAATTTTTCTTATCAATTTTCAGAGCTCTAGGCAATTCAAACCTGTTCAAAGTGTCAGTTGACATGTCCAGTAATGGTAGGTGCACTTTGTTACAAGACCACAAAAGGCAATAGTTGTCTACTTATGAGAAAAATATTGCCAAGAGAAACTTGTCATCTCTATAGCATTAATATAAAACAATTTGTAGTTATTGAATACAATGGATCTCCATCTTAGGCCAAGGTTTTTTTGTGTGCGAAGTGATCACCACTTTCTCTCCTAATTAGGGTATGATGGACTTTAGAGTAGCCCATAGAAATCATCCTGGAAATAGAAAAATGAATGAATTTTCAGAAAGAAAAGAGGGAAGAGAAAATGAGTGGGAGGGAGAGAGAAAGAGAGACAGAGACAGAAAGATCACATACTAGAATATTCTCTATGTGAATAAAGAGCCTAAGATTTTCACACTTCATTGACCTTCCTCAACTAGAAGAAAGTCTGCTGCTGCTGATTTTCACTAAAATTAATTATGGCATGGATAGGAGAGAACAAGGAGAAATAAGTATTCAAAATTTACTAAACTTCTATATTTCTTTTATTTATAAGAAATTATTGGATTTTTTTACCTTACCTCTTTGCTAAAGGATTGCAAAAAAATATGGTTTCAGATTGCATATTTAAGGCAAATGAAATTAGCTATATGTTCTAAATCTATTATTTGTTTCTTTCTTGCTACAGAAGCCTGATGACTGGTATGCCAATTATGACACCTTTCCTTTCCTATTCTTTTCAGCTTGGGGTAGCCACATGATCCAGTTCTCTCCAATGAGACCTAAGGTGAAATCTGTTGATGAAATTTCTGGTGATTTTTTTTAAATAAAAAGGAACAGATGCTGTTGACACTGTTCTCCCCTACTTCCAGCCCCCAAAGTATTCTTCTTACTTTGAATGCAGATATGGAGTCTATAGCTTCAGAGGCCATTTTGCTACTATGAGGCACTAAGCATGAGGATAAAATCCAACATGATTTGGATGATAAAGCTGAAAAATAGAAAGAGCTTAGGCTTCTGGCATTGTTGAGAAGATTAACTAATACCAGCAGAGAGAAACATTTATCTCTAGGCTCTCTGTAATATGGGAAAAATAAACCACTGTATATTTAAGCCTTCATTAGTCAGATTTTCAAAAACATTCAAACACTTGGCCAATACATAGAGACAGAAGAGTAGAGAACATATTGAAACATATTTAAAACTCACGCCAGATTCCAGTGCATACCTTTCTCTTGCTGATTGGCCAGAATAGCCTAGGATTCAGGATTTATGCACATTTGGATATTCAGTTTAATGGCAGAACTGTGAAGATGAGAACAATGAGTGAAAACCATTTAGTTAAGAAATGCTGTTGCCAGTTACTTAAAAACAAAACCTGTGCAAATTTTTAAAAAAATGTTTTATAGGCTGCAAATCAAAGAAAATACTGAGGTGAATTTCAATCATTTTAGAGGTTTATTTTGCCAAGGTTAAGGACACACTCAGGAAAAAGGAACACACACATACAAAATACAAAATTAGCTGGGAGTGGTGGTGCACACCTGTAAACCCAGCTACCTGGGAGGCTGAGGCTGGAGAATTGCTTGAATCCAGGAGGCGGAGGTTGCAGTGAGCCAAGATCGCACCATTGTACTCCAGCCTGGGCAACAGGAGTGAAACTCCATCTCAAAAAACAAAGCAAAGCAAAGCAAAGCAAAGCAAAGCAAAGCAAAGCAAAGCAAAGCAAAGCAAAGCAAAGCAAAGCAAAGCAAAGCAAAGCAAAGCAAAACAAAACAAAACAAAACACCCAACCAACCAACCAAACAAGAAAACCCCCCCAAAACAAAACAAAACACAGGAACAATCTGTGATTCATGCTTTTTCCACAGAGGATCTGGGAACTTCAATATTTAGGGGGAAGAGCAGGCAGTAGGAGAAAGAAGAAGGAAAATAAAAAGAGGGAAGGGTAGATAAAGGGGGCAGCTGTTGCATTCTCTTGAGTCTTCAATTAGTGTTCACTGAATCCACATCTTATATGTGAAAGGAGCGGGTAGAAGAACAGGCAATTATGCATTCATCTTGTGCTCAGTAACTCTGTATTTTTACATATGATAAAAAAAGAGTTGAGGAAGCAGTCAGATATGCACTTGTCTCTGGTGAACGGAGGGATGACTTTTAGTTTTCTCGTTTGTCCTGTGGCTGTGACAATAAGCTGTCAATTTACATTGTCAGGGTGAAATTCGACAGATTTGTTTTAGGATAAAGATCTTGGGGTTCACAGGGAATTTTCTGGTGAGCAAATTGTGAGGGAGATATGTAGCCTTTTATCTTTGTAGCTATCTATTTAGGAACAAAATGGGAGGCAGGTTTACATGACCTAGTTCCCAGCTTGACTTTTCCCTTTGGCATAGTGAGTTTGGAATCCTTAGGTTTTATTTTCCTTTCACAGGCAAAAGCATGTTTACAAGAACATAGATACTATATCAGATGGGACTGACAGACTGAGATATTATTCTTACATGTGAGGCTTTTTTTGTAGTTATTCAGGATTAAGAACAGGATTGGTCATCAAGTCTGGGGCACAGCTGTAGATGAAGAGTTAAATGCTATAAAATATTTGCTTTAACATATTTGAAGAGATTTCTTCTGAGCCATATATGAGTGACCAATGGCCTGTGACACAACTGTCAGGAGATCCACCAAGGTGGTCGGGCTATAGCTTGGTTTTATACATTTTAGGGAGACATAAGACATCAATTAATACATGTAAGATGTACATTGGTTTGGTCTGGAAAGGCACGACAATTCGAAGTGGGGGCTTCCAAATTATAGGTAGATGCAAAGATTTTCTGATTGGCAATTGGCTGAAAGGTTAAGTTACTGTCCAAAGACCTAGAATCAATAGATGGGAATGTCTGGGTTAAGAAGAAGAGTTGTGGGTTATGCAGAGGAAGCCTCCAGGTAGCAGGCTTCAGAGGGAATACATTGTAAACGTTTCTTATCACAGCTGATTCTTTCCTGAATCAGGAAAAAGGCCTGGAAAAGTAAGGGGATTCTCTTCAGAATGTAGATTTTTCCCACAAGAGACAGCTTTGCAGGACTATTTCAAGATATGGCAAAGGAACATAATTTGAGGTAAAACACTTCAATTTCTTTCAGGGCCTGCTATCTGTCATGTGATGCTGTACTAGAGTCAGGCTAGAATTTGGTATCTCGTTGTTACAAAGTCTGTTTTGTCAGTCTTAAGGTCTATTTTAGTACTAATGCTAGTCAGCTGTGCCAGAATTCCAAAAGGGAGGAAATAATGAGGCATGTCCAACTCCCCTTCCCATTATGGTCTGAACTAGTTTTTCGGGTTGACTTTGAAATGCCCTTGGCTAAGGGGAGGGTCCATCAGTCAACCAAGGGGCTTAGAATTTTATTTTTTTGTTTACATTGCTAAACCCATAGCCTAAGACAGATACACAGACTTGACTGTGGGATTGGAAAAGAAAAGTGACTGGTGGGTAATTGTCTAGAAAATTTTGGTAAAGTCATGGCTATGTATCCCCATCAACCTATTAGGAGGATTAGAGATATTTAATTAATTCTTAATTTTGGAGGGTTAGAATCTTGGAACCGCCTCATCAAATGTCACTCCGTATTGGAGTTAGGGTAGCTGAACCATTGAGCTAAACCAGAGCATATGAAGAAAGAGCAAATGTTTGGAATCAGAAGGGTTTTAGGTCAGTGCTCTGACAATAGCTCATTGACCTTGGGAAAAATCACTCTGATCCTCAGTTTTCTCAGCCACACAATGGATATAATAATACTTATTGTCTGTTCTTTCTAGGGTTGTTCTGAGGCAGAGATAAGAAAGTGTGTGTCCCGGGGCCTGTCGTGGGGTGGGGGTAGGGGAGAGGGAAAACATTAGGAGATATACCTAATGTAAATAACAAGTTAATGGGTGCAGCATACCAACATGGCACATGTATACATATGTAACAAACCTGCACATTGTGCACATGTACCCTAGAACTTAAAGTATAATAATAAAAAACAAACAAACAAACAAAAAAAGAAAGTGTGTGTAAAGTCTTTTTGTATACTGTTAAATGTTACATGGATGTTAATTGTTGATGATGATGATGATGATATGCCTAATGTGGAGCCTGGTATTTTTCAGGAATTACTAATCCATCTTAATCACTTTCTTCTAGAAATCACAGCAAACACCTGAGCAATGTCATTCTATAAACATCCCTGGTTAGGTTTAGGGAGCAAACAGAAATCTAGGGTTCAATTGTTGGAGTCCTCTCTGTGCTATTAGCTAGCACATTTCTGATAACTCCTCAACCTTCATGACAAGCTGAAATGTACTTTTCAGCTCAGACCCCTGTCATTTTTCTGGCAGAGGCTGAGAGATTTTTAGCACAGGAAGAAAAGCCTAAGAGTCTTTTCCTTCTTGGCCTTGAAAAGAAAATATAACTGTTTGGCAGAAAAAAAAAACATTCACAGGTCTGACAAAGAACTAACATTTATTCTTTTAAAATGTACTTATGAAATAATTCAGATATATAAAACATTTTTAACAATTTATATTGTACACTCACATTTCCACCCACCTTAAGAAATAAAACACCAACAAAATAAGACTTTTGGTACCCCTCTGAGATTGTATCCCAGATAAGCAGTATCTTGAATTTTGTTGTTTGTCATACAATACATTTCTCTGTATTTTTGCCATTAACCAACATCAATTCCTTATAAGGGCATATCTTTAGCTATGCATGGTGACACGTGCCTGTAGTCCCTGCTACTAGGGAGGCTGAGGTGGGAGTTCACTTAAGCCCAGGAGTTAGAGGTTACAGTGAGCTATAATCATGCCACTGCACTCCAGCATAGTGAGACCCTGTCTCTATAAAAGGTATTTTTAAAACAATTTTTAAAAATGAGCAGAATCTTTCCAGATTTATCACAGTTCTATATATCAATATTCCTTCTTCATTTCCTGTTTTAAAGGTTATAGCATTTCTTTTTAAAATTGTAAGTTTCTCACTAACATACATGTTTTTGACATCTCAAGAATTGATCTTGGTGAAACATATATATTTTGGTAAAAAATAAAGCACCAATGCTCATTATCTTTATACATTGCAGAATGTCTCCCCCGCTCCCCCCTCTTCCTGAACCTCTTCTCCCTTCTTTATTTGCATTGGCATGTGGACTTCTTGTTCCCACCAAATGAGTCAGTGAGATAGAACGGATGTCAGTGTCTCCTGAAAAAAAAGAAAGATGCCATACTGTCTTGTAGAGTCACAAAAAGCATTAGTTTGAGCCAACGCTGAAAAAAATTGGGAGAGCTCACATAAAAGTCTGGATTTCTGGCTTCTTTAGAAAAATAGAAAACACTGATAACATACTGCCAACATTCCCACATAACAATCATCCACTTGAACCAAGAAGCAGCTGCGTCTTTTAAATGGGGCACTTTCCATTTTATCATGTTCCTATCACTCCTTTTTTCTCCCTAAGAACAATGTCATTTGCCATTTATTATCACACTTGGACTGCTGATGTTCCTTATGGTAGAGGAAAAAGTTTTTTCCTTACCCATATCAATTCTCTCAAAAGTAGGGAAAGAAAAAACAAAAAAATCAATCAAAAGGGCCAAACCCACTCTGAAGCCACCCTTAAACAAACAGATAGTCTAGGAAAAAAGTGTGCTCACTCCAAAATCACAACTTTAAGAGAAGCTCCCCTGACTTTTTTTTAATCAATTAGATCGCTGCTTCTAAGGCCCTCTTCTATAGGAATTTACTTCAGTTACCTGCCACCTCGAACCCTCACACCAACTTCCGGTCTCCTCTAGCTTCACATGTAATTTTAACCTAGACTTAAGACAATGAGTGTGGAAAATGAGACAGGAGAAATGTAGGAAGAGGATAAATGTTAAAAGACTCTCAACATAAAAGACTCCAAACATTCAAAGACATCCCAGCTTTGAATTTAGGGATGAGGCACAGAAATCAACACACAGTGGATAGGATTATTTGAAAACAACTTCACAAAAGGAGATCCACTTTAAATATAATTTAAAAAGGTTGGTGGTAACTTTAAAGTGTTTTTTTTTCCTAACATCTCATCAAATTTAAGCCAATCTAAAATATGATGATAGAGAATAAACTCTAACCTTGGAAAGTATATTTAGGTTGTAATGACTGAAGCATTTGGTAGGCCAATAGCAAATATTAAAAATGAAGAGAGGCAAAGTAAAGAAATTGTAAGTATTTAGCTAGCAGCATCCATGGAAAAAAGGCACTGTGTATCTGACCCCTAGATAAAACACAGGAATTTCAGCCACTAGCAAGGTGTTCTCTGGACAGAGTAGGTATAAATCATTTGGCTTCTATATAAATTATTCAAGTACCTTCTTTCTCACTTTAAGCTTAAGAAGAATCTTATAATTATTATTTTGGGAAAAGTATGTCTTAGCTAAGAGACATGAGAACAAGTAATCCTTGATGTATGAATAGCTATCTGATTTAAAAGCAACTGGTAACATTGTAGTATTTTCTCCATATTACTCATAACCCTGTTCCATGTACCACTCTTCCCATAGGTGACACCCCTGCTATTTTTTCTACTACTGCAAGTCACATGAAAAGTGAAGGATAGTGGTAAGAAATAAAATGTTATGCGTGTCTAGAAGTATTAACTCTGGCCATGGGTGACTACTCCAACAGCAGTCCCCCTCTTCCACCTCTTTTTCCTTAGACCCCTTGGCCACCTCTGTCATGGGAGAGGGAGGGTCAAGGGAAATCTGCTGAAACAAGATAAATTCTTGTATCTTTATGTAGAATCCTGAATGTCTTCTCCTATAGAAATACTATTATAAATTGTGGTTAAATTTAGTTTAAATCATACTGAATGTACCATACTTAAGCATGTTTTTTGCTAGATCAATCCTTTTGAATTAGCCTAGGACTCCAAAAATGATTGAAAAACATATTCCACAGTCATAAACACATATGTACAAGTGAAATTTTGGAAGCAATCTGTTTCTCAGTTTGAGAAATGCCTTTGCTCTCTCATTATTATAAATTATTACCCATTATTAATTTATAATCATCCTGGCTTTTTTATCTTAGAATTTAGGGTAGGAAGAATTAGTGCTGAATTAAGATTGAGAGTCCTAAATTGCAATACTGAGATTCATTCATTCACTAATAGCTACCATATATTAGTAGGCACTGTACTAGGTTTTGGGATATAGAATGATTAGAACAGATGCACTCCCTGCTGTCATGAAACCTGCAGTTTATATGAGGGAAGACAAATACTAAGCAGTTGACCACACCAATAATTAACTATGACTCTGTTGAGTTCTGTAAAGGGACAGTGCTGGGAAAAAAAAAAATTAAGTAAGGGAACCTGACCTCTTGTGGGAGTTAGGGAAGACTAAGGAAGGCTATATGGGGCCTGAAAGATGATTAAGATTTAGCCACTTAAACCAGTGGAGAATTAGTATCCCAGTTAAAGGGGCCAGTATCTGCAAAAAACCCAGGGTGAGAAGAAGTTTGGGGCATTGGAAGAAATAAAAGGAGGTAGTGTGTCTAGAACATATTAGCATGAGCAAAGGCTGGACTAGCAGGTAAGGGCCAAATAAAGCAGGATGCTTTAGGTCATGTTACAGATTTTAGACTTCACTCTAGTATCAATAAGAAGCCACTGTAGTATTTCATTTATTATGATTATAATTATGATTTTAGAGACAGCATCTTGCTATGCTGCACAGGCTGCACTTGAACTCTTGAGCTCAAGTGATCCTCCTGCCTCAGGCTCCCTAAGAGCTAAGATCACAGGTGTGCACCACTGCACTTGGCTCTGGAGTATTTTAATCAGAATGATGTGATTAGATTAAGGTTTAGATCCAGTCTGTAGTCTCTAATGACCCCACATAGATGTAGTTATACCCTCAAATTAGCCTGTAGCAAACAGCTGCCTCAGTCCACTATACTGCAATCAGCAGCATTCTATATAATGCATTTCTAAGTTCCTTCTTGAAGTAATTCCTCAAAGCATAGGATCATTTTTTCCCACATTGCCTCCAAGAAAAATTAACTAACTCTTCGGTCTATGGAATAAACAGTTACTGTTTTCTTTATTTCATCTTTACTCTTTTAAAATCTAAATAATTTATTACTTTTTCTACTAGCTTCTAAGCTCCTGTTCAGAAGTTTGACAGGAATTCAGAATCTAGTTCAACTCTTAGGCCACTAGGAATTCATTTAGGGAATTGAAGTGGCAATTTATTAGCAAACTGGCATGGAAGCCCATTTTCTTATCTTTGTACTGTATTTGTTTCTGCATTTGGGCCATTCTGAAAGTGGCAGTTATTCATGGCCTGAGAGTAAATGCAGTGTTCAGATTGCTAAATTTTGTGCTCATGAGAGATTGTACTGGAAGAATTTTATTATAAAATGCTCTATATTATAAGCACATCCAGTGACTCTTTGGCATCAATCTCCTTTTAAAAAAATTAAATAATCAAAAGTAACTAAATATAATTTAAACCTACCCCCAGACTCGTGCTATTGTTTTTTTCTTGCATATGCAGAGCTCTCTGATTATCCAGAGAGCTCAGCCTGCAGAAGCAGTGTGTGTGGGGGCGGGGTGGACAGAACAAGATTTTGGCCCTCCATTGCAAACTGTTGCCTTTTCAAATGATGCACACATGCTTGGTCCATCTGTCATCAAGGACTCTGCAGAGTAGTCAGTAAAACTTTCTATTCCATGTTTGAAACTGCATTGCCAAATATTAGTAACTCATTTTATTTATAACCGATTCTCCAAAGTAGGAAAAACAGGTGGTACTCGTGAAGAACTCAATAGTAGCCAAATTTCAAAGGTCAGATGCTGCAAGTGTGGAATAAGAGGAAGCATTCTGTGTTCATACTCTTACTGTAAAAATGTTTGCCTATGGCTCCTTTCCCCAACTATAATAGTAGTGCTTAATGCTGCCCAGGACCTCCTTCTAGAGCCTTGCCCCGAAACCCCAGCCAAATCACTATTCTCCAGGAAGTTCCCCAGGCTGCAGACTTGTAAAAATACCCTCATGGGAACTCCTTCCTAACTCATTTTATGAGGCCAGCATCATCCTGATACGAAAACCTGGCAGAGATACAATAAAAAAACTTCAGGACAATATCCCTGATAAGCATCGATGCAAAAATCCTCAATAAAATACTGGAAAACCGAATCCAGCAGCACATCAAAAAGCTTATCCATCGTGATCAAGTCAGCTTCATCCCTGGGATGCAAGGCTGGTTCAACATACACAAATCAATAAACATAATTTGTAACATAAACAGAGCTAAAGACAAAAACCACATGATTATTTCAATAGATGCAGAAAAGGCCTTTGATAAAATTCAACATCTCTTCACATTAAAAATTCTCAATATGCTAGGTACTGATGGAACATAACTCAAAATAATAAGGGCCATTTATGACAAACCCACAGACAATATTATACTGAATGGGCAAAAGCTGAAAGCATCCCCTGTGAAAAGCAGCACAAGACAAGGATGCCCTCTCTCACCACTCCTATTCAACATAGTATTGGGAGTTCTGGCAAGGGCAGTCAGGCAAGAGAAAGAAATAAAGCGTATTCGAATAGGAAGAGAGGAAGTCAAACTGTCTCTGTTTGCAGATGACATGATCGTATATCTAGAAAACCCCATGTGTTAGCCCAAAAGCTGCTTAAGCAATAAGCAACTTCAGCAAAGTCTCAGGATACGAAATTAATGTGCAAAAATCACAAGCTTTCCTACACACCAAGAACAGACAAGCAGAGAGCTCAATCATGAATCAACTATCATTCACAATTGCTACAAAGAAAATAAAATACCTAGGAATATAGCTAATCAAGGAAGTGAAGGACCTTTTCAAGGAGAACTACAAATCACTGCTCAAGGAAAGAGAAGACACAAACAAATGGAAAAACATTCCATGCTCATGGATAGGAAGAATCAATATTGTGAAAATGGCCATATTGCCCAAAGTAATTTATAGATTCAATGCTATTTCCATTAAAATACCATTGATATTCTTCACAGAATTAGAAAAAAACTATTTTAAAATTCACATGAAGCCAAAAAAGAGCCTGTATAGCCATGACGATCCTAAGCAAAAAGAACAAAGCTGGAGGCATCACATTACCCAACTTCAAACTGTACTACAAGGCTACAGTAACCAAAACAACATGGTACTGCTATAAAAACAGACACATAGACAATGGAACAGAATAGAGAACTCAGAAATAAGACTGCACATCTACAACATTCTGAACTTCAACAAACCTGACAAAAACAAGCAATGGGGATAGGATTCCCTATTTAATAAATGGTGCTGGGAGAACTGGCTAACCATATGCAAAAAACCTGAAAGTGGACCCCTTCCTTACACCTTATACAACAATTACCTCAAGATGGATTAAAGACTTAAATGTAAAACCCCAAAGTATAAAAACTCCAGAAGAAAATCTAGGCAATACCACTCAGGACATAGGTATGGGGAAATGTTTCATGATGAAAATGTCAAAAGCAATTGCAACAAAAGCAAAAATTGACAAATGGGATCTAATTGAAACTAAAGAGCTTCTGCACACCATAAGAAATTATTTTATCAGAATGAACAGACAACCTACAGAATAGGAGAAAATTTTTGCAATCTATCCATCTGACAAAGGTCTAATATCCAGAATCTACAAGGAATTAAAAAACAATTACAAGATGAAAACCAAAGAACCCCATTAAAAAGTGGGCAAAGGACATGAACAGACACTTCTCAAAAGAAGACATACATGTGGCCAACATATGAAAAAAAGCTCAACATCACTATCATTAGAGAAACGCAAATCAAAACCACAGTGAGATACCATCTCATGCCAGTCAGAATGGTGATTATTAAAAAGTCAAGAAACAACAGATACTGGCGAGGCTGTGGAGAAATAGGAATGCTTTTATACTGTTGGTTGGAATGTAAATTAGTTCAACAATTGTGGAAGACTGTGTGTGGTGATTCTTCAAAGACCTAGAACCAGAAATACCATTTGACCCAACAGTTACATTACTGGGTATATACCCAAAGGAGTATAAATCATTCTATTTTAAAGATACATGCACACATATGTTCATTGCAGCACTATTCGCCATAGCAAAGACATGGAATCAACCCAAATTCCCATCAATTATAGACTGGGTAAAGAAAATATGGTTCATATACACCACAGAATACTATGCAGCCATAAAAAGGAATGAGATCATGTCCTTTGCAGGGACATGGATGGAGCTGGAAGCCATTATCCTCTGTTACTGCAAACTAATGCAGTAACAGAAAACCAAACTCTGCATGTTCTCGCTTATAAGCGGGAGCTGAACAATGAGAACACATGGACACAGGGAGGGGAAGAATACACACTGGGGTCTGCTGCTGGGGGAAGCAGGGGGAGGGAAAGCATCAGGAAAAAGAGCTAATGTATGCTGGGCTTAATACCTAGGGATGGGTTGATAGGTGCAGCAAACCACCATGGTATATGTTTACCTATGCAACAAACCTGCATATCCTGCACAAGTATTCCAGAACTTAAAATAAAGTAGTAAAAAATGCCCTCATGGTCCTTCATTTCCTTCCCATGTGGTTTTGTGCTGATAAATTATGGCCATCTAATCTCACAAATTCATCCATGAATTGTTTTAGTGATGATTGTTGGTGTTAAACCCCTCCTGGAGATGACTACAGAAAACAATGGTTATAACGTCAAAAGATTTTAGCTACATGGCATGTCAATACGCAAGACAATATTGTGGGGAGGAAGGATCTTTCACTTATTAGTCTCTTATACTGTGATCATGAGAACATCAACAAATTTCTGAGGAATTAAGAATAGAATAAATACTGGGAGATAGCTTAATAAAGTTCAGATTTTCAAAAGGGAAAGAAGGATGCATTTTGGCTGTCTAGTATCCTTCTTTTTTTTTTTTTTTGTAACACTGTTTTTTTTCTCTTGGGAAATTACCTCTTTCCCCATTGGAGTGGCATATTACAATGCCTTGATGTCTTCTAGCCAGGGGATGGGCTTGTGACTAAATATAGCCAATCAATTCGCACACCTTGAATGACTATTAAAATGACTGAATTTTTGTGGACTTTATTTACCCTGATAGGGCATTTTAAACAGGCCATCCATTTATTGTTGCTATTGAGACACCCAGAACTACCTTGGGTTCTTGGTCTTTCTGAAACTGGTTATTTAATCTTCTCTTTTTAGTTCTTCCAATGAATTCTTTTTTATTGCTAAGTTAGCTAGAGTTCATTTCTGTTGTTTGCAAACAACAGAAAAGAACACTAATTCCACAAATATTCATTCTAAACTGGTAAATGTGATATTTATCCTATAAGTTTCTAGAGAGATTATCTACCAAATCTAATTCTTCTACCATTGATGTGGTGGGACTCCTATTCCTAGTCCCTTTTGAAGTGAAGTATGCTCATGTGATTTTCTTTGGCCAATGAAAGGTGATTTGGAGTGATATGTAGCATTTCTAGGTGAAAACTTTGAAAACCAGTGTGCAGTTTGCCACTGTTCTGGCGATCAGGGAAGTTTGTGTCAAAATGAAATCTCTATTAGCATGGGTATCTGAGGGACTATGATGAAAAGAGCTTCTCTGCTGCCCTACATTAGGCTTGTAGTATAAGGTAGTTATGAACTTTTGCCATGTTAAACTATTGAGATTTGGCCGGGTTGATAGCTTGGGGAGCTGTTATTCTGACTAATATAAGAGCGACTTTAAAGGATGCAGAAAAAAGGGGAGTTATTTCTGGTTCCTAGCTAGCATGGAGTCCTCAAGGATAAGACATGTTAGATATTTTACTCTCATTTTTAACAATCAGAGTTGTTAGACCAGAAATATAAGAGGAATGGAAAAGGCTGAATTTCTCTCCTAACTTAAGTAATATGTAAACCCTATTAAGAAGAAAGAAGAGGGCCAAGCACAGTGGCTCATGCCTGTAATTCCAGCACTTTGGGAGGCCGAGGCGGGCGGATCGCGAGGTCGGGAGATCGAGACCATCCTGGCTAACATGGTGAAACCCTGCCGCTACCAAAAATACAAAAAAAATTAGCCGGGCGTGGTGGCGGGCGCCTGTAGTCCCAGCTACTCGGGAGGCTGAGGCAGGAGAATGGCATGAACCCGGGAAGTGGAGCTTGCAGTGAGCCGAGATCGTGATCGTGCCACTGCCCTCCAGCCTGGGCAACAGAGCGAGACTCCGTCTCAAAAAAAAAAAAAAAAAAAAAAAAAAAAAGAAGAAGAAGAAAGAAGATAGAATCTGTTTAAATTATTTTTATTTTAATGATAGCTAAATATAAATAAAACTGTAAAGCAAGATCATCAAATATGAATGCTAAAAAAGCTACACAACTAGTATTATTAAAATTCATCCCGTGAATTAAAATAAAATTGCTGTTTAGTAATGTGAACATGGTATTGACTTCCATAGGTTTAGTCTTCCAATTCTATCACATGCCGTGTGATGATTCAGGTCACCCACGTTTTTTCTTTATTTGAAACACTGCAAAATCATCATTTATAGAGGACACAGTGATGTCATTTAGCCTGCTTTTGGTGTGCATGCATCATTTCAGTATTAAGGCATCCTTTTTTTCTTAATTAAAAACAATTAAAGTAGTACTTTTTGGTACCAAGGATAAATGCAGACCCAGGAACAAAAGTAGTGTGCCAATCCTCAGTTATAAAAGGGTCATTCAAATTATATTGAATACATTTGTATTAACTTAAAAATGATTCTTATTAAAATGAAATGATAACATTAGCATAATTCTCATAAGGGACTTGAGAATCTGAGAATATGTGGATTACCAAAGCTGCATGAAATAGTCTGAAAGACATTGTGCTTGTTGTGAAATATCAATATTTCAGCAAGACATGACATCTCTCACAACACTGGACATCCTCATGGACAAGATAATAATTATTGAACCATAGCAATAATTCATGGAATGTTTATTAATGGGTCAGTATCAATCCAGAGATAGGTTTCTAGTGGCATACCTCAGAGCCCTATCCCAAACTTGTTTTATTTTGTAACTTAACTGAAGTCACAAATAAAAGTGTAGAATGTGTTAAACAAACATATTAATGACAAGCTGGAGATGAAACAAATATGGTACATGAAGAAGAAATACACAAAACAACCTCTACCCCATCTCCTTTCCAAGATTTGATTCCTATGTCATCAGATGTCTATTCCACCCATGAGCCCTCCCTTTTGTAGTGATGTACTGACCCCAAGAAGATCACTCCTCCTCATTTCTGTCTCTTTCTCCAATAATACAGCTGTCTTTATTTTTGGTAATTTCTTCATACAGATGGATAATCCTTCCAATTGCCTGACTTTTTGGTTTCTTTATCTCCTTCCTTTCTTCCAATGTCCTTGTCTTCCACCTTCCTTCAGCCACTCTACAGGTCGTATCTTAAATTTTGTGATTGTGAATAACTGAAATCTCTGCATAATCTCAATTTCAAGTTTTCTATTCTGACTTCCACCTCCTCTAACCTTTTTAGTTCATTTCTTTCAGTACCTGAATTCCAGCAATCCTTTGAACCCACCAAGACCATAAAGTATTCTACTATCTAATCACTCATGTCTTTTGTCCCTTTGTTATTCAGTTTGAATTCTATGATCTATCAGTATACTAACTCCTGTACTTATACCCTTACCTTCTTTCCACTCGCCACTATCTCACTATATTGCTTTCACTCATCTTCAATCAAGACTAAATCCAATTTTATGCCATTGCCTATCTGTACTTGTTCAGTCAACATGACTAGAGAAAAACACAGAACAATGTTGACTTGTTTCATTTTGTATTCATGATCATTAACCTTAAGTGGACTCTTAATGCTGCCCACCAATTACACATAGGCCTACTCTGTTAGATTCAGATAATTATTTCATTCTTCTCCTTTCTTTTTAAATTTTCAACATTTCTTCCCTCATAAGCTTCACTTTTAGCTTATGACCTTGCTTCCACTTTGCCTGATAAAATAGAAGCAATATTTAAGAACTTGCAAAAGTGATACCACCTTTTCTACCTTTCTTAACATACTTGTGACCATATACTTTGCTTTCTCCTCTGTTATTATGGATAAGTTCTATGTACTTGTAAATAAGTCCAGGCCTTCAACTTTTCTAGATCTTTTCCCTTCTCTCCCACTCAGGGATGTCCTCCAACTATTCTTCCTACTTTCATGCATCATTGATTTCCCAATAGTAAACATTCTGTTTTTATTATCTTATCATAAAATAAATAAATAAATAAATAAATAAATAAATAAATAAATTACCCTTCTCTTGAACTCACTTCCTTGCCAGCTCACATGCCATTTCCCTTTACAACAAAACCCTAAGAAAAAGGTATTTATACGCTTCATCTCCAATTTCTCTCTTCCCCTTCTTCCTGGAATGCATTCTAAATAAGCTTTTACCCTTGCCACTCCACCACAACCACTCCTGTCAATATCATCCATGACCTCATGTCCTCATCTTATTAGACTTTCAGCAGCATTTGACAGACTTGAGCACTCCCTCCTTTTCACTTGGCATGGACAACACACTCTATTCGTTTTTCAACTACCTCATTTACTGTTCCTTTTTATTCTCTCTTCTTGGTTATTACTCAGTTCTTTACATTGGAATACCTTAGGTTTTAGTGATTACATCTCTACTCTTTTCTATCCATACTCATTCCCTTGGTGGTCTGATTCAGTAGCATGATTTTTGTTTGTTTGTTTGTTTGTTTGTTTAGAGATGGGGTCTCACTCTGTTGCCCAGAGCTGGAATGCAGGACTACAGGTGTGTGAGCCACTGTGTCTGGCTCTTTAAATGCAATCTAAACACTGGTGGTTCATGGCTATAAATTTATAAAGACATTTTATGGCTCAGGTCTCTCCCCTGAATGCCTGACTTAAATATCCAACTGCCAATGAACAGGGCCAAAATATTAACAGGTCTAAAACTAAGTCCTGATCTGCCCTTAAAAACTTTCTCCCCCAAGTTGAACAATGGGAACACATGGACACAGGGAGGGGAACATCACACACCGGGGCCTGTCGGGGTGTGGGGGGCTAGGGGAGGGATAGCATTAGGACAAATACATAATGTAGATGACAGGTTGATGAGTGTAGTAAACTACCATGGCATGTGTATAACCTATGTAACAAACCTGCACATTCTGCACATATCCCAGAACTTAAAGTATAAAAAACAAAACAAAACAAAAAAAACTTTCTCCCTTTGAATTCTTCCCTGACCAGTTAATGGCAACTTCATTTTTTAAATTGTTCAGGCCTGATACTATAAACTTCCAGCAGTTGTGTAACAGTTTGCACCAACTGATTATTACTTATTTAACAGTTCTTCATATCAGTACTTTTTTTCTGGTTATTGATCAATTACCTATCCCATTCTTTCAAGTAAGAGACTTTCTATTTTATGGTATCTAAGACTAAGAAGATAATCTCTACATTTCTGGGAACTATAATTTAAGAGGGTTACAGGCATCTGGAGGGTGTTAAGAGGAAAAATCACCAAGATATTGAGAGAAAGTAAAGCCAAGTTTATGAGGAATAGTTGAAGAAATTGAGGATAGAGAAGAAAAAAATCAAAGGAGAAGTTACATCTGTTGTCAAATATTTCTACAGTCCTTCATGTGGAGGGATGATGACCACAATTTGAACTATCTATCCTAGTACAGTTAAGCCATTAGGAATATGACAATGCTTTCTTCTGGGAATGGATAGACTTGATAATCAGCCACTAAAAGAACATAATACTGCAAGGCTTAAGCCATTTAGTTCCAAAGACTATATATGTATATCTATGACCATCTCTCTCTCTCTCTCTCTTTCTGTGTGTGTGTGTAATAAAAAACGAAAGGAATAATATCTTGAGATGTTTCACAGTCTTAATAAATTGCTATATGTCCATGATTGTTACTTTGCAATATCTTTACTAGCGTATAAAGGAAACCCTTTATTCAGTGTCCCAAAACAAAAAGTTTAGTTGGATGTTATCATACCTCATCTGAGAAAGAGATGATCAACAGTCTCATAGGTAGAGAAGTAGTGATTGGATCACGTCCAAAGAACGAGACTCTAGCGAAAATGTTTCTGTCCAATCCTTTTAAGAGACAGGCTTCTTTTCTGCTCAGATATGTACAAGTTTAAGGAAAGAGATCTGTCTCCCAAGGGCTGAAAAACAAATTGGAATTATATGTGATGTCTGTCATATATAGTTCTGAGTCTTTCACCTATGCTTTATAAACAATAATCTATTATTTAATTTTTGACTTGGCAAGGAGAAGAGGTTATTTCCCTGAGTTTCAGCTACAAATTCCCAAAAAAACTTCTTTTAAGACGAATATTGCAGAGTAACAAATTTTGACTTTCTATGAAAACGACTTATCATTTCCAGGATGTGTTGCCTCTAGAGCAGTGGCTCTCAATCTTGGCTGCAGTTGAAGTCACTTGAGAGAGTTAAAAAATTCTGATTTTTGGGTCCCACCCTCAGATTCTAATTTGGTTGATCTGGGCTGTACCTTCAGCATGGTGATTTTAAAACGCTCCCACAGGTGTCCCATTGTGCAGCCAAGGTCGAAAACCTCTTCTCTAGAGATATTTTAGTCCTTCTCTCTGTTGCTGAGGATAGATGAGGGAAGATGGGGGTGAGGGTAGTGTTTCATGTATGTGTTGGAGGATCACACTGAGCAAATGTTGCTGAAATAATCTAAGCATTAAACAGTTTATTGGAGTAGGTAGCCTTTTATCTTTTCCAACCTTGAGATTCTATCATCTTGTGTCTAGCCTTCACAGTGCACATATATGGAAACAAGGAAATGTATACAAGGATACAAATTCTACTGAGCTATACAAATAGGGATGATTGGCTAGTATAGCTGTATTCTTAGTTGCTGCCTCTTTGGGTGAGTAAACTATTATTTTATTCTGACTGCTTTTCAATGCACATGACATAGTTTTATTAGACTACATTATGCACGGCATCATTGAGTCAAAGAAAAGTTATTAGCCTGCTAGAAGAAGCTTCTTAACCAGCTGTGAGGGCTCGTTAATATACATTATGATGTTAATAGTGCACATAAATGTGTGTTGAATAGGTGGTAGGGGACAGAAATTGAAAGAAAATTAAAAATGTGAGAGAGACTGCAGCACATGGGAAATAAATGCTCATTGCCACTAGTCTCAATTATTTTTCTTTTTTTCAAGGTCAAGTTGGCAATTTTTCACAACTCCTACCCACAAATGCCCTTCCCGATTGATTGACTCTTACAGCTAGAAGCTCTTCTTACACCCAGGAGGCAAGCTTGCTTCTTTTATGATATTAGAAAAAAATCTAAATGCCAAAGTGAAAAGAATACTGAGCTTCTGTTTATTTTTATCTGAAAATCAAAACATCATGCAAACTCTAAAGCAGTTAATTTTGATTTTAATCCAGGGTTTAAAAAAATAAGCTTAAATAACTAAAAAAATATCCAGAGGAAAATTGTTAATTATTTTAAATAAACATAAATAAAGCCTTATTATAACACTGCTAGGTAGGAATCTCCTAATTCTTCCCACTCAGTAAAGCATGCTATCTGATGTGGCAAAAGAAAGAAAATCTTTTGTTCATCTTTCCTATTGCAGGATGAAAGAATATCTAATGCTTCCATAATTGTGTAGGACTTTTTCTCATGGATTTTTTTCCCTAAAATTTAACCATAGCTTGAAGAATCAGGGTAAACTATCAAAATTTTGTACATAGAGAAGGGGAGAAGTCTCTAGGGATTCTTAATTGTCATATTGATGAACAAAGTGTATTAGTCTGTTTTCACACTGCTGATAAAAACATACCCAAGACTGGGCAATTCACAAAAGAGACAGGTTTAATTGGACTTACAGTTCCACATGCCTGAGGAGGCCTCACAATCACGGCAGAAGGCAAGGAGGAGCAAGTCACGTCTTACATGGATGGCGGCAGGCTAAGAAAGAGCTTGTGCAGGGAAACTCCCATTTTTAAAACTCTCAGACCTCATGAGACTCATTCACTATCATGAGAACAGTGCAAGAAAGACT
The DNA here is from genome assembly GCF_000001405.40 of Homo sapiens. Classification (NCBI taxonomy): domain Eukaryota; kingdom Metazoa; phylum Chordata; class Mammalia; order Primates; family Hominidae; genus Homo; species Homo sapiens. The sequence continues at coordinate 120,890,127 of NC_000003.12, forward strand.
CACCCCCATAATTCAATCACCTCCCACTGGGTCCCTCCCACAACACATGAAAATTGTGGGAATTACAATTCAAGATGAAATTTGGGTGGGGACACAGCCAAACCATATCACAAAGAGAGATGTACATGATGTTTGATAGAAGTAGGAGAGTGTGATTAAATGGGAGAAGGCAGGAATAAAGTGGGAGGTAGGGGCTGTTAGCAGGGTAGGAAGATAACATTTCCAAGACAATCATTTAATTCTAAATATTATATAATGTATCAACCTCCTTTCAAAATTCCAATCTACAAATATTCTTTTTTTAGTGGCCTAATCTGTGAGATGCAGAGAGTAAATGTGCTTTTTTTCTCCAAAGCCCAACAATATCTTAAAAGAGGTATAGGATGTAGAATTGACAGAACACAGGAGTTAGTCATAGATTGGCTGTCACCAAGTGAGGGAGACAAAAGGATCAAGAGTAATTTCTGGGTTTCTGGTATGAGAAATCTAGTTGATTGAAGTACCACTCACTGAAATGGGGAACAGGAGTAGTTTAGTTCAGCCATGTTTTTTTGAGATTTCTAGAAGACATTCCAATGGAGCTATCAAGTAGAAAGGTGACTATAGTTCTGGAGCTCAGAAAAAAGATCTGGGCTCCAGTTATCAATTTGTAGGTGATTACCATATACATGGTATTTAAAGCCATGGGACCAGACAGATCATAGGTTATAGAAATTAGAATGTAGAGTGTGAAGAAAAAAAATCTAGAAGAAAGACTTGAGGCAGTCCAATTCCTTCTGTGGAGAGAGGGAGGGTCCAGAAAGGACTGGCCAGAAAATTAGGACAACTAGGAGAGTGAGCCATAGAGGCCAAGAGAAGTGAGTATTTGAAAAGGAGAGAGAGTCAACTGTGTTGAGTGCCTTTGATAAATCAAATAGAAAGGAAGTTGAAGTGTACATTGAATTTAAACCTGTTGAACACTGGTAACCTTAGCAAATGCACTTGCATTGTAGTGGTGAGAATGGACCAGATTAGTAGGGGTTATATAGGGAAAATGAGGAAGTTTAAACTACTTTAAGATATTTATTTGTCTATAAAGGGGGAGTAGAGAGATACAGGTAGCTGAAAGGAAATATGGGAGTCAAGATAATTTGTTTTGTTTTAAGATAGATGATTTTATATCATGTTTAAATGCTGAGGGAAGGATCAAAAAGGAAATGGCTGAAGATGTGGGAGAGAGAAGGAGCTACTAAATGGGGTGAGGTTCATGAGAAACCTGGAGGGGTAGATCCAGAGCTTATGGTTTGGGACAGAAGGAGAAATCTGTCAATTGTCAAAGGGGTGGGGTGGGGATGGGTAATTAGAGAAGGCAAGGATGAGTGCTGATGTTAGTGTTGTCTAGAAGATTTGATGATAGGATGATGAGGACATTCACATTGAGTGGCTTCCATTTTCTCTACTCATGGCAAAGTCATCAGCTGGAGTTGCAGTGGGAAAGGAGAAATTGGAGGATTGAGAAAAGTAGAAAGATTATGAAATAGTTGTAGCAGGTAATGACCTTGTTTCACTGGTTATCTTAGTTTACATTTGGATCTTTAGTAGTTTGTTTTCTAGTTCTACCACTCTGCTTGAAAATATTATAACATCTCTCCAATTCACTCATATCCCCTCCAGTCCCTCTCTTTTTGCCTCTTTATTGTTTCCCTTTTTTCTTTACTACCAAACTTCTTGAAATAGTAATTTGAGTTAATTACCAATTCTTGCTTATATTTCATTTGCTCCTAAATCCTTAGGATTTAAGGATCCTGAAGTGTTGGGAAAAGGAAGATGACCCAGTGAAGAAGATGAAAGGGACCTCAAAGAAGTCAGAAGAAAATCAGCATAGAGTCATGTTAACGAAGCTGAGTACAGAATAAGATTCCAAAAGAGCTAAAAATCCATCTCAATTCATTCACCTCTTCTTTACTGAGGAATAATTGGTTATTCCTTCAATACAATCACAAGACTCTGTTTTTACAATTCACATCAATAATCTTATTACAGTGGTTTATTATTAGTTGTTTATATGTCTGTTATTCCCCTATACTCAATTGTTATTAGTCCTTCAAGTTAGTATTACTCTCTTTTTCATTTCTTTTTTCTTTATGATTTTTGTCCCCTATAACATCTAGCATTGTACCTAGTGCAAAATACGCACACAATACATATTTGTTGAATAGGTGAAGTATTTTATCTAACTTGTGGCTTAATTATCTTCAAACTCAGGCCTGAAATCCTAGCATGAAGCATGAATATTACATACTAGTGTTCATTCATTCAGCAAATATTTACAAAATACCTACCACATGTTAGTCACTATTGTTAATATAATGTGATGGGGATATAACCATAGACAAAAGAGACAAAAATCTATTTTTGTAAGCCCTTTTACAAACCATAAAACTGACCCTTCTTTCTATTCCCTGGTATTTTTCCTCTTTTCTATTCCTGTCTTATCAAAGGCTAAGGCCTTCAGGAAGCCTGATACGCATAAAGGGAATAAGATTCCTTCCTCATCATCTTGTTTGCTTCCCACACTCCATGAAACACATGTTTTGGTAGCTACTAACCTTAATTCTTTCAACTTTCTTCCTTTCTTGGACTGTGGAAATCTCTCTGAGTTGAGGAATTATAAATATGGTAACTGTATTTTTATGTTTATAAATTAGGGCACATATTCTTACAAAAAGCTTATTTTTTTCTTATTTGTAAACTAATTTACATAACATCTTACTGTGGTATAAAATTTAAATCACATTTAATTATATATATAATACTTTTTAAAAACTATACAATTACATAAAGAGAAATTAAAAATTCAGCCAAGACAAATGTTAGTTAATACAATATTTGCATTGTCACTTTCATCATCTGCTGTTGAAATGATGGCACATTATTATTCTCATACTTGTTTGAAGAACTCAGCTTGCTTAATAATTGTTTATTCTTTCCATTTTTTCCCCCCAAATTTCTTGGCAAGTCTCTGAGTACTCCATGCTGATTACTAGGAAAGATTTTACAATGCCAATGGTTATTTAAATCTCCAAAAATTGTTAATGAAGAAACAAACAATAAAGAACAAGCAAGCAAACAGCTTTCCTCAGTTCTGGAGTTTAAATAGACAGAGACTAAGCTTATATATTTTCCTTCCATTTCTGGAAGAATAATGTTTCCATGTTGAAAATCTTTAAACATATTCAACAGTCATTGATCTATTAGATACATTTGTCTCATTTTGCTAGCAAGTTCTTGTAAAGATACAACTTAAGGCCACAGTGTTCCTTTAACAGATAACATGACTGAGTTAATTACCTACTTTTCCAAGATTTATCACTCTGTGTCTCCCCAACTGAATCTACGCAGCTTATAGTTTCTTAGATTTCCTTTCTAAATGAGATTTCCTTTCTAGATGACTAGGTAATTAGCAACCTACAAATATCCAGGTACATACTACCCAAGGTCCAAATCATAACAAACAGTATTTTATAATGTTCATGTTAAGTTCTTTTACTTTGCATAGTAAAATTAACACTTTTTTCTTTCAATTCTTTTATAATCACTAATATTCATATGAGACTTCTGGTGCTGAAAAATAATAGTAGCAAACATTTATGGAAGTCGTCCTATGTGCCAGGCAGTGTTGAGTGCTAGCATGAATTCTCTCACTTAATCTTTACAACAATCTCATGAGGTTGGTAATTTTATATTCCTTTGGTCGATAAGAAAATTGAAGCACAGAGAAGTTAAGTAACTTGCCCAACATCACACACCAAAAATGTGGCAGCCTCAAATCTACCTGAAACCAGAGATTTTGCTCTTAAAAACAAACTATCATGTATCTGTCTCCCCTCAAGGTTTTGCCGCTCAAACTTAAAAACGGCCTTATGGAAAACAGTGGTATTTGTTGAGAAACTGGATGTTTTTTCATGGTTTAGGAAAACAATAATACAGATTTTTTTTTTTTAATTTAAAGTCTTAGTATATTTAGAGGTACACAATATTTAAATAGAAACTGTTCCAGAAAATTCAAGATATTTGGTCTCCATAATTAAAGAACATTAGACACAGACATACTTAAAAACTATGCAAAATAAAGTAATATTTGCATTAAATAAAGAAGGATTATGGCTAAAGACAGTAGAGAACTGGGAATAATGGGGAGGAAGGAATGAGACTGAGAAATAAAATTTGTTTTTCTAACCACGGAGAGCTAGAGGGAGAAAAACCCATAAATCACTCTGGCTGTTACTGAAAAAATGCTTGTAAAGTTCCTCAGCTTGGCAAAGGTTAAGAGAACAATAATGTTTTGTCAGCCCGAGCCAGCCAAGGAGCTGATTAGAACAGAAAGTTTATCCTTCATAGCCAGAGAGGACCCATTTAAAAGGTTTTCTTGTTTTAGAGTCTGCAATCAGACAGGCACGAAGTCACTCATCCTTTTTCTTACCCTCATGACCGTGTGTTTGAACTTCTGCTTATGGTAAAGCAAAGTCATGCTGGTATCCTGGCTTATTGTCTGAAACTCCAGTGTGCCAGTTTTAGCAGAGCTAATAATTAGTATGGCCATTTACAAAATTATAACATTATAACCCTTTGTTAGCCATTAAGAAAAATTAATTCAGTAATGGCATTATTAAATTTGTTATTACCATCACGAAAATAAATATATATCCCTACTTAAACTGGTGCAATCTTCATGAGTCATGATGAATTAAAGTTTCAGGAAACAAGAGAGGCTAGGTCTAAAAGAAATTGTTTCCTCTTGTCTCCATATTCCAAACCCAAGAAAAGCTTACATCCCTTTGTAGTTTTTTTCATCTAGATCAGGATCAAAGAATCTATGGTCTATGGCCTGAATCTTGCTCACAACTTCAGTGTGAATAAAAATTTCAAGGGTTCATATTTCTGTTTATTTTGTCTATCATTGCAAAAACCAAAACTGGTTTTTAAAGGTCTCTAGTATTATTTTAAGATGAAATTCTCCTTCTGTAGATATATCTATATTTCTTTCTCTGCCCTTTCAGCTGTCCTTGTTCTTATTTTCTCATTTTCCCCTCAAATAACAATAACACAAAAAACTACAATTCTTATTTGATAAAATTGGATGAAAGTTTGTGTCATCACTTTTAAAATTTAGAAGTAAAACTTAGAGATTACTAAGCTTCTCTCTAGCCTTAAAGTTCTATGAAAACTTTTATAGTTCCTCCCTCCAAACTGAAATCACATGCAGTCACATGTTTTACATTGCCACGTTTTTCTGTTCTGTTTAGTTGATTATGCTTAGGAATTCTTATCATTTTAAAATCTCTCTGAATTTTGTCAACATCTAAATGAAAACATCAATGTAGGTGGTATGGGATTTCACTTTACAAAAGTCCCTTGTAACACGAGCTCTCCACAGAGACCTAACCTCTTAATGAGGGTATAAATTTGCACAACCTCTTAATAATAAAATTTAGAATTACAAATGAAGACATATTATTTTGACATAGTAATATCCCCTAAAATACTGAAACTTTACCAAAGATTTAGTATGAAGGTATTATCCTCATTATTATTTATAATAGTATAAAGTTAGAAAAAAATAAAATATTCAAGAATATGGAAATGATTAAATAAATTGTGGAATAATTACATGATTAAACATAATATTGGCATTCAAAAATGATGTGTCTGAAGAAGAATATTTAATGAAATGGGGAATGCTTACAACAAAATGTTAGTTAAAAAAAGAAATCAAAATAGTATATATTAGACACTTCCAATTTATTTAAAAAGGTCCTAAAAAGGACTAGAAATAGATGTCTAGATTTTCTAAAGTTTCTCTAATACATGCACCTTACTTTTATAATCAGATATAAATGTACACAGATGTAAATAGAAATATATTAATAAAAATGTGATCTCCAGAAATCTCTAATTGGTAGAAGGACACTTTTGAGAATTTGTGTGTTTTTTGTCTACTGTGGGCTACAGTTCAGCTCTGTTGGCCAGTACCTACATGGATACCATTTTAATTACCTTTTCCTTTTTTTTTTTTTAACAAGTTGGCACTTTATTCTTTTTTTTTAATTATTATTATACTTTAAGTTTTAGGGTACATGTGCACAACGTGCAGGTTTGTTACATATGTATACATGTGCCATGTTGGTGTGCTGCACCCATTAACTCGTCATTTAGCATTAGGTATATTACCTAATGCTATCCCTTCCCCCTCCCCGCACCCCACAACAGTCCCCAGAGTGTGATGTTCCCCTTCCTGTGTCCATGTGTTCTCATTGTTCAGTTCCCACCTATGAGTGAGAACATGTGGTGTTTGGTTTTTTGTCCTTGAGATAGTTTGCTCAGAATGATGGTTTCCAGCTTCGTCCATGTCCCTACAAAGGACATGAACTCATCATTTTTTATGGCTGCATAGTATTCCATGGTGTATATGTGCCATATTTTCTTAATCCAATCTATCATTGTTGGACTTTTGGGTTGGTTCCAAGTCTTTGCTATTGTGAGTAGTGCCGCAATAAACATACGTGTGCATGTGTCTTTACAGCAGCATGATTTGTACTCCTTTGGGTATACCCAGTAATGGGATGGCTGGGTCAAATGGTATTTCTAGTTCTAGATCCCTGAGGAATCGCCACACCAACTTCCACAATGGTTGAACTAGTTTACAGTTCCACCAACAGCGTAAAAGTGTTCCTATCTCTCCACATCCTCTCCAGCACCTGTTGTTTCCTGACTTTTTAATGATCACCATTCTAACTGGTGTGAGATGGTATCTCATTGTGGTTTCGATTTGCATTTCTCTGATGGCCAGTGATGATGAGTATTTTTTCATGTGTCTTTTGGCGGCATAAATGTCTTCTTTTGAGAAGTGTCTGTTCATATCCTTTGCCCAATTTTTGATGGGGTTGTTTGTTTTTTTCTTGTAAATTTGTTTGAGTTCATTGTAGATTCTGGATATTAGCCCTTTGTCAGATGAGTAGGTTGCAAAAATTGTCTCCCATTCTATAGGTTGCCTGTTCACTCTGACAATGGTTTCTTTTGCTGTGTAGAAGCTCTTTAGTTTAATTAGATCCCATTTGTCAGTTTTGGCTTTTGTTGCCATTGCTTTTGGTGTTTTAGACATGAAGTCCTTGCCCATGCCTATGTCCTGAATGGTATTGCCTAGGTTTTCTTCTAGGGTTTTTATGGTTTTAGGTCTAACACCTAAGTCTTTAACCCATCTTGAATTAATTTTTGTATAAGGTGTAAGGAAGGGATCCAGTTTCAGCTTTCTACATATGGCTAGCCAGTTTTTCCAGCACCATTTATTAAATACGGAATCCTTTCCCCATTTCTTGTTTTTGTCAGGTTTGTCAAAGATCAGGTAGTTGTAGATATGCGGCATTATTTCTGAGGGCTCTGTTCTGTTCCATTGGTCTATATCTCTGTTTTGGTACCAGTAATATTTTGTTTTGGTTACTGTAGCCTTGTAGTATAGTTTGAAGTCAGGTAGCATGATACCTCCAGCTTTGTTCTTTTGGCTTAGGATTGGCTTGGCAATGTGGGCTCTTTTTTGGTTCCATATGAACTTTAAAGTAGTTTTTTCCAATTCTGTGAAGAAAGTCATGGGTAGCTTGATGGGGATGACATTGAATCTATAAATTACCTTGGGCAGTATGGCCATTTTCACGATATTCCTTCTTCCTACCCATGAGCATGGAATGATCTTCCATTTGCTTGTATCCTCTTTAACTTCATTGAGCAGTGGTTTGTAGTTCTCCTTGAAGAGGTCCTTCACGTCCCTTGTAAGTTGGATTCCTAGGTATTTTATTCTCTTTGAAACAATTGGGAATGGGAGTTCACTCACGATTTTGTTCTCTGTTTGTCTGTTATTGGTGTATAAGAATGCTTGTGATTTTTGTACATTGATTTTGTATCCTGAGACTTTGCTGAAGTTGCTTATCAGCTTAAGGAGATTTTGGGCTGAGACAATGGGGTTTTCTAGATATACAATCATGTCATCTGCAAACAGGGACAATTTGACTTCCTCTTTTCCTAATTGAATACCCTTTATTTCCTTCTCCTGCCTCATTGCCCTGGCCAGAACTTCCAACACTATGTTGAATAGGAGTGGTGAGAGAGGGCATCCCTGTCTTGTGCCAGTTTTCAAAGGGAGTGTTTCCGGTTTTTGTCCATTCAGTATGATATTGGCTGTGGGTTTGTCATAGATAGCTCTTATTATTTTGAGATACGTCCCATCAATACCTAATTTATTGAGAGTTTTTAGCATGAAGAGTTGTTGAATGTTGTCAAAGGCCTTTTCTGCAACTATTGAGATAATCACGTGTTTTTTTGTCTTTGATTCTGTTTATACGCTGGATTACGTTTATTGATTTTTGTATGTTCAACCAGCCTTGCATCCCAGGGATGAAGCCCACTTGATCATGGTGGATAAGCTTTTTGATGTGTTGCTGGATTCGGTTTGCCAGTATTTTATTGAGGATTTTTGCATCAATGTTCATCAAGGATATTGGTCTAAAATTCTCTTTTTTTTGTTGTGTCTCTGCCAGGCTTTGGTATCAGGATGATGCTGGCTTCATAAAATGAGTTAGGGAGGATTCCCTCTTTTTCTATTGATTGGAATAGTTTCAGAAGGAATGGTACCAACTCCTCCTTGTACCTCTGGTAGAATTCAGCTGTGAATCCACTGGTCCTGGACTTTTTTTGGTTGGTAAGCTATCAATTATTGCCCCAATTTCAGATCCTGTTATTGGTCTATTCAGAGATTCAACTTCTTCCTTGTTTAGTCTTGGGAAAGTGTATATGTCAAGGAATTTATCCATTTTTTCTAGATTTTTTAGTTTATTTGCGTAGAGGTGTTTGTAGTATTCTCTGATGGTAGTTTGTATTTCTGTGGGATTGGTAGGATATCCCCTTTGTCATTTTTTATTGCGTCTATTTGATTCTTCTCTCTTTTTTTCTTTATTAGTCTTGCTAGCGGTCTATCAATTTTGTTGATCTTTTCAAAAAACCAGCTCCTGGATTCATTGATGTTTTGAAGGGTTTTTTGTGTCTCTATTTCCTTCAGTTCTGCTCTGATCTTAGTTATTGCTTGCCTTCTGCTAGCTTTTGAATGTGTTTGCTCTTGCTTCTCTAGTTCTTTTAATTGTGATGTTAGGGTGTCAATTTTAGATCTTTCCTGCTTTCTCTTGTGGGCATTTAGTGCTATAAATTTCCTTCTACACACTGCTTTGAATGTGTCCCAGAGATTCTGGTATGTTGTGTCTTTGTTCTCATTGGTTTCAAAGAACATCTTTATTTTTGCCTTCATTTCCTTATGTACCCAGTAGTCATTCAAGAGTAGTTTGCTCAGTTTCCATGTAGTTGAGCGGTTTTGAGTGAGTTTCTTAATCCTGAGTTCTAGTTTGATTGCACCATGTTCTGAGAGACAGTTTGTTGTGGTTTCTATTATTTTACATTTGCTGAGGAGTGCTTTACTTCCAACTATGCAGTCCATTTTGGAATAGGTGTGGTGTGGTGCTGAAAAGAATGTATATTCTGTTGATTTGGGGTGGAGAGTTCTGTAGATGTCTATTAGGTCCGCTTGGTGCAGAGCTGAGTTCAATTCCTGGATATCCTTGTTAAACTTTCTGTCTCATTGATCTGTCTAATGTTGACAGTGGGGTGTTAAAGTCTCCCATTATTATTGTGTGGGAGTCTAAGTCTCTTTGTAGGTCACTAAGGACTTTCTTTATGAATCTGGGTGCTCCTGTATTGGGTGCATATATATTTAGGAGAGTTAGTTCTTCTTGTTGAATTGATCCGTTTACCCTTCTGTAATGGCCTTCTTTGTCTCTTTTGATCTTTGTTGGTTTAAAGTCTGTTTTATCAGAGACTAGGATTGCAACCCTACCTTTTTTTGTTTTCCATTTGCTTGGTAGATCTTCCTCCATCCCTTTATTTTGAGCCTATGTGTGTCTCTGCATGTGAGATGGCTTTCCTGAATACAGCACACTGACAGGTCTTGACTCTTTATCCAATTTGCCAGTCTGTGTCTTTTAATTGGAGCATTTAGCCCATTTACATTTAAGATTAGTATTTTTATGTGTGAATTTGATCCTGTCATTATGATGTTAGCTGGTTATTTTGCTCGTTAGTTGATGCAGTTTCTTCCTAGCCTTGATGGTCTTTACAATTTGGCATGTTTTTGCAGTGGCTGGTACTGGTTGCTCGTTTCCATATTTAGTGCTTCCTTCAGGAGCTCTTTTAGGGCAGGCCTGGTGGTGACAAAATGTCTCAGCATTTGCTTGTCTGTAAAGGATTTTATTTCTCCTTCACTTATGAAGCTTAGTTTGGCTGGATATGAAATTCTGGGTTGAAAATTCTTTTCTTTAAGATTGTTGAATATTGGCCCCCACTCTCTTCTGGCTTGTAGAGTTTCTGCTGAGAGATCAGTTGTTAGTCTGATGGGCTTCCCTTTGTGGGTAACCCGACCTTTGTCTCTGGCTGCCCTTAACATTTTTTCCTTCATTTCAACTTTGGTGAATCTGACAATTATGTGTCTTGGAGTTGCTCTTCTCGAGGAGTATCTTTGTGGCATTCTCTGTATTTCCTGAATTTGAATGTTAACCTGCCTTGCTAGATTGGGGAAGTTCTCCTGGATAATATCCTGCAGAGTGTTTTCCAACTTGTTTCCATTCTCCCTGTCACTTTCAGGTACACCAATTAGATGTAGATTTGGTCTTTTCACCTAGTCCCATATTTCTTGGAGGCTTTGTTCATTTCTTTTTATTCTTTTTTCTTTAAACTTCTCTTCATGCTTCATTTCATTCAGTTTGTCTTCCATTGCTGATACCCTTTCTTCCAGTTGATCGCATTGGTTACTGAGGCTTGCGCATTCATCATGTAGTTCTTCTGCCATGGTTTTCAGCTCCATCAGGTCCTTTAAGACTTCTCTGCATTGGTTATTCTAGTTATCCATTTGTCTAATTTTTTTCAAAGTTTTTAACTTCTTTGCCATTGGTTCAAACTTCCTCCTTTAGCTCAGAGTAGTTTGATCTTCTGAAGCCTTCCTCTTTCAACTCGTCAAAGTCATTCTCCGTCCAGCTTTGTTCCATTGCTGGTGAGGAGCTGTGTTCCTTTGGAGGAGGAGAGTTGCTCTGATTTTTAGAGTTTCTGGTTTTTCTGCTCTGTTTTTTCCCCATCTTTGTGGTTTTATCTACCTTTGGTCTTTGATGATGGTTACATACAGATGGGGTTTTGGTGTCGATGTCCTTTCTGTTTGTTAGTTTTCCTTCTAACAGACAGGACCCTCAGCTGTAGGTCTGTTGGAGTTTACTGGAGGTCCACTCCAGACCCTGTTTGCCTGGGTATCAGCAGCGATGGCTGCAGAACAGCAGATATTGGTGAACCGCAAATGCTGCTGCCTGATAGTTCCTCTGGAAGTTTTGTCTCAGAGGAGTACCCGGCAGTGTGAGGTGTCAGTCTGCCCCTACTGGGGGGTGTCTCCCAGTTAGGCTACTCGGGGGTCAGGGACCCACTTGAGGAGGCAGTCTGCCTGTTCTCAGATCTCAAGCTGTGTGCTGGGAGAACCACTACTCTCTTCAAAGCTGTCAGACAGGACATTTAAGTCTGCAGGGGTTATTGCTGTCTTGTGTTTGTCTGTGCCCTGCCCCCAGAGGTGGAGCCCACAAGGCAGGCAGGCCTCCTTGAGCTGTGGTGGGCTCCACCCAGTTTGAGCTTCCCTGCCACTTTGTTTACCTACTCAAGCCTGAGCAATGGCGGGCGCCCCTCCCCAAGCTTTGCTGCTGCCTTGCAGTTTGATCTCAGACTGCTGTGCTAACAATGAGCGAGGCTCCATGGGCATAGGACCCTCTGAGCCAGGTGCGAGATATAATCTCCTGGTGTGCCGTTTGATAAGCCCATTGGAAAAGCGCAGTATTAGGGTGGGAGTGACCCAATTTTCCAGGTGCTGTCTGTCACCCCTTTCTTTGACTAGGAAAGGGAATTCCCTGACCCCTTGTGCTTCCCAGGTGAGGCCATGCCTCGCCCTGCTTCGGCTCATGCGTGGTGCGCTGCACCCACTGTCCTATACCCACTGTCCGGCACTCCCCAGTGAGATGAACCCGGTACCTCAGTTGGAAATGCAGAAATCACCCATCTTCTGCATCGCTTACGCTGGGAGCTGTAGACCGGAGCTGTTCCTATTCAGCCATCTTGGCTCCACCCCCCTTAATTACCTTTCAATAAGTCTGTGTAGTGTTTAGGAAGAGATGGTAGTGAATCTTGACTAAACAAATCATATGAAGACAGAATTTTTGATTGGAAAGAACCTTAAAAGTCACCTAGTCCAAATCCTCTTCCTTTTTCTCAATTTCAGCTATAGTCAATCCACAGATGCAAAGGAATTTCGTATTAATAGTAATGGGAACATAAATTCAAATCTAAAGCCAATTCCTATAAACTATTTTACTAAAGTACCAAATAATGGAAATGATGACAATATTATTTATTAGTGGTTTGCATTCTACAAGTCACTTTTATATACATAATTTCACTTGTTTCTTATATTACCCTGTATTTATTCCCATATAAAAGGGTAAATTGAGGCTTAGAGGCTAAAAGTGCTTGTTAGTGCAACAGTTAGTAAACTTAGGCCTGTCCCAACACTAAATCTTTTTTCTTACCACATCACAATGTGATGGATGAATATGTGAAAATTATTTTAGAATATGCACAAAGAGCTGATTTTAAGTACATGTTTAACAGCAAATATTTGAGTTTTGCCCCTAGCAGGGCAAAACTATTTGCTATTCTGTTATTGATTGTGTGCTGAGCCATATTTTGTGTCTTGGTTCTATCCTAATGACCCCTGCCTGTTTATCTGAAACCCATGACAGCTATGACATTATCTAATTAACCCTGTGGTTTTTCCTTTGTGGATTTGGACTAGGAATAAGGGTTTTAATGCTGATTGTTATTTATTGCCATATAATAGAAAGCTGACAATTATTAACCAGTACTCCTCTTGAAGGATGTATAATAGGGTCAGAAAAGAGTTAGATGAAAACTTAGGAAGGAAAGGTAATTCCTAATCCTCTGGAAAAATTTGCCAGAAAGGATATAGGTGGAACCTGTTTACTTAGCTATGTTCTCTTACTGAAATTCTAACTTTTAAACCGGCAAATAATAAGGACACTGCTATAACTTGATTGAAGAGTCAGAAGTGAGTGACAAATTAGGTTGCTCATGCCAGGACCTAGAAGCTCACAGCACGCACAATGGAAATGTTCGCATTTGCTAATGTAAACAATTGCCAGCCCCACCTTATGGTAAGTATTATGTCATCATTCTCCCTCCATCCAAATTCTCCTTCCAGCTGTTCTGATAGTCACTCAGACTACAGCCTTTCTCAGCAAATTAATACTGCCTTACTACATCTAATTAGTTATTGATAACTGATTTTCTTCAATTTTGATGGGGTACTCCCCTGCGACTCTGTTAATGTATTTCAAATTATACTGAGATTTCTTGTGAGATAAGAACCTCCCATTAGCTTGCCGTTCCCAAAGTCTTCCATTTCTAGTACTCAGTGCCCATGAACTCTCAAATGTCTTTTTAGTTCTAGTATCCAAATTCCTGAAGAGATATTTTCCATTTTTTTCTGTTTTGTTTTAACCTAATACTCGAATTTGTCATAATTAACTTTTCTAATATAAAACACCTTTATAAAGGGATTTCTCTGGGTCCTCAACAGAAAACTACTAGCGTGAGGAAAGAACTTTGGAGTAAGATTGAGATTAGTCCAAATTCTTGTTTCAAAACCTACCAGATGTATGATATTGGGCTTATTACTTAACCTTGCTTTGCTTCAGTTTTTTACCTGTAAAATGGAGTTATCTATAGCTACCATACATTATTGTTGTGAGGATTAAATGAGAAAATAAATGTAATTTTTTTTTTGAGATGGAGTCTCGCTCTGTCACGCAGGTTAGAGTGCAGTGGCGCGATCTCGGCTCACTGCAAACTCTGCCTCCTGGGTTCAAGCAATTCACCTGTCTCAGCCTCCCAAATAGCTGGGATTACAGGCTCCTGTCACCGTGCCCAGGTAAATTCTGTATTTTAGCAGAGACAGGCCACCATGTTGGCCAGGCTGGTCTCGAATTCCTGACCTCGTGATCCACCCACCCTGGCCTCCCAAAGTGCTGGGATCATAGGCGTGAGCCACCGCGCCCGGCCAATAAATGTAAATTTTTAAACACAATTCCAGCTCATAGTAGATGCTCTCCTCAAAGGATGTTGAATTTGATGATCTTATTGTCATGGGCTAAATTGTGTCTTCCCAAAATTCATATGTCAAAGCCCTAACCTTCAGTACCTCAGAATGGAAGCATATTTGGAGATAGGATATTTTAAAAGGTGATTAAGCCACAATGAGGCCATGAAGGTGGACTCTAACACAATCTGACTGGGAGCCTTATAAGAAGCGGAAATTTAGGCACATGGAGAAATCAACGAGGGATGTGAGCCCACAGAGAAAAGACCATGTAAGGCCACAGAGAGAAGGTGACTATCTGCAAGCCATTGAGAGAGCCTCAGAAGAAAATAAATCTGCCGATGCCTTGATCTTGGATTTCTAGCCTCCCAAACTGTGCTAAGTTCCTGTTTTTTAAGCTACCCAGTCTATGGTATTTTGTTATGGCAGTCCTGAAAGACTAATACACATACAATCACTATTTTAGGTGGAGAATTGACCCGCCACCTTTTTTTCTATTCTAGTTTCTATTTAATCTTCTAAATGGTATCAAATAATAAGGCACCGATTAAGAGCATGATCTTAGAAGTTAGACAGCTTTGAATTCGAAGACTGGATTATCCACCTAAGTGACCTTGGGTGAATTTCTTAAATATTTCTGAGCTCCAAATTTCCTCTTTCATAAAATGGGGACAATACCTATCTTATAGAGTTATAATAAGGATCAAGTTAAAAGAGTTGTATGTAAAGTTCATAGTACAATGTTTGACGTAGTGCTAAATAACTGGTAGAATTATTATTATCTCTATATACAATGGATTATTTACATATGGTTTTGTCAATTTTGCTTAGTTTTCTGTAACCCTAGCCAGTTAAATTTTCTTCTCTGTGTGAAGTGCCACACATGTACATACTTTCTACAATTATTTAATTATTTTGCAGGTGTGGAAAGGCAGCCTCTCTTAGCTTCATTGTTGGCTTGAGTCCAAAATCACGAACACTTAAAGTGAGTTGTAACATATTTTCAACACACATCCTAAAAATCCTTCTGATGTAGTAGATTTATTTAAATGCTTTGATGATTTTGCTCCATGGATCAAGCTGAAAGTATTTTTCTTTTTGCAGTTCTTCATACTTGTCATTTTAGGAAGAAATCAAGCCTTATTCAGAAGCTGTACCTCAGCCATTCCTCTCCACAAAGTATTCTTCCAGTTTGCAGTGAATGATAAGGGGTCATCATTATTATTACCCGATCCAACTCTGAAGTTTCTCACATTATTTATAAAATATATGCTGTGGTCTGGTCTCATTGCTGTTAATAGATGGTTTATAAAATAACATCTTATTGCTTTTTAATTAATCCAGGATGAAATTTACTTCCATAGATATTTCATTATGCTTCTCTCACCTAGTAAGATTTTTAGGCTATTGTTTCTGCTGTCTCCTCATACACACAATGTACTCTGCCTCTTGCTTAATTCTATCCTTTGCTCACAGTTTGTGAATTGGCATCACAATATCCTGTGTGCACAGGCTCTCTGAGACTGCAATTATGTTATGATTTTTACTTGCTGCCATTCATTCAAATTAATATTCACTGGGCACTTACTATGTAGAAGACATTATGCTATTCACTGTGGAGGAACACAGATATTTGAAATAATCCCAAATAGTCCACAATCTAAGCATCCTAATGATCATATTTTTTTAGGCTTCCAATATTTATTTGGAAACATGAATACATTTTGACTTGGCTTTTCTCCCACTTCCTATACCTATTTGTTGTCCCATCTAACTCAGGCAGTCCATTGAATTCTCTCCAGGGTCCTCAAGAAGGATCTCTGTCAATCTTTTGTGTACTTTTTTCCTCAGCTCTCCCCCAATTTTTAGAATAAAGACCATCATTTAGTTTGTGATAATATGGTGCTAGTGATGATCAGTTTAAGAGGTTTTGTTTGCAAACATTACATCTCACTTTGCTGAATTGGGGCTATTCTCCTTCTTCGCTCCCATCAAAATGTCAAACCACTACTTGCTATAGGCTTGCTTTCATTTATTAGAAAAATGAAAACTCAGCCACTTTATTATAACCCTCCTTGCCTCTGTTTTTAAAAAGAAAAGACAGACATAAAACAAGGAAAGCAAACTCTTTATCCTTAACTAGCGTCCATACTTTGAGGTGAGCAATGGGCCAGGAAGAAGAGAAGAAAAAAGGTGGAAAAGAGTAAAAAGATACCTGTTGTTAGGGACCCAATACAGAATTTGGAACCCTACCAAGATCTAGTTTGTGTCAGACATATCACTTATTTCCACCATTATTTTTACCCCTTTCAAACATTATGTAATTGGGTACCAACTCATATATCTTTAATAAAAAATATTAATAAACCAACTCTTCAGAACCCTTTACGTGCCTATTTTAAGTGAAATATTGTGCCTGGTGCTAAATAATCTAGGAGAAATATACAATTCCATGCTTGCCTTCAAGAAGGTTACTGTCTAGCTGTGGCAATGAGAGACTACCAGCAGTGTAGGGAGTCCCAAAAGGAGTGAAATAGTCATTCAGGACAGAAAGATTCAACGTTGAGCTGAGGATCTGAAAAACTGAGCTCTATTTCATCTTTACCATTTCTTTGCTATGTCCTTGGACAAGTCATCATCCTTCAAGTCTCCTGCTTCCTCCTTCCCACTCTCTCCCTTGATTGAGAGAAAAGAGAGAGAGAGAAGAGGAGAGGTGAAAAAGAAGAAAAAGAAGAAAAGAAAAAAAGAGGTCAAAGATTGTAAGATGTAAGACAATATTTGAAATGATCACTAATGAGTTCTGTTGTGATGCCCAAATTGAAGTCTCAGTTAGCTGTGACCCGCTGAACTGCCATTCATTTCGCAAAGACATCGGGGTCCAAATTTTCCCGAAGTCAATAGCAGGTGAGGGCTCAGAACCAAATCTATCCTGATACAGTTTTTTTTTCTGCACTGAATAATACATCTTTCAAAATGATTATTGTGACTCACAGAAATAGCTTAAAATATATTCTTGATACGGTTTACAGAGTGAGAAATATTTCTTTAAAGAAATTAAATATCTTTGTATATGTGAGGATGATGGGGAAGGAGTAATTCTACTTACTAGAGAGCAAGGTAAGCAATCAATTCCTTAGGCTCTAGAAGGCTATATATTCTGAAACTGTTGAAATACAATTCTCCTTGGCAGATACGAACCATTAAGCCATTATTGGTAACAGCAGGGGTTAATCACAGATACAAGTTGAGTGCAGGTAGCAGGAGAGTGATGGGAGCCAGATAGATGCTCCTGAAGACCGGGAAGAGGCTCGCAGAAGTGAAAAGGTGCAAAACACTTGCTCAGTTCACCATACTGTCCAGAGCCATACCTAAGGTAAGCAACGCTTCCCGCATCCTCAGACTCCAGGCGTCCAAATTCGCACGCTTGCAGGCATTCTATTGATTCACACTTGAGTCCTTCAACAGGTAGCGCCAATTACATCCCCCAGAGCACGACCCCCAGCATACTGGCCAATACCGCTGTCAATCAAATACCTCACCTACTTCTCTAAATTCCCCCCTCCCACTGTCATTGGCTTTACCTTCGGCCTATCCACAGATTTCTTCTGCCCTGGAGACCACAGAACTTACCCTATCGAATCTAGGATTGGCGCCGAAGCTACTCCCGCCCTTTGACGTCCCCGGGCACCCCGCCCCCTTCACCTCCCAGCTTTGCCGGGGAAGAAGCAGGGCGGGGCAAGCTAGGGGCCGGCCCGGGGGCGGGGCCTGCCTCCCACGGCGGGAGGGCGGAGCCTGCTCTGGAGCCTGACTGCTCGGTTAGGACCTCGGAGAGCGCCAGGCGCCGCGACCAGAGGGCCCAGAGAAGCGGCCGGAGCCCGCCTACCTCGGCCCCCTCAGCTTCCCGGGCTGGCAGGCGGCTAGAGGCGTCTGAGGAAGGTGCCTAAGTCCTGGGTCAGATAGTCATCCCTCTGGGACGCCGCCGCCGCTGCCGCCGTCCAGCTGTGGCTCCCTCGCACCTGTGTGTGTCTGTGTGAGTGTGTGTGTGTGTTTGAGAGAGAGAGAGACAGAGAGAGACAGAGACAGAGAGCGAGCGCACCAGCGCGCGAATGCCCGTGTGAGGGTGTTTGTGTGTGTTCTGGCTGGGAGCGCGAATGCCTCGGCGTGAGGTGTTTGTGTGTTCGCGCGCCCGCGGGCGGGCGAGAGCCCCGCGCCTCAGCGCTGGGCCTGGGGGAGGGACAGCGGGAGCGGCGGCTCTGCGCGCCCAGCAGGCTGAGGCGGGACTCGGGCCGCAGCCGTCGCCGCCACCGCTTCACGTCCCCCGAGAGCGGCTGCCGTGCAGCGGGGAGAGCGGACGGCGGGCGGGCGAACAGGCGGGAGAGCGCGGCGGCGGCTGCGGGCAGAGGTGGAGGGAGGGGAGCAGGAGATGGGGAGAGGGGGGAAAGAGGACGCGGGGAGGGAGATGAGGGGGAGGTGAGGGGGAGGCGGAGGGACAAGTGGAAACAGACGGTGTCGCCGTTCTCCTCCTCCCCCCCTCCCCGGCAGCTGTTGCTGTGGGTCACTCGCAGATGTTTTGGGGTCCGGGCTGCTGGGGGATGGGGACTAGAAAAAGTACCCCCCTCCCCGCCTTTCATAGTGACAAAAAAGGAAGCGTTGAAGCTGATGGGGGAAGAGCCCGGAAGGTGGTGGCAGAGTAAATACCGGCTCCCCCAACGTCGTTTTTCTGAAAATAAAATACTCTGAGCCGAACGTTTCGAAGAAGGAAAGTCCGCCCTTAAGAGAGAGACAGAGTCTTGGTCTGTTGAACTCTGGTTTGATTGTATAATAATGATGATATAATGCTAATGACGATGATGACACTGCCTTTTATTTTTACCCCAGTGCTGATAAAGCGTAGTTACAGCTGGGGATACAGTCCTTGAAAATCTGATGTGTGAGGAGGGAATACTGTTGCTTTTGGAGTTGTGTTATATTTATCTTTTTTTAAAAAGGATATGCTTTTTAGAATTAAAATTTGGCAAAACGAATCCTGACTCTTTTTTTCCAGTCGGTCGTAACCAATGCTCATAAAATGGGGACTGACTTGACTAATGAAAAGAGAAAGGCTTTTACCAAGGTCTAATTGCACGTGTTAAGTCACCTCTTTCCCTTTTTTTCCTTTGTATTTCTCAACAGTGTTTAAAATGAAGAAGTTTAATTTCCGAAAAGTTTTGGATGGCTTAACTGCCTCCTCCCCTGGCAGTGGTAGCAGCAGTGGCAGTAACAGTGGTGGTGGGGCTGGAAGTGGTTCCGTACATCCGGCGGGGACTGCAGGGGTTCTCAGAGAGGAAATTCAGGAAACTTTGACTTCGGAGTATTTCCAGATTTGCAAGGTAAGTTTTGAATTGGCTTAAAGCCTATTATTTCTTTATTATACTGTTGTAAGGAAACAAGGGGGGAAAAACATACCAGGAACAGGAAACTGTTGAGATGTCAGCATCAGAGTCTGCTGCAGAAAGCTCTGTGGGTAGATCAGTTTGGCTTAATAGATATTTTAGGCGTCAACTTAAAAAGCAATGATAGTTTAAGTGGGAAATGAGCACACACAAAAAGTAGAATTTGCAAGATAATGTTAAGATCCAATAGTGGACAAAATTTTTAATATTTGTGTATTATATTAACTGAAGAAGCAAATAGTCGTTTGGTTTTTTGTGTTATCAGAGAAAATATTGTTATTTCACTGTTCAGTATGAAATGAATAAAGCTACTAGCATGTTGCTAGGATTAAGTAGATAATAGGAAAATATGTTCATTTTAAGGGGGCCAATGACATTGCTTTAAAATTCCGAATAAAAACACCTTCACATTCTTAAACTCTTCATAAATACACAAACAGACAAATGCACAGGCTTATAAGAACTTGCAGTTGTAGGAACTCAAAAATAGCGGGTGTTCTGGTTTAGTAAGAAAACATTTTATGTAATTATACTTTGATATTGAACTTCTAATGAATATGCAAAAGAGAGTTTCTGGTAGGTAGAGAAGATGAGAGTTTATAAAACAAGCATTAGGTTAATGCATAGAGATATTGTTATTGCTATATTTGTTATATTTTATGACATAAAGTGATTTATAATTTTATTGCCCTTTTTTGAGTTGTCTTGGAATGTGCCTATTATATGCAACAAAGGCTACTAAGTTATTTATGTCATATAAATGAATATAGTTTTGTAAATGTGTTTGGCTACATAAGAAATAGAAAAATTGCAAAATTACAGAAATTAACAATTTTTAAAAATACTTTCACAAAAGAAAAGTTTTTTGAAATTATTAAAATTATATTTGTGGTAAACAAGTGATATATGTATAATGAGGTATATTTCAATCACTGTCTCAGCCTATATTCCTAGCAGGGTCATTATAAAAACATTAAATCTATAGTTATTAGTTTACATAAAAGCAAGTTTATTTAGAGTTAATTTAGATAAACAGATTTAATTCTAAGCTACTTTGTGAAATTTGTGTACAGTAATAATTTTTTTCCTCAATAGGAAATAACAGATATTCTGTTCGATGAGGGAAGGTCTTAACAGTGGTTATGAGACAAATGTAAAAGAGTCCTGGAGTTCAAATTTGAACTGCTAGGCAGGGGAATTATGCCCTGATTCTCTAATCTTTGATGTGTTTGCAATTTTCACGATCAGATTCTGAAAATTTTTTCCAAATTCTCTCAATTCATGTATATGACAGTGATACAGGAGAATTTTACCAGAGGTAAAACTGGTATAGGAAAGATAGACTTCTGAAACAGAATGGCATTGGGCTGTTGAGGTCATAAAGCTTGTAGAGAAGGTTTTAAATAAAAAACTTCAGGGAAATGGGTGAATGCAAGAGATAATGGAATACATAGTTATCTTCCCATTTATTCAGGCAAGAGATAGTCATAGGAAGTACCAGAAGTTAAATACATACTACTTTAAAAACATATGGCATGGTAGGAAGAGCACTGGCCTAGGAATCAGAAAATTTGTGTTTTATTTAAAGTTCTGCTAGTTGACAGCCATATACTCTTGGGTAAGCCATTTATCTCCCTTGAGCCTTGATTTCTGCATCTGCAGTGTAGGAATAAGTGTATCTGCTCTCCTTAACTAAGAGACGGTTATTGGGAGGATCAGACAGAATAAGGTGAAGGTAATGCATAAATGGAAAGGATGATAAAATATATACGAATATTATTGTTAAAGTTTGTAAAATCACGTGTTCATAGTAGAGCGAATATAACTAGTGGGTTATAATAATATTAGCTTATGATTTCCAAATAAATTATAAGATAGATAGCTATATAAGTTGTCCACTAACAGTACTGAAGTCTTACTAAATGTGGAAAATACTGTAACATCTTTGGATAGGAATATAGTTAATTTTAAAAAATAGTTATATGGATGTATTATAATTACCTGGTCTATAACAAAACATATAAAAATGGACTAAGGAAATCCCAAAATTAGACCGTTACTGAAATGGGGACTTTATTTAGACTCATAGACTCCCTGATTAAATGTGCAAAAAAATTTCTCTTCTGAGTTCTAAGGAGCTGTCATATTCTGGGTGCTTCTACCTTTTCAACATGGGCAAAACTAAAGTATAAATCTAGACTTGGCTGTTTGAAAGCCTCCTCTCTTCTATCTGATTAGTCATCACATCCCCTCTATTCTATTTCCTTAGTATTTCTGAAATTTATGACCTTTTCTACATCCCCAGTACTTGTTCGTTCCGTCATATTTTCTTGCTTGGTCTTTTGAAATCACTTTCTAACTGATCTCTTTACTTCTAGTTTTACTGGATTACACTTCATTTTGTTACAATAATGGCTATTTCTGAAATACAATGTTAATTATGTCATTTCCTTGCTAAAAATTCTATATTGGTTTCCTACAGCAATGATGCTCTTAAAATGAAAGTCTTATTTGAAACCACAGTAAATAACATCTATTCAAACAAAAAAATGTGGCAACTCATGGGCACACATTTGTTTCAGAAATTATAAGAATAAATTATACAGCCAATTGATAAAAAAACTTTTTATATTTGTTTTTTATTGTGTAATATCGCCCATAGGAAGGTAGTAGGATGTTCGCTAGCCTTAAAAAAGTGAAAGTATAAAGCTGTACCCTTCATAATAAACAAAATATCTATGAGATGTTCAAAGTCATAGAAATGGCAGAAGAAACTTTGGTTCAAGGTCAGCCAAAAAAAAAAAAAAGTTAATGCATTGGGTTACTGCAATCGTTCAGAATGTGTATACATTGGAATGCCTGCATTGTCCAGGTATTTGTGAAATACATGAACTGCCTTTCCTGAACTTGAATTCTGTGAAATACAATTTGAAACTATTGCTCTATAAAATAAATTTCAAATTGCTTACCTTGATGGGTATAGAGTTTCCTTCAGAAGAGATTCCTGTTTACCTTTCCATTTTTATTTGCTTGATTCCCTAAGTATACTGCATTCCCTAAAAGATACCATATTTTCTCATATCTCAATGCCTTCTCTCATTCTTTCGTTTCTGACTAGAATACCTTTTCTACTTTCATACGATTGGATAATTCCCAGCCATCTTTTACCTCATAATTCAAACATCACCTCTATGAGACTAGCTCTGACCACTGCCACCTCAACTACCCACCAGGGTTCTTTTTTTTCTTTTTTAAAAACCTATTCTATGTTTTTCTGTAGCATCTGGCATATACCTATAGTGTGAATTTAGCATCTTCCTGTGATTAAAAAAGTTTCTTAAAAATCTGTCACTGCCGTTATACTATGAACTCTTTGAAAAGCAAATAATTTTTTTTTCTTGTTTCCTTCTTATTGCTAGGGTATACACTATCTAGCTGGCCAGTATTTCTTAACTCTGGTGTCTAAAATAGAGATTTCCAGCACCTCCCCATTCTTAGAGAATCAAAATCTCTAGGGATGAGTCCTAGGCACTTGCATTTTTTTGAATGGCCCCACAGGAGATTTCTATGCACAGCCATTAGTGAAAACCATTATAGTGGGCACTTGATACACTTTAAATGAGTAAAGATGCATATACATGATTGGTCGATTAATTGAAAAAGATATTAAAGCAGAGAGCAATTACTACTTATATATGCCTTAAACATTTTATTTTAATTGAAAACATCTAAATATACAATTTACAAATCATTTGATAAATGACTACGTTTTTCTGTTGAATGTTGGTTCTGTGATTGGAGTTCTGTGTGGACTTCTCTTCCATAAACCTTTCCAAATTCATATCTACAACTTTCAGTTTTGGTTTATTTAAAGCAGAGTAAGAAATTACATGCTTTTGAAGCAAACCAAGTGTCAAGTCCTTCTAGATTATATATACAGTGATATGTATAAAGCAAGGCTTTATTTTGTTCACATCTGTATCATCTATGTATAGAATGGTGCCTGGCCCATTGAAGGCAGTCAAATATTTGTTGAGCAAATAAATGAATAAATTAAAGGAGGGAAGCTATACAGATTGTTGTGTTAAAAGCAAACTAGATATTATTTTGAACAGCTTCTTGGAGTTGCTTTTATGAAATAACTTTTATATAAAGAGGTGGAGAGCATCTAGTGAAAGAGTTGATACCACTTTAGGAACATGGTATATGCTTTTCAAACAGATGTAGAAAAGAAGATTGTAGGAGGATTTAATTAAATTTATTTCAGTTTTTATTGAAGAAGATATTAGGAACATTCTCATTTTTAAATGATCTTTTTGGGGGAACAACTCAGAAGTTCTAGATTGACAGTGACAAACACACAGGGTGTTCTAGACCTAATTAACAAAAGATAAAAATAAGTATATTACCAAAAAAAGAGTAAAATAAGTATATTACCAGAACCAGATGACATAATCCCTAAATTTCTGAATAAACTCTTAAATTAGCCAACTCACTATTCATAATCATTTATAAACTGTTTTTATAAATGGTCACAATGTCAGAAACAACATGTAGTTAACTAGTATAACTTCTGCAGGGAAATGGATTTATAACAATGATGCTCATATCTGACATAATATCAGATCGTACCAGGTAAATAGGTATAGATCAGAAATACAGGCATGAACTGTAGAGAGTTGGGCTTTCCAGGACCCTAGCAAGATGAAAGGAGATTAAATGCCCAGATATCCTTGAATACTATCTCTTCCTCAAGATTTTCATTGTCTCCACATTCTCCTAATTTCACTCCATTTTACTTAAGCGGTTTTGCAACTGAGATTGGGAAAAGATCATGATCACAGTTCCACAGTTATAAAGTTTTCATCCATAAAAAGAATAATAGAAGATTCCCTGAGATGTGTGGATTTGTTACATTCTCCTGTCACCAAAAAGCACAGTAGAGGCATCTTTAAGAATGGTAATGGAGGCAAGGAAGAATTAATCTACCATTAAGACTAAGATGCTAACAAGCGTAATAACCAGAAAGAATTAAAGATTTTTTTTTCTTTTAAGAACCAGAAACCAAAGCCAGATGACTCAGTACTCCAGGCTGTCTGCTTTGCTTATCCTGAGAGCATAAGGGTGTAGGGGCAGGCTTGAGTAAAGGATTATAGATGTGTAGAAGTACGTTTGTAAAATTTTAAAGTTACCTAGAGGGCAATCACATTTTCTCACAAAAAGTCCTTTGGTGCTAGTATTTGTCAGCAAATTGGGTTGTTGGTCTTGTATAGTGTGGTGGTTCTTAAATGTTCTTAAAAACAAACAGTGCCGTCATACTTTTTGTATTTCTCATACATACAGAGCTAAGTTAAAATCTTAACATAATTTCCAAGTATGTTTTTCTGTAGGAGTATTATCACTAAGTAAACGAAATTTCTGTTTCTTAAAATTTAGTGCATTTCTGTAGATATTTCTCTAGCCTCATTTGACGATGTTCCTGTGAAAAATCTCAGGATTAAGTTCATATTTACTTTTAATAATAGGATGATTGTACTGATTTCCTGTATTATAGTTCTGTAAAGCCACTTACATATTGGTTTAATAGCAATGACTTTTGACTATATCCATTAAAAGTATCAAGTAGAAGCCCTGCTTTAAACTTTCAAATTGAGTTTGTTTTTCTCATAAGAGAAAAATGGAACTTTTTGTTCCTACTTAAGTATCAAAATGATGATCTTTATAAAAATGCTTTTGTTTATAGTGACAGTTATTTTCTTTTTTAGTCTTAAAAGGAGGATAACTTTTCTTAATTCTTTTTAGTATTTGAAAGGCTAATCTTTTAATGTGCACAATATACTAGCGTTTTTATTTAAAAATATAGATTAAGTATTCTGAATAATTGTTCCTAATTTCCTAGGTAATACTAAACTGTCTTTATAAGGACTAGGAAAAAAATCATTGATTAAGTTTTATACAGCCAAAAATAGAAATAACATTTAAAGGATTTAGAGAAGGTAGTTATAAAGAATAGAATATAAGCCCTCCAAAAAGTATATAGTGGGTTCACCATGATACTTAGGGAGAGACTTGATTAAATGAAGCATTCATAGTCACTGAATGAATGCAGCAAGAAGGTATTTTGACATGTTTATTATTGAAAATATATTGTATTTATTATACACCTTTAAAAATAATTAAGACATAAACTGTTCTCAGCCAACTGACTATAATAAGAATGAAATAATGCTTTCTGGGATTGATTTATCAGCAAAATCACCTATGATATATTCTGGACTTATCTAACATATTAGAAAGAAGAATATGATTTGAGTTTTATTGGAAGCCCAAAATTACCAGTTAATATTGATGGTTTATAGAATTATTTTGAATATAATGGTATATAATGATGCTATATAATCAATATAATGAATTTGAAATTGAAAATATTGTATTTGTTTTAGTTTCAGTTAAGTGTTTTATATTTATTTTTATCTTATTTTATTTTTAGGTGGAGTTTTGCTCTTGTTGCCCAGGCTGGAGTGCAATGGTGCAGTCTTGGCTCACTGCAACCTCCATCTCCTGGGTTCAAGCGATTCTCCTGCCTCAGCTTCCCAAGTAGCTGGGATTACAGGCGCCCACCACCACGCCCGGCTAATTTTTGTATTTTTAGTAGAGACGGGGTTTCACCATGTTGGCCAGGCTGGTCTCAAACTCCTGACCTCAGGTGATCCGCCCACCCCAGCCTCCCAAAGTGCTGGGATTACAGCCGTGAGCCACCGCACCTGGCAAGTGTTTTATAATTCAATAAATATCTCTTTGAATTGACAATAGCATAAAATCGACATCTTATTTGGACATGTAAATTTTATTATAAATAAAACTGATCATTTTGGTGGTTTTAGATGCAGATTTAATACCTGGATTTAGAAAGTAAAGATTGGAATTGAGAGAAAATTGTTATACTTCTTTTATCTTTCTTTTATTTTTACTTTACCAAAATGAACACAATAAAATTAGTTACACTCTGAAGAAAACTAGCTGGATTGGTTAATGTTCAGTTTACTTTGTTCCTATAAATTGACTAAAAACTTGTCTATAAATCTGTAAACTGTAAAAGTTTGAAAATTATTAGTAGTATAATAAATTTTGAAGTTAGATTGAGTCTGGGGGAAATGCTTACAGTTGGTAAACATCCATGTAGATGGAAAATGTGAAACTAGAAAAGGAGACAGAGAAGAACCGAGCAGAATAATATGAGGAAAATTCAAGAGTAGAGGCAGGTAATCTGAAGCATTCTTTAGAGAGAATAGTAAGAGAGAAACTCAGGCATGTCCCAGCTTTGTGGAGTGGTCAAAGATAGTAAAAACAAAACAAACTTCAAAACAACAAACAAATAACACAGAATTGTCAGAGACAAGTGAATTAGGCCAAGAGGAAATTGATTAGGGTAAACATATTTTCAGTAAGGTGATGGATAGAATTAAGGTCAACAATATAATAGAGAATATAATTAGTAGCATCAGTACCAAGAGTAGAAGTAGGGGAGATGTGTGAGGAATTGACTTTATAGAAAAGAAAAGTGGTGAAAAAATAGCAGAGACAGTAGGTTTTAATATCATTTTGGTACACTGTAGGGGTGGTGATGCAATTAATCCACAGAAAAGCAATTGAGGCTACCAGAAAGGGAATGGTAGGGTGGGGAATAGAGGTAAGATTTGCCTTTTAAAATAGCAAGGGGTGGCCATGGTAGCACATGCCTGTAGTCCTAGCTACTGAGGAGGATGAGGGGGAGGAACCCTTCAGGATAGGAGTTCGAGGCTCTAATGCACTGTGATCATGAATAGCCACTAATAGTACTCCAGCCTGGGCAACATAGCAAGACCCCTGTCTCTAAGATAAATAAATAAGTAAGTAAAATAAAACAGTAGGTATCTAATTTGGAATTTTTCTCCTTACCTGATAAGAATACATATTTCATTTGAATTCTCAGTGAAATCTGTGCTTTATGTCCTTTCAGGTAAATAAAAGCATGTGATTCTATGAGAAGATCATATGACTTTTGTATTGCTGCTTCAATTACCAAAAACTTATTGGCTTAAAACAACACGAATTTATCATCTTATTGTTCTGGAGGTCAGAAGTATGACATGGATGTCACTGGGCTAAAATTAATGTGTTCACAGAACTGCATTCCTTTCTGGAGGCTGTAGAGGAGATTTTGTTTTCTTGACTCTTGCAGCTTTTAGAGGCTGATCACAATTCCTTGGCCGATGGCCCCCTCCCATCTTCAAAACCAGCCCCCTTCCATTTTCAAAGCCAGTTGATCTTTCCAACATGTCACCACCCTGACTTTCCTGCCTCCCTTTTTTAATATTTAAGGATGCCTATGATTACATTGGGCCCACCAGGATAATCCAGGTTAATCTCCCCATTACAAGGTTAGTTGATTAGCAGTCTTCATTCCATCTGCAACCTTAATTCCCCTCTGCCATATAAGCTAACATATTCACAGGTTCTTTGGGGGCTGTTATTCTCTGTACCTAGATGTTCATCACCTCACCTGTTTTTGTTTTTTGAGTTATTTTATGGAAAACTTTAAACACACAAGAACAGAGAGAATAGTATTGAACCCCCAGCTTCAACAATGATCATCCTTGGCAAATCTTGCTGATTTATATTCTCTTATTTGCTACTCTTACATTTCATTATTTTAATGCAAATCTCAGACATTGTACCCTTCCACCTGTAAAAACCTTACAGAGCAGATAAGCACTTCTCCTCACCCTGTGCTTACACTATTAATCCTAAAGACCATTATCATAGTGAAGAAAATTAACATTTCTTTATATAATCTAACATGTAGTTAGTGTTTAAATTCCCTTAGTTGTCCCATATTGTCTTTTTGTAGTTGATTTGTTTAGATTGGCATCCAAGCAAGGTTCATGTTGCATTTTCACTTGGCTTGAAGTTATCTTAATTCAGTTTGTGTAAAGTCACAGGTTTTTTGATAAGATCAGCTATCTTGTGCTTTTGTGTATATTAATGAAAAAAATAACTCTTTGTCCTGATTTCTTTATGAACTAGAAGGCTATATGTGAGGAAGTGGGTGGGTTGTTCAGTGTACCACAAGATGCCAAATAGAGAACTTTTAAATGTTTTCTAGACATGGTAACATTCTTTAAGGAATGGGAAAAAGAATATTTTTAGGTCATCCTGAGAGCTGTTGTACTATTTTGTGATGCTACTATAGGATAGGCTTTGCTGAGAATGTTAGAAAAGAGAAAAGTGTCATAAAAGACACAGTATGTGTCAAAGTGAATAAAAGTGAGGTGGATTCTCAACGTTACTGATTTTTACCCATGAAATAAATAAATAAATAATTTGAGGGATAGGATGAGATTCAGTTTTGTATAGCTCTTCTTTTAAGTGAAAGAACAGAACATTTGATAAGGATTCACTCTACAGTTACTTAGAATAGAATTATATAGCAAAAAGCTGAAATTGAATTGGACAAAATCTGTTTTATTAGTAACTTAGATTTCTTCACTTGGGTTAATAGGCTAAATATACTTGAAGAACTGAGTTGGAAGGTGGTAGGAAGAGGATTAAAATACTGATGAGGAACACATTTTGATGTATTGAGTTCCATTTATAAATAATCTGTACATTACATTTATTGAATATTTACATAATTCAAAAGGTACCTTATTCTGATTCTCTGCCATCCTATGGTAGTTTATTGTTGGCTCTTTCTTTGCTTTTTCCAGTTTCATCTTAACCAAAACTCCTTTGCTGTTTGAGGTAATATTCAATATTCTTGTGCTCTGCCACAGCTCCCCACTAGCTATTTGGTGAATTCAGTTACTTATTATTTAAACATTTATTGAAAGCATATTTTATATATGATTCTAAACTAGACTTTTTAATTGGGCAACCCTTTTTTAGGAATGACTTTGCAAGGCAAGCACACACTCTGTGAACCATTTATATTTTAATGTGATTAACAGAATAATTTACATCATGTGAACTTTAATTCATGTTTTATAACTTTTATGAAACTCCCTCTTATTCTTTTTTCAATGGCTCAGGTTTTTTTGCTCCCTGTCTCTTTCTTTCTTTTTTCCTTGTATTTCTACTATTTTTGAATTATTTTATAATGTATTTGATATCTTTCTCTTTGTCCTTAGCCTATGTTAATTTCCATTTATATCTTCTTGGCTAAAAGCTGCTTTATTCTAAAATAAAAGAACCTGGAAAATGTCTGAAATATATTTCTTTTGGTACAATTTCATTTCCCTAACAAGTCTAATACTTATTGAGACTATTAACATACGAAAGTAACTCTTTAAGTCACAGTTTCTCTTTTATTCACCAATTTCTTTTTGAAAGGATTGGAAAGTATTTAATCTGGGTCAGCTCAGTATAATTATCAAATAATTATCTTTAAATCATGCTTCTTTGTTCTCTGCTAACAGACTCAAATTTCTTACAAATTTTTTTTTTGAAAAATGATTTGGGGTACTTTCCTGCTTCTTAAAAATTTAATACTTTTAAATTGATGCATAATAGATGCACATATTTTTGGGGTACATATGGTAATTTAAAACATTTATATGGTTTGTAAATATCAAATCAGTATAATTGGGATATACGTCACCTTAAATATTTGTCTTTGCTTTATGCTAAAAACATTAGAATTATTCTCTTCCAGCTATTTTGAAATGTACAATAGATCATTGTAAACTATAGTCACCCTACTGATCTATTAAATACTAGATATTATTTCTTGATTCAAAATATATATATTTGTACCCATTAATCAACTTGTCTTCATTTTCCCACCCTCCTTCCAGGCCTCTGGCAAACAATATACTCTCTGTCTTCATGAGATGTACTTTTTAGCTCCTACCTGAGTGAGAACCTGTGATATTTGTTTTTCTGTGCTTGGTTTATTTCATTTAACATGACTTCTCATTACATTCATGTTACTGCAAGTGACAAGATTTCATTCTTTTTTATGACTGAATAATATTCCCTTGTGTATATATACCATATTTTCTTTATCCATTCATTCATTGATGGGCACTTGGGTTGATTTTATATTTTGGCTATTGTGAGTAGTGCTGCAATAAATGTAACAGTGCCAATATCTCTTTGATATATTGATTTCCTTTCTTTTGAACATATACCGAGTAGTGCAATTGCTGGTTGTTCTATTTTTAGTTTTGAGGAACCTCCATACAGTTTTCCTTAGTGGCTGTACTAATTTACATTCACACCAACAATGTGTGAGTTCCCCTCTCTCCACATCCTTGCCAGCATTCATTATTACCTGTCTCTTTTATAAAAGCCATTTTAACTGGAGTGAGATGATATCTCATTGTAGTTTTGATTTGCATTTCTCTGATGATTAGTGATGTTGAGCATTTTTTCATATGCCTGTTGGCCATTTGTATGTCTTCTTTGAGAAATGTCTACTCAGATCTTTTCCCATTTAAAACTCAGATTATTTATTTATTTTTGCTATTGAGTTGTTTGAGCTTATTATATATTCTGGTTCTTCACCCCTTGTCAGATGAATAGTTTGCAAATATTTTCTCCCATTCTGTGGGTTGTCTCTTTACCTTGTTGATGGTTTCCTTTGCTATACAGAATATTTTTAGCTTGATGCAATCCCATTTTCCATTTTTGCTTTCGTTGTGTGTACTTTTGAGGTCTTACAAAAAAATCATTGCCTAGACTGATGTCTTGGAACATTTCTCCAGCATTTTCTTCTAGTAGATTCATAATTTTAGTTCTTAGATTTAAGTCTTTAATCAATTTTGATTTGGTTTTTGTATATAGTGACAGGGCCTAGTTTCATTATTTTGCATATAGATATCCAGTTTTCCCAGCACCATTTGTTGAAGAAACTCTCCCCACTGAATGTTCTTGGTAACTTTTTCAAAAATTAGTTGGCTGTAAATGTGTGGATTTATATCTGGGTTTTCTGTTCTGTTCCATTGGTCTATGTATCTTTGTTTATGCCAGTATCATGCTAATTTGGTTACTTTAGGTCTGTAGTATATTTTGAAGTCAGGTAGTGTGATGCCTCTAGCTTTGTTGTTTTGCTCAGGGTTTCTTTGGCTATTCAGGATCTTTTGTGGTTTCATATAAATTTTAGGATTTTTTTTTGTGTTTCTGTGAAGAAACATTGGTATTTTGATAGAGATTGCATTGAATCTGTAAATTACTTTGGGTAGAATTGTCATTTTAACAATATTAATTTTTCCAGTTCATGAGTGTGAAATTCTTTCCACTTGTTTGTGTCCTCGTCAATTCCTTTGTCAGTGTTTTACCTTGTAGAGATCTTTCACTTCTTTAATTAAATTTATTCATAGGTATTCATAGGTATTTTATATTCTTTGTAGCTATTCTAAATGAGATTGCGTTTTGATTTCTTTGTTCAGATTGTTCACTGTTGGCGCATGTAAATGCTCCTGATTTTTTTGCATGTTTATTTTGTATCCTGCAACTTTACTGAATTTGCTTATCAGTTATAACAGTTTTTTGGTGGAGTTTTTAGGTTTTTGTAAGGTAAGGTCATATCACCTGTGAACAAGGCTGATTTGACTCCCTTCTTCCAATTGGATACCCCTTTATTTTTTTCTCTTGCCTAATTGCTATAGTCAGGACTTTCTGTATTAGGCTGACTAAAAGTGGTGAAAGTGGGCATCCTTGTCTTGCTCCAGACTTTAGAGGAAAGGCTTTCAAATTTTCCCTGTTCAGTATGATGGTACCTGTGGGTTTGTCATTTATAGCCTTTATTATTTTGAGGTATGTTTTTTTCTATCCAGTTTGCTGAGGGTTTTTCTCATAAAGGGATATTGAATTTTATCAAATTCTTTTTCTGCATCTATTAAAATGATTGGTTTTTGTTCTTGGTTGTGTTAGTGTGATATATCACGTTTATTGTTTTGCATTTGTGGAGGATTGTCACATCTGTGTTAATCAGGGATACTGGCCTGTAGTTTTCTTTTTTTATTGTGTCTTTGTCTGGTTTTCATAATTCTGGTCTCATAGGATAAGTTTGGAAGTATTCCCTCTTCAATTTTTTTGAAGAGTTTGAGTAGAATTGCTATTTGTTCTTTAAAATGTTAGGTAGAATTCATCAATGAAACCATCAGGCTTTTCTTTGGTGGGAGACTTTTTATTACTGCTTCAATCTTATTCCTCATTATTGGTTTGTTGAGGTTTTCTATCTCTTCTTGGTTCAATCTTGGTAGGTTGTATGTGTCCATGAATTTATTCCTTTCTTCTAAATTTTCTAATTTGTTTGCATACAGTTGTTCACAATAGTGTCTAATAATTCCTCGCATTTCTGTGGTCTCAGTTATTATGTCTCTAATTTTTTTTGTTTCTCATGGTATTTATTTGGATATTCTTTTTTTCTTAGTCTAGCTAAAGGTTTGTCTATTTACATTTTCAAAAGCAAGCTTTTCATTTCATTGATCTTCTGTAGTGTTTTTTTTATTCTCAACTTTATTATTTCTTCTCTGATCTTTATTATTTCTTTTTCTATGAATGTTGGGTTGGATTGTTCTTGCTCTTATAGTTCCTTGAGGTGTATCTTAGGTTGTTTATTTGAAGTCTTTCTGCTTTTTTGATCTAGGTGTTTAATGCTATCAACTTCTCTCCTAGTACTGCTTTTGCTGTATCTCATAGATTTCAGTATATTGTATTTCCATTTTCATTTGTTTCAAGAAAATTTTAAATTTCCTTCTTAATTTTTTTCATTGACTCATTTGTCATTCAAGAGCATGTTGTTTAATTTTCCTGTGTTTGTGTAGTTTCTGAGGATCCTCTTGTTACTGATTTTTAGTTTTATTCCATTGTGATCATAAAAGATATGTCATATGATTTTTACTTTCTTGAATTTGTTCTAACTTGTTTTATGGCCTGAGATATGGTCTATTCTGGAGAATATTCCATGTGCTGATGAAAAAAATGTGTATTCTGCAGCAGTTGGGTGAAATATTTTATAAATGCCAATTAGGCCTATTTGGTCTAGTGTGTAGTTTACAGTGATGTTTGTTGACTTTCTGGCTGGATGATCTGTCCGTTACTGAGAGAGATTTTTTTTTTAACTGAATATTCAACACATTTGTAGGAACAGAAGGAATGCAACAAGGATTAGAATTTTATAATTACATTATACATTTATGTAAAAGATGTTTCATTTCTCAAAGACGTTTCTCCTACGTCCCTATCTTTTCTATCTTTCTCAAATCAGTAGTTATTACTATTCTCATGGACAAGCTTATTTCATTGTGTTAGACAGTAATTATACCAGTATGTTTCACATCATTATCATCTTCAAAAATTCTACCCTTCATTTCACCACACAATCCCACTGCATTGTTTCACAGTACAATTGTATTCCACTTAAATTAGAAAAGCCCAAAGAAATTAGAGCAAAAACAGTCAAATTCATGTGAATGAATGCTAGAGGGCAAAATATTTTAAAGTATTGATTTAGTAACAGTTACTAAATCTACAGGCATAAGACTTCTATTTATTCATATTATTAAAACTGCAATAATAGAAATGAAATCTACATTAATGAAAAACAATCTAAGGAATTAGATCAGTAATATTTAAATATAGATATATTTTGTGATTAGTATCAGGTAAATATCTAAACTATCTATCTTAAATTCTGGTCTCAGAGAAAAATGTCAGAGACAATTACAAAGAAGATGCTTCATATTATCAGGTCCATTTTTCTAACTAGTGAGAT
Organism: Homo sapiens; assembly: GCF_000001405.40. Taxonomy (NCBI): domain Eukaryota; kingdom Metazoa; phylum Chordata; class Mammalia; order Primates; family Hominidae; genus Homo; species Homo sapiens. Next base: position 120,924,592 of record NC_000003.12, read on the forward strand.
CCTTTGGGAGAATGGCTTTAGTCTTTCATTTTGTCAGAGATTTCCATTGGTCCTGTTGTTGGTAATCCATTTGTTTACATCCTTACAGTCTACCTCGTCTTTATTTTATTTATTTTTATTTATTTATTTATTTTTTGAGACAGAGTCTCGCTCTGTCGCCCAGGGTGGAGTGCAGTGGCGCGATCTCGGCTCACTGCAAGCTCCGCCTCCCGGGTTCACACCATTCTTCTGTCTCAGCCTCCCCGAGTAGCTGGGACTACAGGCTCCCGTGACCACGCCTGGCTAATTTTTTGTATTTTTAGTAGAAACGGGGTTTCACCGTGTTAGCCAGGATGGTCTGGATCTCCTGACCTCGTGATCTGCCCACCTCGGCCTCCCAAATGCTGGGATTACAGGCGTGAGCCACCGCTCCTGGCCCTTGTCTTTATTTTAAATTGTTGTATTCCTGTATAGCTTTATAGGCTATATATAACTAACAAAAGGAGAAATAAGAGGGTATATGCATGGATCTAGAATTCTTTTGTATTTCCAGAACAGAATTGAAATGATGATACAAGGAATGCACACCGTTGCCTGGGCTTCACCTCCTAAACCGCAACCATGAAGCCCTAATGACAATGTCCACACTTCTGGAGGAAGGGATGAGGAGCAGCCTCGAGTGGGTTGCTGAAGTACCCTACTATTATTGTATTGCAGTATACCTCTCTTTCTAGATTTATTAATGTTTGCTTCATATACTTGGGAGCTCTCGTGTTGGGTGCGTTGTTATTTATAATCATTATATCCTCTTGCTGAATTGACTCCTTTATTATTATATAGTGATCTTCTTTGTCTGTTTTTATAGTCTTTGATTTGTAGTGTATTTCATCTGATCTACATATAGCTACTCCTGCTCTTTTTTGGTTTCCAGTTGCATGGAATATCTTTTTCCACCCCTTCAGTTTCAGAATGTGGATTTATTGTAAGGAGTATATAGTTGGGTCTTGTATCTTTATCCATTCAGCCACCCTATGCCTTTTACTTGGATAATTGAGTCCATTTACATTCAAGATAATTATTGATAAGTAAGGATTTACTACTGCCATACTATTGCATGTTTTCTGGTTCTTTTGTAACTCTTTTCTTCATTTCTTCCTTTCTTACTGTCTTCCTTTGTGGTTAAGTGATTTTCTCTAGTAATATGTCTTAATTTGTTGCTTTTTATTTTTAGTGAAGCTACAGGATTTTGCACTGTTATTGCCATGAGGCTTACAGAGAACATCTTATAGATATAACAAGTTTATTTGAAAGAGATGACAACTTATATTAGATCATACAAAGAATAGGACAAATGAAGAAGAGTGGGAAAAAATCTCTATACTTTAACTCCCTCTTCCCTCATTTTGAATTTTGTTATCTCCATTTATGTTTTTAATTGCTTATCTCTTAACGGATTGCTGTGGGTATTATTGTCTTTGATAGGTTTGTCTTTTAGGTTTCATAGTAGAATTATAGGTGGATTGCACACTACAGCTTCAGTATTAGAGTATTCTGGGTTTGTCTGTGTACTTAATTTTACCAGTGGGTTTTATGCTTTCCCATGTTTTGTTTTTGTAAGTTAATTTTTTTTTAAATTTTAGATGGAAGAACTCCCTTTAGCATTTCTTGTAAGATGGGTCTGGTGGTGTTGAATTCTCTGAGCTTTTGTTTCTCTGGGAAAGACTTTGTCTCTCCTTCATAGTTGAAGAACATGTTTGCTGGATATAGTATTCTTGGATGGCAGTTCTTTTTTTTTTTTTTTCTTTCACCACTCCCTGCTGGCCTATATAGTTTCCATTGAGAAGTCTGAATGGATTAAACCTCCTTTTTATGTTATTTGCGTATTTTCTCTTGCTGCTTTTAGGATCCTCTCTCTGTCTTTGACTATTGAGAGTTTGATTATGCCTTGGGGTAGTCCTATTTGAGTTGAATCTGTTTGGTATTCCACCTTCCTGTACTTGGATGTTTATCTCTTTTCTAGTTTTAGAAAGTTTTCTGTTATTATTTCTTTGAACATGCTGTCTACCCCTTACCCTTGCTCAACTCCATCTTGACTATCAGTAATTCTTAGATTTGGTCTTTTGAGGTAATTTTCTATATTTTGTAAGCAATCTTCATTCTATTCCATTTTTCTCCTCTGCGTATTTTCAAATAGCCTGTCTTTGAGCTCACATTATCCTTCCCCTGCTTCATACATTTAGCTGTTGAGGGCCTCTAGTGAGTTTTTCAGTTCAGCAAATATATTTCTCAGTTCCAAAATTTCTGTTTGATTTTTAAGAATCATTTCAATCTTTTTGTTAAATTTCTCTGATAAATTTCTTTCCTTTCTTTTTTTTTTTTTTTTGAGATGGAGTCTCCCTCTGTCACCCAGACTGGAGTGCAGTAGCACGATCTTGGCTCACTGCAACCTCCGCCTGCCAGGTTCAAGCGGTTCTCCTGCCTCAGCCTCCCGAGTATCTAGGACCACAGGTGCATGCCACCACAACTGGCAAATTTTTTGTATTTTTAGTAGAGAAAGGGTTTCACTGTGTTAACCAGGACGGTCTCAATCTTCTGACCTCATGATCCACCCACCTTGGCCTCCCAAATTACTGGGATTACAGGTGTGAGCCACTACGCCCAGCCAATTTTTCTGATAAATTTCTTAATTGCTTTTCTGTGTTGTGTGGGAAGGCTGGCTAGGGGTTCATGCCCAGCAGACCTGATGGATGAACTTCCTATAGCATGATACTGCTGAACAGCCTCTAATTTGGTGTCTCCTTTGGCTGAGTTACAGAGCAGAATTTCCAAGGCTAGGATGGCAGTCCCACCTCCCCTCTTTGTTTCTCTTTGTCATCAGGGATATTTCTTACTTCAGGTACTGCTAATGCTTTCCCTGGGTTGGGGTAGAGACAGGGCTCCTGTTAGGGAACCCAAAATATGGGGGAAGCTGGTTGTCTACCTTGAGCTCACTTTTTACAAAGTAGAAATCATGAGTTGGGGGAAATTTTCTTAGCTCTTGGTGCAAGGCAGATTGGTGTGAGTGGGATCACAGATATGGAAATCTTATTCTCTTTACTGTCTGCTTGGAGTTTTTTCACTTCCCTGTGACCCTAGAAGCTGACTTGTTCTTATATTTGAGTTTTGGGGTATTTCTGGTAATAATCTCAGTGATGTATATTTGTTTAGGTTTTCTGTATGGGCAGTGAAACAACTTTGGTTGTATGCTGCCATTTTGGAACCTGTAGTCTCCCTAATACAACAATTTCTGTCTTCATACAAAGCAAGATTATATATTTAGTAGAAATAATTTTATTTATTGTTAATGTTTTTTACAGTGCTCATATATTTTATTCTGTGAAGAGCTATAGATTTAAAGAACTTGGAACAAAGATAAATATTGAGAGAATAGGGTGCTAAGAGCTGAACATTTGGGAGTTGACAATTGAAAGCAAAATAAGAAAGATCAGGGAGGGAAGTATGTGAGGTAAAATTTACACATAAAAATCAGATTTTAAGTACTCATTTCAATGAGTTTTGATAATTATACACATCTGTGTAACCATCAGTCAAAACAAGATATAAAATATCTTACATTTTCTAAAAATTTCTTCCTGACACTTTCCAGTGAATTTCCCATCCTTATCCTTTTCCAGAGGCAATTAAATTCTGACTTCTTTTTTTTTCCTCCTGAGATGGAGTCTCACTCTGTCATCCAGGCTGGAGTGCAGTGGCGAAATCTCGGCTCACTGCAACCTCCGTCTCTGGGGTTCAAGCAATTCTCCTGCCTCAGCCTCTGGAGTAGCTGAAACTACAGGCGTGTACCACCACGCCTGGCTAATTTTTGTATTTTTAGTAGAGGCAAAGTTTCACTATGTTGGCCAGGCTGCTCTCGAACTCCTGACCTTGTGATCTGCCCTCCTTGGCCTCCCAAAGTGCTGGGATTACAAGTATGAGCCACCGCACCTGGCCTAAATTCTGACTTCTATCACCATAGCTTATGCTTACATGTTCTGAGACTTCATATAAATAGAATCATATGGTATACAGAGTGTGTGTGTGTGTGTGTGTGTGTGTGTGTGTGTGTGTCTTATACAACACAATGTGTTAAGATTTATTCAAGTTGTTGATGGTGTCAGTGATTTGTTCTTTTTTTATTGCTGAGTAGTAGGTAGAGAGAAAAAAACTTCAAAAGTATCCATACTTCAAACATGCAGATGCAGGCAATGATTATTGATTTTTTTGGGTGCATTTCATTTTAGTATTTTTTTATGTTTAGTTTTTTGTTATGTGGAAATTAACAAAGACCACCCAAATGAGGACATAGGCTATTCAGATTTTGCTGTGGCAAAACCCACCATCGTTTGTATTTGGCAGAGTCCCAAACGCAGGCAGAAGAGTGGGAGAGCTTTGTGGTGAAAAAAGGGTAAGCTTTAAGTATGTTCTTATTGTAAGTTGTTGGCATGGGAAGCTGGAGGCAGGCTGTGTACAAGGGAGGCATTCTATGTGATTGGTTTGGGAAGCATATTTGGCTTTCTCTAGTCAGTATTGAGTTGGAAGTGTTGTGAATGAGGGAGCTGCGGAAGTTAGGGATCTGGTAGTCATTGGCCATTTCCTGATTATTCTGGGCTGATGATTGCAGAGATTGTGGTTTGACTTCCCAGACTGGTTGCTGCAGGGATTGTGGTTTGGCTTCCTTGTCTGGTTGCTGCAGAGGTTGTAGGTTAGAGTTCTATTATCATATGTAGTTTAGTAATTGTATATTATATTGTATAGTCAGTCTCTTGGTTATATTTTGGTATGTGTTATGGATCTTATATAGAATTTTACATCCTATTTTTTTTCACTTAACATTAGAATATAAACACTTTTTGGTTGTTAAGGATTTTTTTCTTTATATAAATGTAATGGCTGTATAACAATCAGTTTAGGGGATGTACTTTTATTACTGGAAATTTAATTTTCATTCAGTTTTTCTCTTCTTACAGTAATGCTTTTACGAACATCTGTGGGCATTAAACCTTCAGCATATTTAATATTACTTCCCGAGATGAAATTTCTAGTTGTAAAATAGTTAGGTTATAAGTCTTTATATATCTTGTTGAATTACTTTCTAAAAGGGTTCACCTAGTAGTATATAACTGTCAGTTCAGTGGTATTCTTACCAGCTTTCGATATTTAGAAATATTTTTACTAACTTAGTAAATGAAAAATACACTTTTGTAATTATTTAATTTGTATTTTATGATTACTGGTGAGCTTGATTATTTTCCAGTATACTTACTAGTCAGTTGAGTTTTTTTTTATGAATTGTCCTTTCATATCCCCTTTCTTCCTATTTATTGGTTCCTAGTAATTTCTATTAGCTTTTATACATTTTAATATATTAAATTGATCAATCTTTTATCTGTTATAGTTTTGTAAAATTTTTCCCAGTTCATTATTTGCATCTTGTTCATGATAGTTCTAATTTGCATAATTCATATTTTTTTCTATTGTCAAATCTATTGACTTATCCTTAGTGATTTCTTTTTTATCCTCTACAATCCAGAGTTTGAATATTCATTTCTATTTTCTTTTTTTTTTTTTTTATGAGAAAATAAACTTATTTTATTTAAGCCATCCAGACTCTGGTACTTTGTCATAGCAGACCCAGCAAGCTAATACAAAGTCTTATCTACATAGTGAGCACAACAGTTATTACATACCATTCTCTCTTAACTGTTATTTAATCATAGTCCTATAAGTACCTGTGTGTTTAGGGCTTATATTATTTCCTTATATTGATGTGTTTTGGCTGTGTTTTAGCTCTTTCTGTAGTAGATTCCTCAGGAAGAGTTCATGGAAACAGTATTTCTTGAGAAATGCATTTTGATACTAGTTTGTAAGGCGCTTTATATTTTTTACTTGAAAGTCATTTTGCCTGGTTATAAAATCCTTGACTTTTTTTTCTTTCTTTGGATGTCTTAAATATGCTACTAATTTTTCCCTGGCATGAGGTATTAGTATTGAAATATTTTAGTGTTTTGATATATCACATTTTGACATTTTTATTTTAACCAAATTCATTTTAGTATATAGTATGACTCCAAAATGATGTTTCCCCCAAACAGCCCGTCGGTTGCACCATACCATTTAACTTCTGCTTCCCTCTTCCACTGAATGTGGTATTCCTTTGTCATATATTAAGTTTTGAAATGTACTAGGATTTATAACTGGGATAACTATGTTTTTCTATTTAACTGCTGCTTCCCTCTTCCACTGAATGTGGTACTCCTTTGTCATATATTAAGTTTTGAAATGTACTAGGATTTATAACTGGGATAACTATGTTTTTCTATCTTTCTGCCTGTTCTTGTGGCAATCACATACCAATTTCTTTTTTCAGTCTAAAGGCTGACCAAAATGCTATGTAGACTAGGTTCTGGAATATTTAAAAGGAAATACAGTTTGTGTGCCTATCAGCCAAAGACTGCATACCTGTAGTTAAACAAAGTTGGGTTTTCTCTTTTTTTTTTTTTTTAGAATAAGGGAGACTATATACCATAGGGAGGGCTTGTTACAGGATTTGAACTTGTGTTAGGTCATTTTAGACAAAGTTCAAAGAAACACGAATTAGATATTGTCAGAAAGTGGGGTAATTCTATCATTTGTTATCCTAAGACGTTTTAACTAGAAGGTAGGAAGAGTGGCATGAGGCTACATAATAGGTAAAGAAGAAGCAGTTGCATATGTTAGCTGGATAAGGGGAGCCTTTAGCTATTAGTGTGGTTTGTACAATATTCTTACAGTTATCACTACCCAGACATGATTCCACAGTGGTTTTATTTTTGTCTTGCTTTATTACGGTCATAGAGTGGCTTTGTTTGATGTTGGTTTTCTGTGAAATTATTCATGTTCCAAAAGAGAAAACCATGACCCAGCCCTTAGTGCCAGGTAAACTGCAGCTTACAGCTGTTAGAGGTTGCTTATTTTTTCTTTTGTTAAAAAATCAATTTATTACTTTTAAAGTAGTTTTTGTAGATAAAGTTGCTAGAATATGTTGCTAAGCAGGTATGCTTTAAGAACTAGATAAGAAAAAAAATTTCTCATTATTAGGCAACAATTTGTATTGGTCGATTTGCAGCAACCAGAGAAGGAAACCAAACCACAATCCCTGCAGCAACCAGTCTGGGAAGTCAAACCACAATCTCTGCAATCATCAGCCCAGAATAATCAGGAAATGGCCAATGGCTGCCATATTTGTATTTGTTATGTAATTGTTGGATAACAGCTATTGTTACAGTGTAATTATATACAGTCACATGTAACTTAATGATAGGGATAGGTTCTGAGAAATGCATTGGTAGACAATTTGGTCATTGTGTGAACGTCACAGAGTGTACTTACACAAACCTATATGGCATAGCCTACCACACACTTAGCTATATAGTATAGCCTATTGCTCCTGGGTTATAAACCTATATAGCATGTTGCTTGTACTGAACACTGTAGGCAGGTATAACAGAATGGTAAGTATTTGTGTATCTAAGTATATCTCAACATAGAAAAAGTACAGTAAAAATTATGGTATTATAATTTTATGGGTCCACCCATAATAAGTAGTCCATTGTTGACCAAAATGTCATTATGCAGCACATGATGGTATGAACTTGAAATAGTGTTCTTGGAAACAACTCTCCTAAGTATATAAATTTCTTATGCTCTTATTATTTACATGATTTCTCTATTTATTTACATTTCTTTCCCTCTCCACTTTGAGAAAGTAATGCAGATGTTATTTCCTCCATATAATAGTCTAGCAGGCAGCCATTTTTAATTCTAGCAGATAAATAGAAGATTTGAAGTAGCTTTTATTTTTCTGAGAGTAGTTCAACCCAGCAAATCGCTTTAGTATTTTTTGTGTAGCTAGGTGAATCCACAAAATTCCAGTTACTGTAGAAATAAAGTGAATTTTAAAAAATTAAACTGTTTATAAAAGCTATTATAGAAATAAAATTAACACTGTTGGGACTGTAAACTAGTTCAACCATTGTGGAAGTCAGTGTGGCGATTCCTCAGGGATGTAGAACTGGAAATACCATTTGACCCAGCAATCCCATTACTGGGTATATGCCCAAAGGATTATAAATCATGCTGCTATAAAGACACATGCACACGTATGTTTATTGCGGCACTATTCACAATAGCAAAGACTTGGAACCAACCCAAATGTCCAACAATGATAGGCTGGATTAAGAAAATGTGGCACATATACACCATGGAATACTATGCAGCCATAAAAAATGATGAGTTCATGTCCTTTGTAGGGACATGGATGAAGCTGGAAACCATCATTCTCAGTAAACTATCGCAAGGACAAAAAACCAAACACCACATGTTCTCACTCATAGGTAGGAATTGAACAATGAGAACACATGGACATAGGAAGGGGAACATCACACACCAGGGCCTGTTGTGGGGTGGGGGGAGGGGGAGGGATAGCATTAGGAGATATACCTAATGTTAAATGACGAGTTAATGGGTGCAGCACACCAACATGGCACATGTATACATATATAACTAACCTGCACATTGTGCACAGGTACCCTAAAACTTAAAGTATAATAATAATAAAAAAAGAAATAAAATTAAATTCCAAAAATCCTACAGGAAGCTCTGTTGTGTATGAATTAGGCTGAGTGAGATAAGTTGACTATAATATTCTGATTTTTTACCTAAACTATGCAACATTAGCTGACGCAGTTATTTTAACTGTATCTCAGAAGCTAAATTATCTGGCCAACATCACTGCAAACATTCTATACTGATGGAGTAGTGTCACTGCTGTTTTTTTCAACCCTTTGCTTTTAGTCATTCTGTCATACTGGCAAACATAAATTGTGTGATATAAGAAAATTTTATGAGGTAAAATAATATCTTTAACAAATATATATTTTGATGAGAGCATTGTATTAATATTTGGTAATAAGATAGCCAGACTGTTGAATTAATCATACTCAGAAACTTACTGCATTGGGTGGAGATTCAGACAAGGAAGTGCATAGGGCATAGTCACAGAAGGAATCTGTCTAAAAATTGTATTTACTTGCTTTCATGTGATTAAGCATAGGCAGAGATTAATATTCAAGATGAAAATTCCAGATCCTAGAAGAGCAGAGGAAAGAGTGATATGGGAGGAACTATGATAGTGGACAAGAATTTAAATAGCTTGATCTTGAAGAACTAGGATTAAAGATCATTTAGGAACCAGTAGCAAAACGAATTCAATACCAGGTCTACTGACCAAAGTTTTAAAAAAATCTCCTTTATCTAGAGAGTGGATTACTTTTAAAGGAATGATTGTAGTTTGCTGAAACCTTCAATTTCATTTTGAATGAAACCACCAATCATTTTCTTCTTGTAACTTCACACTGCAAAAAATTTTGAGCTTTTTTTTTGCCCTTCGTATTCTCTCTGCCTAGGTTAGCTCTAATTTATTTCTTTCCCTAGTTTTCTTTTTCTTTTTTTTTTTTTCATTTCTCTTTGTTCAGTCTTTCTTTTCACTGTCTCAGTTGTACATTCTGCCTGTGTTCCAAGATTAAGAATAATTTCTGGTGCTAAATTGTCTTGAGGCATGTTAAGATTTCAGTATATTGTAAATTTCTCATATGACTTCTTTGACCCATGTGCTATTTAGAAGTGTGTTGTCTAATCTCCAAGTATTTTGGGGGTTTCCAGCTATCTCTCTGTTATTGACTTCTAGTTTAATTACACTATGGTCTTAGAGCATACTTTGTTTGGTTTCTATTCTTTTAAATTTGTTAAGGTATGTTTTATGGCCCAGAATGTGGTTTACCTTTGCGAATGTTGTGTGAACTTGAGAAGAATGTGTGTTCTGCTGTTGTTGGATAAAATATTCTATAAATGCCAATCAGATCCAGTTGATGATGGTACTTTTAACTTTTACTATATCTTTACTAATTTTTGGCCTGTGAGATCTGTTAATTATTGAGAGAGGGGTGAAGTCTCCAACGATTATAGTGGATTTATCTATTTCTCCTTGTACTTCTATTAGTTTTTGCTTTACGTATTTTGATGCTCTATTGTTAGACACATAGACATTAAGGATTCTTATTTCCTCTGGAAGAATTAGCCCCTTTATCATTACGTAATGTCCATCTTTATCCTTGGTATTTTTTTTCCTTGTCCTGAATTTGGCATTATCTGAAATTACTATAGCTACACCTGTTTTATTTTAATTAGTGTTTGCATAGTATCTTTCTCTATCCCTTTAGTTTTAATCAGTCTGTGTCTTTATATTAAAGTGGGTTTCTTGTAGACAACATATAGTGGGGGACTGGTTTTTTAATCCACCTTGACAGTCTCTGTCTTTTAATTGATATATTTAATTCATTGCCATTTAAAATGGTTATTGATAGAGTTGAATTAATATCTATCATATTTGTTACCATTTTTATTTGTTGGCTTTGTTCTTTCTGGTTTTTTTTTGGTCTTATACTCTTTTTCTGTCTTGTCTAACTTTGAGCATTTTATATCATTCAATTTTCTCTCCTCTCTTATTAATTCTACTTATTTTTATACTTTTTTTAGTGGTTGCCCTTAGGTTTGCAATATATATTCACAACTAATCCAAGACCCCTTTAAATAACAATGTACCACTACATGAGCCATGCAAGTTCCCTTATAATAAAGTATTTCCAGTTTTTTCCTCCTGTCCTTTATAACTGCGTTCATTCATTTTACTTATCCATAGGTTATAATCACCAAGTACATTGTTGCTATTACTATTTTTGAAAAAAAAAATCTGTTAGCTCAATTAAGAATTTAATTTAAAAAGTTTTTTTTACCCTTATTTATTATTTCCCTAACAGTCTTTCTTTCTTTGTATAGATCTACGTTTCTGACCCATATCATTTTCCTTCTTTCTGAAGAATTTCTTTTAGCATTTCTTGCAAGGAAGATCTACTGGTGACAAATTCCCTCAATTTTTGTTTGTTCAAGAAGGTTATTTCTCCTTCCCTTTTGAAGAATAATTTTATTGGATACAGAATTCTAGGTTGGTGTGGTGTTTTTCTTTCAACACTTTAAACATATCACTTCACATTTTTATGGTTTGCATTGTTCCTGAAGAGAAATCTGATATAATTCTTACCCTAAGTCCTCAATAGATAAAGTTTAGTTTTTCTGCGTTTTTTTTTAAAGATTTTTCTCTTTGTCTTTGATCTTCTGTAGTTTGGATATAATATCCTATGCATATATTTTTTGGTGTTTATCCTATTTGGTGAGCTGAGCTTCCTAGAATTATGGTTTGGTGTCTGTCGTTAATTTTGGGAAATTCTCAGTCACTATTGCTTCAAATATTTCTTCTGTTTCTTTCTCTTGACCTTTCTGATATTCCCATTATGTGTATTTACATTTTTTGATAATCATCTCATAGTGCTAGGATATTCGATTCTTCTTTTTTCTCTTTGCATATCAGTTTGAAAATTTCTATTGAATTTTCTTCAAGCTCACTCTTTTCTTTCTTCAGCCATTTCCAGTCTATAGGTGAGCCCATCAAGGACATTCTTCATTTCTGTTAGAGGGCTTTTGATTTCTAGCATTTCTTTTTGATTCTTAGAGTTTCCATTTCTCTGCTTAAATTACCCACCTGTTCTTACATGGTATCCACTGTTTTTTATAAAGCCCATAGCTTATTAATCATAGATTTAAAAAATCTCTGTCATGTCTGATGCAGTTTTTGACACTTGCTGTCTCTACAAACTGTGTCTTTTTTGGTCTTTTAGTACATCTTGTAATTTTTAAAATGGAAAAAAGGATGCACAGGATAAAAGGGACTGAGATACATAGGCTTTTAGTTTGAGATTATGTTTATCTGATTGGGGTCAAGCTGTGATTGTTCTTTGCTGTAGCTGTAGCTGTAATGTCAGATGGCAAAATTTTTTTCTGTGTCCTTGTTTTTGTATCTTCAGTTGTCTTTAGGTTCACTTAGAGACTCTTTCTTAAATAAAGTCTGATACATGCAGGTTTTTTTTTTTGACAGAGTCTCGCTCTGTCTCCCAGGCTGGAGGGCAGTGGCGTGATCTCGGTTCACCACAACCTCCACCTCCCGGGTTTATGCCATTCTCCTGCCTCAGCCTCCCAAGTAGCTGGGACTACTGGTGCCCACCACCACACCCGGCTAATTTTTTTGTATTTTTAGGCCTCCCAAAGTGCTGGGATTACAGGCGTGAGCCACCACGCCTGGCCACATGCAGTTTTTAAAAGTTGTTTTCCCCTGTTATTATAGGAGCCCTATTGATGTGGTGTTGAGGTGTGGGGGAGGGAAAACATTCTGTAGGTCTATAATTAGGACTCAGTCTTTTAGTGAGCCTGTGTCCTTGGGCTGTGACCTTCACAAGTGCTTCTCAGGTTGATTTATTTTTCTTTTATTAGGGGAGACAGGAAGGCTAGAGTTGGTATTTCTTCTCTCTTCCCCTACCTGGAAGGCTGGAGATGGCTGGAGGTGGGCATATCTCTTCCTTCAGTTTGGTTAGGCTGTGTGTAAAACCTCACTTGGATAAAGTTTTACTTAAGTAAACTAGTTTCCACTAGTTTTAAGTGGAAACTAGTTTCTCTTGAGGACAGGTCTTGTTAAGAACAGAATGCTCTGAGTATATTTCAAAATGACTCCTTTTTCCCTCCCTCTGCTGGAAGCAGGTTGAAATTTTGTTCTGATCTTCACTGTAATAACCTCACAAAAGTGAGTTGCAGGTAAAACTCACAAAAGTGTAGGGACACCTCTAACCCTCCCCACTCCACCAGAGTTTTTAACTCTCAAACTTGTTCACATTAAACCTCCAGCAATTTGTCAGTTAAATTTTAGGCTGTAATCACTGTAGCTCGAACCCTGTTACTGCTTCCCACGCGGAAGTTTCTGTCCTTAGGTTTCTGCTCAGGTATGTTGTGATCCCTATATCTGCCTGTCTGTCTCTCTGTTTTTGGGACAGCAATTTGTCCTGTGACCTTAGTTTTCTGATGGATCTAAAGAAAGTTGTTGATTTTCAGTTTCTTTGCTTTTTTCTTGTTTTGTGGAGGAGAGCGATGACTTCTATCTAAGCTTCCACATGCCAGACTAGAAATGGAAATTTCAGTATCTTAAAAAACAAACAAACAAAAAAACTTAAAATCTTAGGGTCTATGTTGGAATTAATTTATATACTTAAACAAGGGTCTCAGTATCATAATAGTAGTAAATAATTGTTAATGATTTACAACTTTCTGAGTTACTTCGTAGACTCAAATCTGATTTTGATACACAATAATAGGGGCATAAGTTTAACCTTTTAATTATATTGAGGTTTACTATGAGTTATTTTAAAATTGAGAAGTGTTTAGTGAGTGTTTAAGATGTATCCAGCATTCTTTTTCTTTTAAAAGTTTTTTTTTATTTTACAAGTAATGTATCTTCCATGTAAAAAAGTTAGAAAATACAGGTAAGCAAAAACAGAACAATCTATTATTTTACCTAGATATAACCATCATTAATGTTTCACAGTATTTATATGTGATGTTTTTCTATGTTTATGATTACATGTAAAAAGTTTTTATATAAAAATGGGATTGATACATTCTTCTTGGTAATATTTCTACTTAATATATTATTAACATCTTCCTTGTCTGCTCATTTATTTATTTTTTATATATGGTTAAGTGGTTCATAGAATTCTATTAAGCATCCTGGCTTATTTAAATCATTACTCAATTATTTCTAATATTTTACTTTCCTAAAGATACTACATTAAATGTCTTTGTGCATCTTTATATACTTAGAATTCTTCCTTGGGATAAATTCCTAGGAGAGCAACTTCACAGCTAGAAAGTTAGCATATTTTTAAAGGTTTTTGATATATGCGACCAAATTGTCCCACTGAAAGGTTGTACAGGTTGAGCAACCCAAATCCAAAACATTTGGTTATTATCCTGTGGTTCCTTTAACTCAATGGTTGATCTTGACTCTACACCAAGCTATAATTCTTTTGAAAGCCATTTTTGTCTCTGGTCTTAAATTCATATAGGGCAAATCAAGTTCTTTCATCTCGAGATGGGATCAAACTACTGAAATGCTATATAGCTCTCATTCTAAAGCTATCAGTCACACCATGTGTATTCACTAGGTTGGTGACCTTGAACAGTTGATTAGCCTTTCTTTTTCTTTTTTCTTCTTAGAGACAGAGGCTTGCTCTGTTGCCCAGGCTGGAGTGCAATGGCAAAATCATAGCTCACTGCAGTGTCGAACTCCTGGGTTGAAGGGATCCTCCCACCTCATCCTTCCCAAGTAGCTGGAACTACAGGGGCGAAACACCATTCCTGGCTAATTTATTTTTATTTTTTGTAGAGATGGAGTCTCACTATGTTGCCCAGGCTGGTCTCAACTCATAGCCTCAAGTGATCCTCCCACCTTGGCCTCCCATAGTGCTGGGATTACAGGCTTGTGTCAGGACTCCTGGCCTTGATTAGCCTTTGTAAGCCTCAATTTCATCATTTGTAATCATACCACCCATCTCATGGGGCTATAGAAATAAATAAAAATTAAATGATATAATCCACGTAAAGTGTTTTTCATTGTGTCTAGTACGTAGTAAACAAATGGTAGGGATATCAGCCCTGGGTGCAAGGATTGTATACATATAGACTTCTTGGTTTATTGCTAATGTAGCAAGAGGACAGCTGTCATTTTCAAGTTCTTTGCAACTGGCAACAAATAAGCTAAGAAAGAAAGACATGGACTATATTACTTCTTTGGTAGGGGACAAAAATACTGTTTCTGTAAGTAGATTGTGTATTTAGATTTTATTTTATTTATGATGGAGGCTCAAAATGTTCCCCCTCCCCTGTCTACTACTGGAAATTGAAGAAGTCACCATCTGAGGAAAAGAGGTAACCCACAGATACCTAAAAGCTATTCATATTTATAGAAATAACAACAGTACCTGATATCTCAGTGGACTGTTTGAAATGCAAGTGTGTAGCTCATGAGGGAATCAGACGAAAGCAACAGCAAATCGTCTTTAGTAGTTTAACACCATAATTAGTTAGATAACTAATCTTTTTCAATCGTCGAACATAACGTTAAACATAACCCCATTCTTGTTTCTTTTAAGAAATACACTATTACTGAGAAATATAGAAATACCTATCAAGTGTCTATAGGTATTTAATCAGGTGTTTAACATGGTTTCCGGTACAAGTATTTGTATTAGAAGTACAGATGGAATTGGAAGGGGACCTTAAAATGATCTAGTTCACTCTTTTATTTTATAGATGAAGAAACTGAGAGATTGAGTAATGTGTCCAGGTTAGATTGCCAGTGACAGACCTGAGAACTGAACTACGTCTCCTGACTTCTAACAAAATATTTTTACATGTCATTCTATTTCTGTAATTTTGTTTCACAAGATTTTCATTTTTTTTAAAAGTGGTTTTTATTTTACCCAAAAGCCAAATTATTTTCTATGACTGCTAATTTCCATTTTTATTATATATCAATGAGAAAGATCATTAAGTTCATATAAATTAGTTTGATAGCTATATAGACACATAAAATAGATTCAACAAAAGATGTATTTATGTTTTTCAAATGTGATACAGTATTAAGTTGCAATGTGTTTACATGTTAAATACTCTGGGGAGAGAAGCTAGTGTAGCTAGGAAGAAAATAAAAGTTTCAGACAAGCAGGAGAATTTAAGTGGAAGTACTAGGGCAGGAAGAAAGATGGAGTGGAAGCCATGACCATAAAAGATACTGCGAAATGGAATACCAAATTTGAGTTCTTAAGAGTCTAGAAGAGTATGATGACGAGGCTGTGTTCATTTGAGGCTGATATTAATTAGTGATGATTTGTTGAGTTGAAAGAGAGGACAGAATGATGAGGTCAAAGTGTATGATAAATTGAAGCAAGGATATTGAAGACTCTGAGGCTGTTGATAGGGTCCAGAGTAGAGAGAAAATATATAAGCCAGATGGTAAAATCACGTAAGAAGATGAAAATGAGTCCTAGGGGTGGAAAAAAAAAAACAGTGGAATTTATTTGTAGAGCACTATCTGGCTACATGAGAGATTGTTCTTTCAGTCTTGTGTTCTTTATTGAATAATAAAGATGATAGGATTGGATATCCTTTAGGGGTTATGCCCATGGTTAGTTCATGTTATTAGTGTGCTGGTATTCGTATTACTCTGTCACTATATATTGGTATGTATATATACTTTTCAATGGCAAGAATTGGGCCTGTTAATATATATAATTTGATGTGTTTCTTTGAAGGTATGTTTTAACATATATATATATAATATTATGAAAGGAAGTGATAGTATGAGAGATGATGAGATAGTTTAGAGATGGTAAATGAATTTAATTTGAACTTGATTCTCTCGTGTTTTGAAAGGACACTTTTCTTTTAAGTTTAAGTACTATAAATTTGTACTTACATAATATGTTCAACTTACAGAGCATATTAACATGCATTATCTCAATCATGAGTTTTGGGGTAAGATTAACAGTGTGAATTACAGAATAAGTTACTCATATATATGAATTTTGATAAAAATAAGTAGTATTTTGAATGCTTATAAGGCTCTTGAGCTTTAAACAATAGAATCTCTGATCTCAAGTAATTAATACGGTAGGGAAGAAACACAGGTAGTAAAGAATAATCTACTTTTAATCTGTAATAATCACTAGATTTAATAATACATTAGTATGCATAACATATTGGCAATTATATAACTGCATAAAATATTGTAAAAATGTAGGTGCTCATTCTGTTCTAACATCCTAGCATTATATAATTCAGTTTAATATGGTGACAGTAGTCACAAGGATGGTCAGTGGGAAAAGGGTGAGAATGAAAGCTACTGTACTTTTAAAAAAAATTTTAAATGTGCCTTCATTACTATAGAAAGTTCAGACAACAGCTCTGAATACAGAGATAATTATATATTGATTTAAACATTATTCTAGATAAGGAATTTATTTAAATATTTACAAAATACTTTATTACAATTATTTACCTTTCTTAAAATATGACATAACAGTTTTTGAAGGAAAAACTGCTTATATACACAAATCATATCAATGAACTGGAAAACACTACCTATTAATATTTAATCGTGGCACTAGGCTCAGTGAAGGGGGCAAATGGAAGGCATGATGTCTGTTTATAAAGGAGTTTAGAACTTATTTGGGGAGACCAAAGTGCCATATCATTCGTCAATAACTTTGAATAAAAATGGAAAAATCAAAAAAGGAAAAATTAAATGTCTTCACAGTGAGCTGAATATTATTTTCAAGGAGAATTCAGTACACATATGCTCCTATAAGCATTTAAACACAAGCCATTTAAAACACCTAAGCTGTGGTGTTGGCTTAGCATTTTAACAAATATTTTATGTAGCAGTAAGGCTTTGACTTGGAATTTGAGAAGATAAATAGGTGAATATTTTATTTGTGAAAAATGCTAACATTTAGGACCTCATTCGTTTAATCGCTGTGTATAAATAATTTTATGACTATTAGGTTTTTGAAGATACTTTGAAAAGATATTTTATTAGCAGCTCCAATCAAAGCAAAATATTAAAATTGTTCTTGAGATATATAAACAAATAATTACTTCTTGAATACTAAATTCTGATGGGATTTTATTGTCACAGCTACAGTAGAAATTGATGACATCGGCTCTGTATTTCTAATAGAATTATAACAATGGTATTGTAATTTCTGTAGTATTCAATAAACATTGAGATATATGAATATAATACTGCTATTAATGAAGATTATGAAAACAGGTTAATCTAAGTTCCAAGCTAGTGAAAAGTATTTTGTCTTTCTAACCACTTTATATAATAGAAAATATATTATTCAATGTTACTGAATAAAACCTTTGTTTTGAGGCTTTTAACAAATTTAACAGACTTCAAATTTACAACTAGAAATATAAATAAGAATTTCCTCCCTTTTTTTTTGGTAATTGCTTATTGCTAGTATAGGTAATAGCTACTGATTTTTTTTTGTTTTAATCTTCTACCTAGATAATTTACCACATTCTTTTATTTCCAAAACATTTTTAGTAATTTGTTTCTATTTTCTTGTATTTATATGCATTATTTCAATTTATTGTCTTGCTGAATTAGCTTGAATTTATAAAACAAAGTTGAATAATAATGGGAATAGCAAATATATATGTTTTATTCCTGATTTTAATGGGAATGACTGTAGTTTTTTGTTGTTTAGCATATGTTTGTTATTTTCATTATGTCATTTTCTTCTAATCCTATTTCACATATTTACCTGGTTTGACTGCTAAATTTCATCAAATGCCTTTCCAGAACCTAATGATATAATCATGGTTTTATTCTTTAATTTGTTGATTAATGAATAATGTCAATACAAATCCTTATTCAACTTCTTGTTGAAATCTAACAGAAATATGTTTTAAATTTTATTTATTTTCCCTTCCATGAAAAAGAAAAAGTATGAATAATTTTCTGGCTTTGTAAATAAAATTAACTCATATTTATATTTTTCTGAAAATGCTATGTCAATTAAAAATTATTATCACAGGAAAAAATTAAGTAAAACAAACAATCAGAATTACAGATTCCTTAGAGACTAAAGATTATATTCACAAGAGGTAGCAGCAATCTGTAAAGTACAGCTGTCTTGTAAGACTCCTTTTTAGAGACAACATTTGCAAAGACATTTATATGATGAAGAATATCATTTGCTTTTCTGTATCTGTATCTTGCCAAGGTTTATTTTGTAAGCAGTTAGAAGTTCTCACAATTTGAAGGCTAGGGTCTGGAAAACTCAAAATTTAAATTAAGGAAAGGAAAAGGATAAAATAAGTTAGTAACTAATAAGAGTATGAGGTATATATATTTAGTATCTATACTTACATTTGTGGAATAAAATGTGTTTGGCCATGGTTTATCATTGTTTGAATATATCACTTGGTTTTGATTTATCAGTATCTTATTTAGTGTTTTGCACCTATATTTATAAGTCTTCATTTGCTTTATAATGCTTAAAACAATCTGATATTATGTAGACTATAAAATATGATGAGTTTCCTGTGAAATTACTACTATATTCAAAATAGCCCTTTTGTGGCTATTTCATCCTTTGTGGCCCTTTGCAGCAGCCCATCCATCTTTTCTGCCTTGGACCCAGGAAACAACTGTTTTCTTCTTCTTCTTCTTTTTTTTTTTTAAACTGGATCATTAGTATCTTATATAGTTTATTTTTCTCTCTGTCTCGCTTTCTCTCTTTTTCTCTGTCTCTTCTGTTTGAATATATGTATCTGATGTTTAACATATTGAAAGATGAGGGCAATTGGGGGAAGAGTTTGGGACTGAATTAGTGATAAGCACATAAAAACTAAGGAAATGAAGAAAATTTAAAAAAATTAGCCCCAGGGAACAAAAACATTTGTGTGGCAAAGTAAAAGAGTAGTAGTTAGTAGAGACTGAACAGTTAGGA
Organism: Homo sapiens; assembly: GCF_000001405.40. Lineage (NCBI taxonomy): Eukaryota > Metazoa > Chordata > Mammalia > Primates > Hominidae > Homo > Homo sapiens. Next base: position 120,944,109 of record NC_000003.12, read on the forward strand.
TTTTTTTTTGGAGGATGGGGATGTGGGAAGTATGCTTGTATGTGTAATGGGGGTAGGTGAGAAAGAGAATCCTTTTTTTTTCCCTTTGGAAAAGTCAGTAAGTAGCAATGTAAAAATGTTATTTTGAGACACATTAAGTAAAAATACAAAAATAAAGAGCAAAAAATATTGAAAAGTGGTTGCATCTGGGAAGTAGGAAATGGGAGAGGGAAGGAGACATATGACTTTTAATTATCTTAATATGTCCTATAGAATTATATGACTTGTTAAACTATGTGCATGATAGACTATGTTAAAAATAAAACTAGCATGAGAAGAGAAAAAAGTTAGATATAAAATTTCAAAAAATAAGTTAATGAACAAATATCCCATTTCTATTATATATATTTCCAAATATAAAATGGGAGTGGATTAGTGCTTTATTCTTTTAACAATTTAATATAACTACCTTTTGGATCTTTGAATGTGATAGTTTCCTTGTTATTTCAAGAGATTTGTAAGTCTTACTGAGAAACTAGTACCAATACTTCCATCGCCAATGACCAGTGGTTGTTTACGTGAGCAGGTAATTTGCCACTCTTGTGCATACAGAACAATCTTACTTTTTTATTTTTTTGAATCACAATGTGATGGAGTTTCATGGGAACTTGTTATTTCTATCACCGTTATGCCACTCTATGGTGTCATATGCATTATAGACCTTTTACTTAGTCTTTTCTTTCATCCAAGAGAGCAGGAAATTATTCAGCAATACTTTCAGTGACCCAAGATGACATCAGATTTAGGTAAGAGCTGTGAACATACACACATAATCCTAAAAAACTCAAGGTTTAAATGATTTGGCTGTTATTGAAAACAAGCATCATTGAAATTGAGGGACCTTTCTCAACAATGAGAGTTGCTCCATAGTTCCAGTAATAATTGGCTTTTGTTTACCAAAGTGGCAAAATATGTTGTGTCCATCACGTTCCTTACTACAGATATTTTATCTCAAATTATATCAATTCATGACTTACTGCATAAATTTTGAGACAGTTTATGTACAATTTCTGAATTCAAGATCTGGAATGATATGCCCCAATCCACACTTTACCCAGAGTGTAACATCTGTAGACCAAAAACTCGACAAGTAACCTAATATCAGAAAAGGCATAGCATATATTAGGTAATCATAGCTATTTACTGGCAAATCTTCTACCTAGAATAATTTTTAAATAAAATAAATGTATTTCATAATTGGAATATTCTATTCCCTGTTACATATAGGTATTATTATTATTTTCTATACATGGTAGTTTCCAATGGTTACATTAATATTATTAAGTGAAACCTGGTACAATGCTTCTAGGAGTTCTGTGTTCAAATATAGAAATGATAGCTTTGGCATATCAGTATTATTTGAATAGGATATATATATGCAATGTCAACCAAAAAAATCAGATGAAAAATATGTCCAAATATGTTGAATTTATTTGGGAATTAGAAATGAAGTTTTTTTTAACCTGAGATGCATAGCCATGCCAAGCCATGTATGCATCTGAAGAGGCGAGAGTAAAACGAAGCTGGTATTGGCAAAAGGAGAAGTTCACATAAACTGCTTGGAAATAGAGGTCATTGGTTTTGGAGACTCAAAGCCAGAGTTGGCATCAGTTCATTGGTGGAAACGCTATTACTGGGCAAGTGTTCTTTCAAGAGGATCTTATATTAATTATAGCAGTACTGAAAAAAGAATTTCTCTTGGAGTTGTTTTAGAAAGTCCTTGAGACAGTCTTTATCTCAGACATGCAAGCATGAACCCTTCATGCTTTTCGCTTTTCCAGCTCTGGTTTGTTTGGGTCTACAAAAAATGATTTCATTCTGGTATCTGCAACTTTCACAGCATGAACCATTAATATGATAGCACACTAGAAGTCTTTAGAATCAAAAGCCATATTTATTTTTTTCATTTTTTAGGCTGATGATCAATACTGGGAAGCATTCCTCATAAATTAACTTGGTGATCTAATATTTACTTCTTTTTAAAAATGAATGGTTGGGGTATGTATTAGGATGCAAGTTAGGCTACTGTAACAGGCCATAATAACTGTGGCTTAAACAATATAGAAATTTATCTGTCTTTTATGAATATGTCCAATCAAAAGCAACCTTGAACTGATTCCATGATTGTACGGTGTCAATAATCCAACAAGATCTTTCTATCTTGTTCTGCCATCCTCAACATATGGCTTCCATTTCATATTCTAAGATGGCTGTTCTAACTCCTGCTATTGTATCTATTTTCCAATCAGTCAGAAGGTAAGAAAAATAGAATATTTGCCTTTACCATTAAGAATATATTATATATAATTTCTTCTGTTTTCCTTTGTTCACGATCTGGTCTAGCCTGCAGTGGAGGCTGATAAATATAGTATTTAACTGGATTGTTATCTGCTGAACTAAAACTTCTATTAGTATAGAAGGGAAAAATGCAGACATTGGGGAACAGTAGACAGTCCCCATCACAGGTGGTTTTGAGGCTATTTTGCCACATTATGACAGTATTAAGCCTGAACAATCAGGCCTAATATAAATTCTGCTTTGCCAAAGTACTGCTGTTAGTTCTATCCTGGTCCCTTTGTGTTCCCAATTATACTAAGAAAACTAAAACTAAAACTACACTAAAATATTCAGATTTTTTTGGTAGCTGGGTTCTGGTTAGATTCTGCCAATGGGAGGCACTTATGTCAAATTAAAAAGTAGAGGGGAAGCAAAAGTCATTTTGTTTCCGGTAGTGCCTCTTGCAATATCAGCACTGAGTACAGGTTTATGTATTTCATCCTCAGAAGAGGTAGCAACTTCCTTAACTCAGGGTAGTATGACTAGCCCTCCCACATATTTGTAACTAATTCTTTCTATTACATATTTATTTGCTTCAAATATCTAGATAGATTTGTGTAACTATTGATACGTTGGCCACTTCATTCCTGTAATATTTTGAAGGGAGAGTGGAACAAAAGAAAACAAGCAAAGCAAAGTAGCATTAAGAAGAGCTAGATATTAAGAAATTCACTTATTTTTTACTAGCTTTGCTACCATTATCTTACTTCACTGAGCATAAATTATAATATTTCAAGAACACTTTTTGACTTTGTCTAAAACTGAGAATTTTTTAAGCTTAACATAGTTGTCTTCAAACTCTGTTCTACATTTTCTTTGCTCCTTTTTTCCTACTGCATCTATATCATTCCAGTTGATGTCCTTGATTCTTTTGAAATCAACTAGGTACCCCAACTGATGTCAACTTTTTATTGCATACTTTGTCTCATAATACGATTTGGTGTTCTTGAGAAGAAAAAATTCTTTTACTTCAAATTGAAATATAACCCACCCACCATACAATTCACCTATTTAAAGTGTACATTTCAGTGGTGTTTGGTATGTTCACAGAGTTGTGCAACAACCTCCACGATCAATTTTAGAACATTTCCATCAGTCCAGAAAGGCACGTTGTATTCATTAACAGTCAATTCCTATTACTCTGAACCCCCATCCCTTGGCAACCACTAATATAAATTCTGTTTCTATAGATTTTCCTATTCTATACACTTCATGTAAATGGAATCATACAGTATGTGACTAGCTTCTTCAGTTAGCATAACATTTTCAAGGTTCATCTATGTTGTAGCACATATCAGTACTTCATTTTTTAAAATTGAGGAACAATATTCTATTGTGTGGATATACCACATTTTGTTTATTTATTCATCAGTCGATGGACATTTGAGTTGTTTCTTTTTGGCTGCTATGAATAATGCTGCTATGAACATTACAAGAGCTTTGTTTATATTTATGTTTTCATTTCTCTTGGGTTTATGCCCAGGAGCAGAATTGCTGAATCATATGGTAACTCTGTATTTCATATATTGAGGAACTACCAATCTATTTTCCAAAGAGCCTGCATTATTTTACATTTCTAACAGCAATGTATTAGGGCTCCAATTTCTTTACATCTTTATCAACATGTGTTAATATATCTGTTTTTTATTATAGTTATCCTAGTGGGTGCACAGTTGTATCTTGTTGATATGATTTACAGTTCCCTAATGGCTAATGATGTTGAGGATCTTTCGGTGTTTATTGGCCATTTATATATATTATTTATTTATTATATAATAAATGTCTGTTAAGATCCTTTGCCCATTTTAAATTTAGGTTATTTGTCTTTTTATTGAATTTTAAGGGTTCTTTATATATTCTGGATTAAGTTCTTTTTCAGATATTTGATTTGCAAATTATTTTCCCATTCTGTGGATTATCCTTTCCCATTTTTATTTCAATAGTTTTTGGGGAACAGGTGGTTTTTGGTTACATAGATAACTACTTTAGTGCTAATTTCTGAGATTTTTGGCACCCATCACCTGAGCAGTGTACACTGTACCCAATGTGTAGTTTTTAACTCTCACCCAACTCCCACCCTTCCTCCTGAGCCCCCAAAATCCATTATATCATTCTTATGCCTTTGTGTCCTCATAGGTTAGCTCTTACTTATATGTGAGAACATGTAATATTTGGTTTTTCATTCCTGAGTTACTTAACTTAGAATAATGGTCTCCAACTCCACCCAGGTTTCTGTAAATGCTATTATTTCATTCCTTTTTATGACAGAGTAGTATTTTACGGTGTATATATACCACATTCTCTTTATTCACTCATTGGTTGATGGGCATTTAGGCTGGTTCCATATTTTTCTGCGATTGGAAATTGTGCAGCTATAAGCATGCCTGTGCATGTGTCTTTTTCATATAATGATTTTTTTTTTCTTCTGAGTAGATATCCAATGGTGGGATTGCTGGATCAAATGGTAGTTCTACTTTTAGCTCTTTAAGGAATATCTATACTGTTTTCTATAGGAGTTGTACTAGTTTATATTCCCACCAGCAGTGTAAAAGTGTTCACTTTTCACCACATCCACGCCAACATCTATTATTTTTTGATTTTTAAATTATGGTCAGTCTTGCAGGAGTAAGGTGGTATCTCATTGTGGTTTTAATTTGCATTTTCTTGATAATTAATGGTCTTGAGCATTTTTCATGTTTGTTGACCATTTGTGTATCTTCTTTTGAGAATTGTCTATTCATGTCCTTTGCCCAATTTTTCATGGGATTATTATATTTATATTTTTATTTTTTGCTGATTTGTTTGAGTTTCTTGTAGATTCTGGATATTAGTTGTTTCTCAGATGCATAGTTAGTGAATATTTTCTCCCATTCTGTGGGTTGTCTGTTTACTCTGCTGATTATTTCTTTTGCTGTGCAGAAGCTTTTTAGTTTAATTAGGTCCCATTTATTTATGTTTGTTTTTGTTGCATTTGCTTTTGGGTTCTTGGTCATGAACTCTTTGCCTAAGCCAATGTCTAGAAGAGTTTTTCCAATGTTATCTTCTAGGATTTTTATGGTTTCAGGTTTTAGATTTAAGACTTTGATCCACCTTGAGGTGATTTTTGTATAAAGTGAGAGATGAGGATCCAGTTTCATTCTTCTACATGTGGCTTGCCAATTATCCCAGCACCATTTGTTAAATAGGGTGTCCTTTCCCTACCTTATATTTTTGGTTGCTTTGTTGAAGGTCAAATACCTTGTCAAAATATTCAGCTGTATTTCTGGGTTCTTTATTCTGTTCCATTTGTCTACATGCCTATTTTTATACCAGTACCATGCTGTTTTGGTAACTATAGCCTTGTAGTATAGTTTGAAGTCAGATAATGTAATGCCTCCAGATTTGTTTTCTTTAACTGTCTTTGATGGTGTCCTTTATAGCGCATAAGTTTTTGCTTTGGACAGAGTTCAATATGTCTGTTTTTTGTTTCATTGCTTGTGTTTTTGGTGTTTTATTTAAGAAACCATTGTCTACCTTTCCACAGTGTAGACATACATCAAAACACCATGTTCTAACCATAAACATTTATAATTTTTGTCAATTAAAAAATAATTTAAAAAAACATTACCTAATTGAAGTCACTAAGATTTAAACAGATTTCTTTATTCTTAGAGTTTTATAGCTTTGACTTTTATATTTAAACGTACGATCCATTTTGAGTTAATTTTTGTGTATGTTATAAGTAAGGGATTTAACTTGATTCTTTTACATGTGGATATAGAGTTGCTACAGCACCATTTGCTGAAAGGATTAGTCTTTCCTCAATGAATTGTCTTGGCACTCTTTTCAAAAATCAATGGACTGAAAATGTGAGGATTTATTTCTGGAATCTCATTTCCGTTCCATTAATCTATATGTCTATCCTTATGCCAATACCTTATTTTCTTGATTACTTTAGGTTTGTATAAGTTTTGAAATAGAAAAATGTGAGTTACCTAACTTTGTTCTCTTTCAAGATTGTTTTGTTATTATGAGTCTCTTGGATATCTATTTAAATTTTAGGATTAGTTTGTCAATTTTTTTTATTATACTTTAAGTTTTAGGGTACATGTGCACAATGTGTAGGTTAGTTACATATGTATACATGAGACATGCTGGTGCGCTGCACCCACTGCTCAATGAAATAAAAGAGGATACAAACAAATGGAAGAACATTCCATGCTCATGGGTAGGAAGAATCAATATCGTGAAAATGGCCATACTGCCCAAAGTAATTTATAGATTCAATGCCATCCCCATCAAGCTACCAATGATTTTCTTCACAGAATTGGAAAAAACTACTTTAAAGTTCATATGGAACCAAAAAAGAGCCAGCATCGCCAAGTCAACCCTAAGCCAAAAGAACAAAGCTGGAGGCATCACGCTACCTGACTTCAAACTATACTACAAGGCTACAGTAACCAAAACAGCATGGTACTGGTACCAAAACAGATATAGATCAATGGAACAGAACAGAGGCCTCAGAAATAATGCTGCATATCTACAACTATCTGATCTTTGACAAACCTGAGAAAAACAAGCAATGGGGAAAGGATTCCCTATTTAATAAATGGTGCTGGAAAAACTGGCTAGCCATATGTAGAAAGCTGAAACTGGATCCCTTCCTTACACCTTACACAAAAATCAATTCAAGATGGATTAAAGACTTAAACATTAGACCTAAAACCATAAAAACCGTAGAAGAAAACCTAGGCATTACCATTCAGGACATAGGCACGGGCAAGGACTTCATGTCTAAAACACCAAAAGCAATGGCAACAAAAGCCAAAATTGACAAATGCGATCTAATTAAACTAAAGAGCTACTGCACAGCAAAAGAAACTACCATCAGAGTGAACAGGCAACCCACAAAAATGGGAGAAAATTTTCGCAACCTACTCATCTGACAAAGGGCTAATATCCAGAATCTACAATGAACTCAAACAAATTTACAAGAAAAAAACAAACAACCCCATCAAAAAGTGGGCGAAGGACATGAACAGACACTTCTCAAAAGAAGACATTTATGCAGCCAAAAAACACATGAAAAAATGCTCACCATCACTGGCCATCGGAGAAATGCAAATCAGAACCACAATGAGATATCATCTCACACCAGTTAGAATGGCAATCATTAAAAAGTCAGGAAACAACAGGTGCTGGAGAGGATGTGGAGAAATAGGAACACTTTTACACTGTTGTTGGGACTGTAAACTAGTTCAACCATTGTGGAAGTCAGTGTGGCGATTCCTCAGGGATCTAGAACTAAAAATACCATTTGACCCAGCCATCCCATTACGGGGTATATACCGAAAGGAGTATAAATCATGCTGCTATAAAGACACATGCACACGTATGTTTATTGCGGCACTATTCACAATAGCAAAGACTTGGAACCAATCCAAATGTCCAACAATGATAGACTGGATTAAGAAAATGTGGCACATATACACCATGGAATACTATGCAGCCATAAAAAATGATGAGTTCATGTCCTTTGTAGGGACATGGATGAAACTGGAAATCATCATTCTCAGTAAACTATCGCAAGAACAAAAAACCAAACACCGCATATTCTCACTCATAGGTGGGAATTGAACAATGAGAACACATGGATACAGGAAGGGGAACATCACACTCTGGGGACTGTTGTGGGGTGGGGGGATGGGGGAGGGATAGCATTGGGAGATATAACTAATGCTAGTTTGTCAATTTTTGCAAAAAAGCCAGCTGGGATTTTGACAGAGATTGCATTGATTTTAATATCAATTCGGAGAGTATTGCCACATTAATGTTTAATCTATAGATATCTGGGATGACTTTTATTTAGATCTTCAAGTTTTAAAAGAATATTGTGTAGTTTTCAGAGTACAAATTTTGCACTTCTTTTGTTCATTTTATTCCTATATATTTTATTCCTTTGGATTCTACTTATTATAAATGGGGTTCTTTATTTTATTTTTGGATAGTTTATTGTTAGTATGCAGGAATACAATTGACTTTTTATTTTTTTAATATTTCACTTTTAAGTCCTCATAAAAGCCTTTATTATAGCCTAATGGTAAAGCACTGGATTTATAATGGTGATTTTGCAACATGGTGAATCAAGACATTTATCTTCATAAAAACACTTTGAAGCAGTGACTTCAACTCACCGTTTCTATAGTTCTGACAACAATTAATGTCATTTTTCTTCTTTTGGCATTGATGGATGCTTGATCATGCAACTATATAAAGTACCCATGCCCTTATCAATAAACAATATCCTTGGTCAATGAATAAGGGTGTGTACAATTTTTAAAATTTTTTCCGTATAGTTTCTTTTGTACCCTGTCACCCAGGCTGGAGTACAGTGGTGTGATCATGGTTTACTGCAGCCTCAACCTCCCAGGCTCAAGTGATCCTCCTATCTAAGCCTCCAGAGTATCTGAGACTATAGGCATGCACCACCATGCCCAGCTAATTTTTTTTTTTCTTAATAGAGACAAGATCTCTCTATCTTGCCCAGGGTGGTATCGAACTCCTGGGCTCAAGTGATCCACCTGCCTTGACCTCCCAAAGTGCTGGGATTACAGGTGCAAGTCACTGCACCCAGCCCATTTTCCATATAGTTTCTAAGCAATTGTCAGGCATTGTTCTAACAAGAAATGGATCTTACAGACATGCTTGAAATAGATTCACTTAAAGAGCTGTTGAACAAATATGATATGAAATATAAACTTGGAGTGGGGAAAACTACTCATTATAAATAAGCAGCAGTGGAAATCTATACAGTAATTTTTTGCCAGTAGCTCCAATAGCCTTGAAAGATCTCACAATTGACTTTTTTTTTTTTTTTTTTTTTGAGATGAGGTCTTGTTCTGTTGTTCAGGCTGGGGCGTAGTGACATGATCATGGCTCACTGCAGCTTCAACCTCCTGGGCTCAAGTGATCCTTCTGCCTTAGCCTCCTGAGTAGCTGGGACTGCAGGTGTGCGCCATCATGCCTGGTGAATTTTTCCTTTTTTTTTTTTTTTTGTAGAGATGGGGTCTTGTAATATTGCCCAGGTTGGTTTTGAACTCCTGAACTCAAGCAATCCTCCTGCTTTGGCCTCCCAAAGTGCTGATATTACAGACATGGGCCACTGTGCCTAGCCCACAATTGAGTTTTTTACATTAATTTTGTAACTTTAGCTTGCAGAGCTCCTTTATTAGTTCTAATAATTTTTTAGTGTATTTCTTAGGATTGCATTTATACAAAATTGTGTTCCTTGCAGATAGTTTTAGTTCTTCCTTCCTATCTGGATGTGTCTTACTTCTTTTTCTTGTCTAATTGCTCTGGATGGGATAGAACCTTCAGTACAATATTGAATAGAGGTGGATAGAGTGGAAATACTTGTTTGATTCCTAACCTTAGAAGGAAAACATTGATTCTTTCACTAATTTTTATGATGTAGGTTTTTTATACATGCCATTTATTAGATGTATAAGGCAGGAACAGAAAGAAAAGTTGAAAGAATTATATTGTGAACACTCACTAATATGTATATTCTTACCACTAATATTTGACAGTTATCATTCACTTATCATGTATCTATCTATCCATCTGTCCACCCAGGTATCTATATTATTTTGTGGATGCATTTTCAAGTTGCAGATGTCAGTATACTTTACCCTTTAACACCTCCGTATACATAACATTGAATAGATTTTAATATTTGTTTCTAATAATTTCTTAACATTTTTTGAGGTGTAATTTATATGCAGAGAAATCACAAATTTTATTGTACCATTTTATGAGTTTTAACTAATGTATATGCTTGTGTAATCCAAATTGCTATGAAAATACAGAATATTACATCTTTACTCAAAAAAGTTTCTTCATATTCCTTCCCAATCAATAACTCTTCAAGACAACTACTGTTCTGATTTTATAAACTTGTGTATGGCTTCTTAGCATAGTTTTTTTTGAGAATCATTTGTGTTGTTGCATCTATCAGTAGTTTGTGTCTTTTAATTGTTTAGTAGTATTCCATTGTATGATTATATCATATCACAGTTTGTTTTTTTAATTCTTTTGTTGGACACCTGGGCTGTTTCCAGATTTTTACTATTTTGAATACAGCTGGTAGGGTCTTACTTATACAAATCATTTTATGAACATATGCTTTTAATTTTCCTGAATATATGCATAGGAGTGGAATTGCTAGATTGTAAGACAGATGTATATTTAGTTTTATAAGAAACTGCAAGATATTTTAAAAAAGTGTTTGTATCATTTTACACTCCCATCAGCAATGTATGAGTTTAGGTTACTCCATCTCTGTGTTAATGTTTGGTGGTAGCTTTTTTTTTTCCTTTAAACTAATTTTAGACATTCTGGTGGCTATATAATGGTATCTTGTGATTGTAATTTTTATTTCCCTAGAGACTTATTGGTATTATTTGCTCTCTTTCAGACAGTTCGGCATGGTTTTCCTCATCAGCCCACAGCATTAGCCTTTGATCCAGTTCAGAAAATCTTGGCTATTGGGACGAGAACAGGTGCTATACGAATGTATCCTTAAATTTTGGTTCATTATCTGCCACAGTAATGCCAATTACATTTCTTTAAATATTCAGGTAAGATAAATATTTATGACCAAATAAAGTTTATTATTTTTTAAGAAATGAGTAACTATTGTGAAAAATCTGCACTTTCAAATTTATTGGCATATTTTTAATGTCTTTGAGATCAGTATTGATGTCTCTTCTTTAACTCCTGTTATTTGTAATTTGTATCTTCTCTTTTTTCCTTATCCATCTGCCTAGAAGTTTATCAATTGTATTGATTCTCATGATTCTCACAAAGAATCAACTTTTGGGTGCGTTGCTCTTCTTTATTGTGTTTCTATATTCGATTTCATTGAATTCTGCTTTGATCACTTAAATTTCTTTGCTTTTGCTTACCTGGGGTTTAATTTGATCTTCTTTCTCTAGTTTTTAAAGTGGAAACAGTTAATTAATTTGAGAACTTTCTTCTTTTCTAATATGTGCCTATAGTACTATAAATTTCCTCCCAAATTCTACTTTAGTGTCATCTTGTTTTTTAAAATTAAACTTTTTGAGATAATTAATTGTAGATGCACATGTAGTTATAAGAAATAATACAGAGATATCCATATTCTTTCACCTACTTTGCTCCAATTGTAGCATCTTAAAAAACTATAGTGTAATATCACAACCAGGATATTGACATTATACAATCAAGATACAAAACATTTCTATCACCACAAGGATTCTTCATATTGCTCTTTTATGGTCACACCTTGTCCCTCCAACCCCATCCTTGACCCCTAACAACCACTAATTTGTTTTTCATTTCAATAATTTTGCCACTTCAAAAATGTTATATAAATGGAATCATACAGTTTATAATTTTTGGCGATTGGCCATTTTCACTCAGTATAACTCTCTGAAGATTCATTCATATTGTTGCATGTATCAATAGTTTATTCCTTTATACTGAATTGGATAATATTCCATGGTATAGATGTACCACAGTGTAGCCATTCACCTATTCAAAGAAATTTGACTTGTTTCTGGTTTTTGGCTATTCTTACTAAACAACTATGATCATCTGTGTACATATTTTTGTGTGAACCTAAGTTTTTGTTTCTCTGGTGTAAATGCCCAGGAGTACAACTGAAGGGTCATGTGGTAATTAGATATTTTAGTTTTAATTTTTTTAGTGTACCATTCAGCGTTATTAAATACATTTATATTATGCAACCATCATCACCGTCCTTTTCTGTAAATCTTTCACTTTGTAAAACTGAAACTCTACACCCATTAAATTATAACTCTCCATGTCCCTCTTCTTCTAGCCCCTGGAAACCACCATTCTGCTTTCTGTTTCTATAATTTTTACTACTCTAGGTAACTTATATAAGTGAAAGCATACAGTATTCTTCTTTTTTGTGACTGGCTTATTTCATTCAGCATAATGTCCTCAACGTTTATCCATGTTGAAGCATATGTGAGAACTTCCTTCCTTTTTAAGACTGAATAATATTTCATTGTGTGTATATATCACATTTTGATATCTGTTCGTTAATTTATGGGCACTTGTTTTTTCCATGTTTTAGCTATTATGAATAATATTGCTATGAACATGGGTGTACAAATATCTCTTTGAAATGTTGCTTTTAGTTCTTTTGGGTATATATCCAGAAGAAGAATTGCTGGATCATATGATAATTGTATTTTTAATTTTTTGAGGAACTGTCATTCTGTTTCTCATAGCAGCTATACTGGTTTACATTTTCACCAATAGTAATTGCCCTTTGATGCAAATATTTTAAATTTTAATGAAGTTCAAGTTGGCTATTTTTTTCTTTTGTTGCCTGTGCTTTGGTGTCATATGTAAGAAATCTTTACCAAATCCAATGGAATGAAGCTTTTACCCTGTTTTCTTCTAAGAGTTTTATAGTTTTAGGTTTTACATTTGGGCCTTTTATCCATTTCTGAGTGAATTTTTGTATATAGTAAAAGGGTCTAATCTCACTATTTGGCATGTGGATATCCCATTTTCCCAGAACCATTTGTTGACAAGACTGTCTTATCCATTGAATGGTACTGGCACCCTTGTCAAAAAATTATTTGATCATACATGTTAGGGTTTGTTTGTGGGCTCTCCTATTCTATTCCACTGATCTATAGGTATGTTTCTATGTTACTACTACACTGTTTTTATTTACTGTAGCTTTGTAGATTGGAAACCAGATAGTGTGAAATTTGAAATTAGATGAATTTTCAGCACTTATTGAAATGATCGGATAGTTTTTGTTATTGATTATGTTACTGTGATATATGATATTTATTGATTTGCATATGCTGAACCATTCATGAATTCCTGAGATGATTCCCACTTGATAATGATAAGTGATTTTTAAAAAATATGTTGTCTTGTTGAAATTGATTTGTGAGTATTTTGTTGAGGATTTTTGCATCTAGGTTTATCGAGGATATTGGCTTGTAGTGTTCTTTTTTGTTCTGTCTTTGTTGGTTTTGGTATTAGGATAATGCCGGCCTCATAGATGAGATTGAAAGTATTCCCTGCTTTTCAATTTTTTTCTTAAGAGTTTGAGTAGAAGTAGTATTAGTTCTTTAAATGTTTGGTAGACTTCTGAATTACTACTGAGTACATAACGAAATGAAGGTAGCAATAAAGATGTTCTTTGAAACCAACGAGAACAAAGATACAACATACCAGGATCTCTGGGACACATTTAAAGCAGTGTGTAGAGGGAAATTTATAGCACTAAATGCCCACAAGAGAAAGCAGGAAAGATCTAAAATTGATGCCTTAACATCACAATTAAAAGAACTAGAGAAGCAAGAGTAAATACATTCAAAAGCTAGCAGAGACAAGAAATAACTAAGATCAGAGCAGAACTGAAGGACATAGAGACACAAAAAACCTTTCAAAAAATCAACGAATCCAGGAGCTGGTTTTTTGAAAAGATCAACAAAATTGATAGACCGCTAGCAAGACTAATAAAGAAGAAAAGGGAGAAGAGTCAAATAGACACAATAAAAAGTGATAAAGGGGATATCACCACCGATCCTGCAGAAATACAAACTACCATCACAGAATACTATAAACAACTCTATGCAAATAAACTAGAAAATCTAGAAGAAATGGATAAATTCCTGGACACATACACCCTCCCAAGACTAAACCAGGAAGAAATTGAATCTCTGAATACACCAATAACAGGATCTGAAATTGAGGCAATAATTAATAGCTTACCAACCAAAAAAAGTCCAGGACCAGATGGATTCACAGCCGAATTCTACCAGAGGTACAAGGAGGAGCTGGTACCATTCCTTCTGAAACTATTCCAATCAATAGAAAAAGAGGGAATCCTCCCTAACTCATTTTATCAGGCCAGCATCATCCTGATACCAAAGGCTGACAGAGACACAACAAAAAAATAGAATTTTAGACCAGTATCCCTGATGAAGATCAATGCAAAAATCCTCAATATAATACAAACCGAATCCAGCAACATATCAAAAAGCTTATCCACCATGATCAAGTGGGCTTCATCCCTGGGATGCAAGTCTGGTTCAACATATGCAAATCAATAAATGTAATCCAGCATATAAACAGAACCAAAGACAAAAACCACATGATTATCTCAATAGATGCAGAAAAGGCCTTTGACAAAATTCAACAGCCCTTCATGCTAAAAACTCTCAATAAATTAGGTATTGATGGGACGTATCTCTAAATAATAAGAGCTATCTATGACAAACCCACAGCCAATATTATACTGAATGGGCAAAAACTGGAAGCATTCCCTTTGAAAACTGGCACAAGACAGGGATGCCCTCTCTCACCACTCCTATTCAACATAGTGTTGGAAGTTCTGGCCAGGGCAATTAGGCAGGAGAAGGAAATAAAGAGTATTCAATTAGGAAAAGAGGAATTCAAATTGTCCCTGTTTGCAGGTGACATGATTGTATATCTAGAAATCCCCATCATCTCAGCCCAAAATCTCCATAAGCTGATAAGCAACTTCAGCAAAGTCTCAGGATACAAAATCAATGTGCAAAAATCACAAGCATTCTTATACACCAAAAACAGACAGAGAGCCAAATCATGAGTGAACTCCCATTCACAATTGCTTCAAAGAGAATAAAATACCTAGGAATCCAACTTACAAGGGACGTGAAGGACCTCTTCAAGGAGAACTACAAACCACTGCTCAATGAACTTAAAGAGGATACAAACAAATGGAAGAACATTCCATGCTCATGGTTAGGAAGAATCAATGTCTTGAAACTGGCCATACTGCTCAAGGTAATTTATAGATTCAATGCCATCCCCATCAAGCTACCAATGACTTTCTTCACAGAACTGGAAAAAACTACTTTAAAGTTCATATGGAACCAAAAAAGATCCCACATTGCCAAGTCAATCCTAAGCCAACAGAACAAAGCTGGAGGCATCATGCTACCTGACTTCAAACTATACTACAAGGCTACAGTAAGCAAAACAGCATGGTACTGGTACCAAAACAGAGATATAGACCAATGGAACAGAACAGAGGCCTCAGAAATAATGCCACACATCTACAACCATCTGATCTTTGACAAATCTGACAAAAACAAGAAAGGGGGAAAGGATTCCCTATTTTATAAATGATGCTGGTGGGAAAACTGGCTAGCCATATGTAGAAAGCTGAAACTGGATCCCTTCCTTACACCTTATACAAAAATTAATTCAAGATGGATTAAAGAATTAAATGTTAGACCTAAAACCATAAAAACCCTAGAAGAAAACCTAGGCAATACCATTCAGGACATAGGCATGGGCAAGGACTTCATGACTAAAACACCAAAAGCAATGGCAACAAAAGCCAAAATTGACAAATGGGATCTAATTAAACTAAAGAGCTTCTACACAGCAAAAGAAACTACCATCAGAATGAACAGGCAACCTATAGAATGGAAGAAAATTTTTGCAATCTACCTATCTGACAAAGGGCTAATATCCAGAATCTACAAAGAACTCAAACAAAAATTTACCAGAAAAAAACAAACAACCCCATCGAAAAGTGGGCAAATGATATGAACAGACACTTCTCAAAAGAAGACATTTATGCAGCCCAAAGATACATGAAAAAAATGCTCATCATCACTGGGCAACAGAGAAATGCAAATCAAAACCACAATGAGATACCATCTCATGCCAGTTAGAATGGCAATCATTAAAAAGTCAGGAAACAACAGGTGCTGGAGAGGATGTGGAGAAATAGGAACACTTTTACACTGTTGGTGGGACTGTAAACTAGTTCAACCATTGTGGAAGTCAGTGTGGCGATTCCTCAGGGATCTAGAACTAGAAATACCATTTGACCCAGCCATCCCATTACGGGGTATATACCGAAAGGAGTATAAATCATGCTGGTATAAAAACACATGCACACGTATGTTTATTGTGGCACTATTCATAATAGCAAAGACTTGGAACCAACCCAAATGTCCATCAATGATAGACTGGATTAAGAAAATATGACACATATACACCATGGAATACTATGCTGCCATAAAGAAGGATGAGTTCATGTCCTTTGTAGGGACATGGATGAAGTTGGAAACCATCATTCTCAGCAAACTATGGCAAGGACAGAAAAACCAAATACCGCGTGTTCTCACTCATAGGTGGGAATTGAACAATGAGAACACTTGGACACAGGAAGGGGAACATCACACCCTGGGGCCTGTTGTGGGGTGGGGGCAGGGGGGAGGGATAGCATTAGGAGATATACGTAATGTAAATGACGAGTTAATGGGTGCAGCACACCAGCATGGCACATGTATACATATGTAACAAACCTGCACGTTGTGCACATGTACCCTAAAACTTAAAGTATAATAAAAAAAAAAGGAATTCAGCCATGATACTATCAGGTCTTGGGATTTTCTTTGGTGAAAGATTTTTTTTAAATTACTGTTTAAATCTTATTACTCATTTTTGATCTGTTCAGGATATCTATTTCTTCATATTTCAATCTTGGTAGGTTGTATATGTCTAGAAATTTATCAATTTCTTTGAAGTTTTAAAATTTGTTGGTGCATAGTTGTTCGTAATAGTTTCTAATGAGCCTTTGTATTTCTGTGGTATGAAATATAATATCTCCTTTTTAGTTTTTGATTTTATTTAGTTTTTTTTTTCCCCCGTGATACATCTCTTTGTTCACTGAGGTCAATTAGAGGCTATACTTTAGTCTTTCTTTTTTTGTTTTTTTTTTTTAATTATACTTTAAGTTCTAGGGTACACGTGCACAACGTGCAGGTTTGATACATAGGTATACGTGTACCATGTTTGTAGCTGCACCCATCAACTCATCATTTACATTAGGTATTTCTCCTAATGCTATCCCTCCCCCAGCCCTCGTCCCCCAACGAGGCCCCAGTGTGTGATGTTCCCCGCCCCGTGTGTGAGTGATCTCATTGTTCAATTCCCCTCTATAAGTGAGAACACGCAGTGTTTGGTTTTCTGTCCTTGCGATAGTTTGCTGAGAATGCTGGTTTCCAGCTTCATCCATGTCCCTGCGAAGGGCTAGAACTCATCCTTTTTTATGGCTACATAGTATTCCATGGTGTATATGTGCCATATTTTCTTAATCCAGTCTATCATTGATGGACATTTGGGATGCTTCCAAGTCTTTGCTGTTGTGAATAGTGCCACCATAAACATACGTGTGCATGTGTCTTTATAGTAGTATGATTGATAATCCTTTGGGTCTATACCCAGTAATGGGATGGCTGGGTCAAAAGGTACTTGTAGTTCTAGATCCTTGAGGAATCGCCACACTGTCTTCCACAATAGTTGAACTAGTTTACACTCCCACCAACAGTGTAAATGCATTCCTATTTCTCCACATCCTCCCCAACATCTGTTGTTTCCTGACTTTTTAATGATTGCCATTCCAACTGGCATGAGATGGTATCTCATTGTGGGTTTGAATTTCATTTCTCTGATGACCAGTGATGATGAGCATTTTTTCATGTGTCTTTTGGCTGCGTAAATGTCTTCTTTTGAGAAGTGTCTGTTCATATCATTTGCCCACTTTTCGATGGGGTTGTTTGTTTTTTTCTGGTAAATTTTTGTTTGAGTTCTTTGTAGATTCTGGATATTAGCCCTTTGTCAGATAGGTAGATTGCAAAATTTTTCTTCCATTCTATAGGTTGCCTGTTCATTCTGATGGTAGTTTCTTTTGCTGTGTAGAAGCTCTTTAGTTTAATTAGATCCCATTTGTCAATTTTGGCTTTTGTTGCCATTGCTTTTGGTGTTTTAGTCATGAATTCCTTGCCCATGCCTATATCCTGAATGGTATTGCCTAGGTTTTCTTCTAGGGTTTTTATGGTTTTAGGTCTCACATGTAATTCTTTAATCCATCTTGAATTAATTTTTGTGTAAGGTGTAAGGAAGAGATCCAGTTTCAGCTTTCTACATATGGCTAGCCAGTTTTCCCAGCATCATTTATTAAATAGGGAATCCTTTCCCCATTTCGTGTTTTTGTCAGATTTGTCAAAGATCAGATGGTTGTAGATGTGTGGCATTATTTCTGAGGGCTCTGTTCTGTTCCATTGATCTATATCTCTGTTTTGGTACCAGTACCATGCTGTTTTGCTTACTGTAGCCTTGTAGTATAGTTTGAAGTCAGGTAGCATGATGGCTCCAGCTTTGTTCATTTTGCTTAGAATTGTCTTGGCAATGCAGGCCCTTTTTTGGTTCCATATGAACTTTAAATAGTTTTTCCAATTCTGTGAAGAAAGTCATTGGTAGCTTGATGGGGATGGCATTGAATCTATAAATTACCTTGGGCAGTATAGCCATTTTCACTATATTGATTCTTCCTATCCATGAGCATGGAATATTCTTCCATTTGTTTGTGTCCTCTTTTATTTCATTGAGCAGTGGTTTGTAGTTCTTCTTCAAGAAGTCCTTCACATCCCTTGTTAGTTGGATTCCTAGGTATTTTATTCTCTTTGTAGCCGTTGTAAATGGGAGTTCACTCATGATTTGGCTCTCTGTTTGTCTGTTAATGGTGTATAAGAATGCTTTTGATTTTTGCAGATTTATTTTGTATCCTGAGACTTTGCTGAAGTTGCTTATCAGCTTAAGGAGATTTTGGGCTGAGGCAATGGGGTTTTCTAAATATACAATCATGTCATCTGCAAACAGGGACAATTTGACTTCCTCTTTTCCCAATTGAATGCCCTTTATTTCTTTCTCTTGTTTGATTGCCCTGGCCAGAACTTCCAACATTATGTTGAATAGGAATAGTGAGAAAGGGCATCTCTGTCTTGTACCAGTTTTCAAAGGGAATGCTTCCAGTTTTTGCCCATTCAGTATGATATTGGCAGTATGTCATAAATAGCTCTTATTATTTTGAGATATGTGCCATCAATACCTAGTTTATTGAGAGTTTTTAGCATGAAAGGGTGTTGAGTTTTGTCAAAGGTCTTTTTTGCATCTATTGAGATAATCATGTGGTTTTTGTCATTTGTTCTGTTTATTTGATGGATTATGTTTATTGATTTGCATATGTTGAACCAGTCTTGCATCCCAGGGATGAAGCTGACTTGATCATGGTGGATAAGCTTTTTGATGTGCTGCTGGATTTGTTTTGCCAGTATTTTATTGAGGATTTTTGCAGCAATATTCATCAGGGATAGTGGTCTAAAATTCTCTTTTATTGTTGTGTCCCTGCCAGGCTTTTGTATCGGGATAATATTGGCCTCATAAAATGAATTTGGGAGGATTTCCTCTTTTTCTATTGATTGAAATACTTTCAGAAGGAATGATACCAGCTCCTCTTAGTACCTCTGGTAGTATTCTGCTTTGAATCCGTCTGGTCCTGGATTGTTTTTGGTTGGTAGGCTATTAATTATTGCCTCAATTTCAGATCCTGTTATTGGTCTATTCAGAGATTCGACTTCTTCCTGGCTTAGTGTTGCGAGGGTGTATGTGTCGAGGAATTTATCCATTTCTTCTAGATTTTCTAGTTTATTTGCATAGAGTTGTTTACAGTATTTTCTGATGGTAGTTTGTATTTCTGCAGGATCGGTGGTGATATTCTTTTTATCATTTTTTATTGCATGTATTTGATTCTTCTCTCTTTTCTTCTTTATTAGTCTTGCTAGTGGTCTATCAATTTTGTTGATCTTTTCCAAAAAAGCAGCTCCTGGATTCATTGATGTTTTGAAGGGTTTTTTGTGTCTCTATCTCCTTCAGTTCTGCTCTGATCTTAGTTATTTCTTGCCTTCTGCTAGCTTTTGAATTTGTTTGCTCTTGCTTCTCTAGTTATATTAAGTGTGATGTTAAGGTGTCGATTTTAGATCTTTCCTTCCTTCTCTTGTGGGCTTTTAGTGCTATACATACCCTCTATACACTGCTTAAATGTGTCCCAGAGATTCTGGTATGTTGTGTCTTTGTTCTCATTGGTTTCAAAGAACATCTTTATTTCTGCCTTCATTTCGTTATTTACCCAGTAGTCAGTCAGGAGCAAGTTGTTCAGTTCCATGTGGTTGTGCGGTTTTGAGTGAATTTCTTAATCCTGAGTTCTAATTTGATTGCACTGTGGTCTGAGAGACAGTTTGTTGTAATTTCTGTTCTTTTACAATTGCTGAGGAGTGCTTTAGTTCCAATTATGTGGCCAATTTTGAAACAAGTGTGATGTGGTGCTGAAAAGAATGTATATTCTGTTGATTTGGGGTGGAGAGTTCTGTAGATGTCTATTAGGTCTGCTTGTTGCAGATCTGAGTTCAGGTCCTGGACATCCTTGTTAACCTTCTGTCTCATTGATCTGTCTAATTTTGACAGTGGGGTGTTAAAATCTCCCATTATTATTGTGTGGGAGTCTAAGTCTCTTTGTATGTCTCTAAGGACTTGCTGTATGAATCTGGGTGCTCCTGTTTTGGGTGCATATATATTTACAGTAGTTAGCTCTTCTTGTTGAATTGATCCCTTTACCATTATGTAATGGCCTTCTTTGTCTCTTTTGATCTTTGTTGGTTTAAAGTCTGTTTTATTAGAGACTAGGATTGCAACCCCTGGTTTTTTTTGCTTGTTTGTTTTCCATTTGCTTGGTAGATCTTCCTCCATCTCTTTATTTTGAGCCTATGTGTGTCTTTGCATATGAGATGGGTTTCCTGAATACAGCACACTGATGGGTGTTGACTGTTTATCCAATTTGCCAGTCTGTGTCTTTTAATTGGGGCATTTAGCCCATTTACATTTAAGGTTAATACTGTTATCTGTGAATTTGATTCTGTCATGATGTTCACTGGTTGTTTTGTCAGCTAATTGATGCAGTTTCTTCATAGCATCGATGGTCTTTATAATTTGGCCTGTTTTTGCAGTGGCTGATACTGGTTGTTTCTTTCTATGTTTAGTGCTTCCTTGAGGAGCTCTTTTAAGGCAGGCCTGGTGTGACAAAATTTCTGAGCATTTGCTTGTCTGTAAAGAATTTTAATTCTCCTTCATTTATGAAGCCTAGTTTGGCTGGATATGATATTCTCCATTGAAAATTCTTTTCTGTAAGAATGTTGGATATTGGCCCCCACTCTCTTCTGGCTTGTAGGCTTTCTGCTGAGAGATCTGTTGTTAGTCTGATGGGCTTCCCTTTGTGGGTAACTTGACCTTTCTCTCTGGCTGCCCTTAACATTTTTTCCTTCATTTCAACCTTGTTGAATCTGACAGTTATGTGTCTTGGGGTTGCTCTTCTCAAAGAGTATCTTTATGATCTTCTCTTTATTTCCTGAAATTGAGTGTTGGCTTGTCTTGCTAGGTTGGGGAAATTCTCCTGGATAATAACCTGAAGAGTGTTTTCCAACTTGGTGCCATTCTCCCCATCACTTTCAGATACACCAATCAAATGTAGAATTGGTCTCTTCACATAGTCCCATATTTCTTAAAGGCTTTGTTCGTTTCTTTTCACTCTTTTTTTTCTCTAAACTTCTCCTGTGACTTTATTTCATTATTTTGATCTTCCATCACTGATACCCTTTCTTCCACTTGATCGAATCAGCTTTTGAAGCTTGTGCATGCGTCACAAAGTTCTTGTGCCATGGTTTTCAGCTCCATCAGGTCATTTAAGGTCTTCTATACACTGTTTATTCTAGTTAGCCATTCATCTTATCTTTTGTCAAGGTTTTTAGCTTCCTTGCAATGGGTTCAAACATCCTCCTTTAGCTCGGAGAAGTTTGTTATTACTGACCTTCCGAAGCCTACTTCTGTCAACTTGTCAAAGTCATTCTCCGTCCAGCTTTGTTCCGTTGCTGGCGAGGAGCTGTGATCCTTTGGAGGGGAAGTGGCAGTTTGATTTTTAGAATTTTCAGCTTTTCTGCTCTGGTTTCTCCCCATCTTTGTGGCTTTATCTACCTTTGGTATTTAATGCTGGTGACCTAGAGATGGGGTTTTGGTGTAGATGACCTTTTTGTTGATGTTGATGCTATTCCTTTCTGTTTGTTAGTTTTCCTTCTAACAGTCAGGTCCCTCAACTGCAGGTCTTTTGGAGTTTGCTGGAATTCCTCTCCAGGTCCTGTTTGCCTGGGTATCACCATTGGAGGCTGCAGAACAGCAAATATTGCAGAACAGCAAATATTGCTGCCTGATCCTTCCTCTGGAAGCTTCATCCCAGAGTGGCAGCTGTCTATATGAGGTGTTGGCCCCTACTGGGAGGTGTGTTCCACTTAGGCTACAAGGGGGTCAGGGACCCACTTGAGGAGGCAGTGTGTCCGTTCTCAGAGCTCAAATGCTGTGCTGGGAGAATCACTGCTCTCTTCAGAGCTATCAGACAGGGGCGTTTAAGTCTGCAGAAGTTGTCTGCTGCCTTTTGTTCAGCTATACCCTGCCCAGAGAGTTGGATTCTAGAGGCAGTAGAGCTTGTTGAGCTGCAGTGGGCTCTGCCCAATTCTAGCTTCCTGGTTGCTTTGTTTACCTACTCAAGCTTCAGCAATGGTGGACGCCCTTCCCCTAGCCAGGCTGCCGCTTGGCAGATCAACCTCAGACTGCTGTGCTAGCAGTGAGCAAGGCTCAGTGGGTGTGGGACCCACTGAGCCAGGCACGAGAGAGAATCGCCTTGTCTGCCGGTTTTTAAGACCTTGGGAAAAGTGCAGTATTTGGTCGGGGAGTGTCCTGTTTTTCCATGTAGTCTGTCACCGCTTCCCTTGGCTAGGAAAGGGAAATTTCCCCTCCCCTTGCACTTCCTGGGTGAGACAATGCATCACCCTGCTTCAGCTCACCCTCCGTGGGCTGCACCCACTGTCCAACCAGTCCCAGTGAGATTAAGCAGGTACCTCAGTTGGAAATGCAGAAATCACCCATCTTCTGTGTCAATCACACTGGGAGCTGCAGACTGGAGTTGTTCCTATTCGGCCATCTTCAGTTGTGTGATTTTCTAGAGTAGCGCTAAGCTGCTTGGCCTAGCAAGCCTGGGCTGGGATTTTTAGGTCTCTCTTTTGTTCTTACTCTAGCTAAAGGTTTTCAATTTCGTTTATTTTTTCAAAACATCATTTTTATTTTGTTGATATTTGTTTAGTCTCAATTTTATATCTTTATACTCTAATGTTTATTATTTCTTTCCTTCTACTAATTTTGGGTTTGAATTTTTCTTGCTTTCCATTTCTTGAGGTGCAGTGTTAGGCTGTTCATTTGAAGTCTTTCTAATTTTTATGATGTAGGCTTTTTATTGCTATAAACAACTTTCTTCTTAGAACTGCTTTTGCTGTATTTCATAGGTTTTAGTATGTTGTGTTTCCATTTTAATTTGTCTCAAGAAAATTTTCAATTTTCTTTTAAACTTCTTCATTAAACCATTCATTGTTTAGGAATATGTTGCTTAATAATTATGATTTTGTACAGTTTCTGATATTCCTTCTGTGGTTTACTTCTAATTTTATCCCATTATGGTCAGAAAAGTTATTTAATAGTTTTGACTTCTAAAAATTTATTAAGATTTGTTTCGTGACCTAACATATGGTCTGTCCTAGAGAATGTTGCATGTGCTGTTGAGAAAAATGTGTATTCTGCGGCTATTGGATGCAATGTTCTATAAATGTCTGTTTGGTCCATTTGGTCAAGAGTTCAGTTTAGCTCTGATGTTTCTTAGTTGATTTTCTGTTCAGATGATCTGTCTAATGCTGAACATGGAGTGCTGTGGTTTTCTACTGTTATTGTGTCACAGTCAGTCTCTCTCTTTAGGTCTGTTAATATTTGTCTTTTATATTTGGGTGCTCTGGTGTTGACTGCATATATCTTTATAACTGTAATATCCTGTTATTGTATTGACCCCTTCATCATCATATAATGACCTTCTGTATCTTTTTTTATCATTCTTGACTAAATTTTATTTTGTCTGATATAAGTATAGCTACTGCTGCTGTATGTTGGCTTCCATTTGCATGTAATATCTTATTCATCCCTTCACTTTCAGTTTGTGCATGTCTATACTGGTAAATAGAGTTTCTTGTAGACAGTATATAGTTGGATGTTTTAAAAATCCATTCAGCCACCCTGCATTTTAATTTTTAAAATAAATTTCAAAAGCTTTGGGGGTACAGATTGTTTCTGGTTACATAGATAAGTTTTTTAGTGGTGATTTCTGATATTTTAGTGCACCTGTTACCTGAGCATTGTATACTATACCCAATATATAGTCTTTTATCCCTCCCCCGTTCTGAGTATCCAAAGTCCATTATATCACTCTTATGCCTTTGCATCCTCATAGCTTAGCTCTCACTTAAAACATATGATATTTGATTCTTTATTCCTGAGTTACTTCACTTAGAATAATGGCCTCCCGCTCCATCTAAGTTCCTGCAAGAGGCATTATGTCATTCCTTTTTATGGCTGAGTAGCATTTGTATATATGCCATTTTTTCTTTATCTACTTGTTGGTTGATAGACACTTAGGTTAGTTCCATATCTTTGCAATTGTGAATTGTGCCACCATAAACGTGTGTGCATGCATCTTTTTCATATAATGACTTATTTTCCTTTGGGTAGATACTCAGTAGTGGGATTGCTAGATCAAATGGTAATTTTACTTGTGGTTCTTTAAGGAACGTCTATACTGTTTTCCATAGTGTTTGTACTAATTTACATTCCTATCAGCAGTGTAAAAGTGTTCCCTTTTTACCACATCCATGCCAACATCTATTTTTTTTTTTAACTTTTAATTTATAGCCATGCTTGCAGGAGTAAGGTGTAATCTCATCATGGTTTTAATTTGCATTTCCCTGATAATTAGTGATGTTGAGTGTTTTTTCATATGTTTGTTGGTTGGTTGTGTATCTTTTTTGAGAATTATCTATTCATGTCCTTTGCTCATTTTTCGATGGGATTATTTGTGTTTTTTTTTTTTTTTCTTGTTAATTTGTTTGAGTTCCTTGTAGATTCTGGATACTAGTCCTTTGTTGGCTGGATAGTTTGTGAAGATTTTCTTTCACTCTGTGGGTTGTCTGTTTGCTGATTATTTCTTTTGCTCTACAGAGCTTTTTAGTTTAATTAGGTCCCATTTATTTTTGGTTTTGTTGTATTTGCTTTTGGAGTCTTAGGCATGAATTCTTGCCTAAGTCAATGTCTTGAGGAGTTTTTCCAAAGTTATCTTGTAGAATTTTTATCGTTTCAGGTCTTATATTTAAGTCTTTTATCTATATTGACTTGATTTTTGTGTAAAGTGAGAGATGGAGATCCAGTTTTATTTTTCTACATGTGGCTTGCACTCTTTTAATTGAAGACTTTTGTCCACTTACCTTCAAGATTATTTTCTGTTTACATTTTATTACTTGTTTTCTGGTTGTTTTGTAGATACTTTCTTTCTGTTTTCCTCTGTTACTGTTTTCCTTTGTGGTTAAGTGAATTTCTCTGGTAGTATGTTTTGATTTTGTGCTACTTATTTTTAGTCTATTACAGGTTTTTGCATTGTGGTTACTATGAGGCTTCCAAAAAATCAGGTCATTTAAAACTGATTATGACTTAACTTTTATTGCATAGAGAAGAAAAGTATTATAAGAAAACCAAACCCTACCCTTTAACACCCCCCCAATAATTTGATTTATTGGTGTTTCAGTTTACGTCTTTTTATATTATCTGTTTCTTAACCAGTTATTGTAGTAATTATTGATTTTAATAGGTTTTTGTCTTTTAGCCTTCATACTCAAGATGTAAATGGCTTACTTATTCAAATTACAGTTTTAGAATATTCTGAATTAGTCTTTTTTTCTTTTATCAGTGAATTTTACACCTTCAAATGTTTTCTTATTATACACTAGTGCCCATTTATTTTAGATTGAATAGCTTTTAGTATTTCTTGTAAGACAGGTCACATTTTGATGAATTCTCTCAGCTTCTGTTTGTTTGGGAATCTTTGAATGTGTTTAAATGATACTTTTGCTGGGTACAGTATTTTTGGATGGCAATTTTTCCCATCTCTTTTTCAATATAACATCCCATTATCATCTGGACAGCAGGATTTCTGCTGAGAAATCTGCTGCAATCTGTATTCAGGATGCTGTTCAATATGATGTTTCTTTTCTTTTGTTGCTTTGAGTATCCTGTCTTTTCATTTCACTGATTATGATATGCCTTAGAGATTTCTCCTTTGGGTTGAATTTGATGGGTGGCCCCTGAACTTCCTATACCTGGACGATGTCTTCTTTCTCTAGATTTTGGAATTTTTAAACCATTATTATTATTTTTTTTACATGTGCTTTCCAGGTCTTTTTCTTCGTGTCTCCTGAACACTGGCCTGCTGTTTTTTTCCATTCTAGGGGAACTTATATTGAGCACAGGAACTAAAACAATTCACTGGAACTAACTTATTGCTCTTCCATTGTTGTCTGGTCTGGGGAAGACTTACAGTGAACAACAGAACTTAAATGCTGCTCTGGAATTAAAACCCTGCCCTGTTGTTTCCTGAACTGGGGAACACTTACAGTGAGCACCAAATGTTAGACATTGCCCCAGAACTGTATTGTAGCCCTGCCATTGTTTCCCAGTCTGGGGAAGACTTAAGCAGAAACTAGGACTTAATTCTGACATTTTAGTTATTTCTCTGTAGGGGGGAGGTTCCAGATTGAGCATCTGGGCATTGGGAAAAATCTGGTTAGAAATTTGGGCCTTCCTGCAGATTGCGTTCTCTGCAGCCTTATGGTACCAGTCAGTTGCTTTTACAATTTTATTTATTTAAGAAAATTTTTTTGTAAATTTTTCAAGTGCAATTTTGTTACATGGATATATTGAGTAGTGGAGAAATTGAGGATTTTGTACCCGTCACCCAAGTAGTGTACATTGTACTCAGTAGGTACTATTTTATCCTTCACCCGCACCCCCCCCAACTCCTTAACTCCATCCCACCTTTTGGAGCCTCCAATGTCTATTATTCAACTCTGTGTGTCTATGTGTACCCACTGTTTAGCTTCTGCTAAACATGTGGTTAGTGAGAACATGTGGTTTTTGACTTTCTATTTCTTTCTATTTCTGAGTCATTTCACATCTTAGGATAGTGGCCTCCAGTTCCATCCATATTGCTGCAAAATACACGACTTTATTCTTTTTATGGCTGAGTAGTATTCCATGGCACATGCATACATACACACACACACACACACACACACATATACATTCATCTATATACACACATATATAAGCACCATGGAATAATACATATATGTACACACACATATATGTGTGTATATATATATCACATTTTATATATGTGTATATATGTGTATGTATATATATATATACACACATATATATATATGTCTGTGCCATGGAATACTGGTATAATATACTATTATAATATCCATGCGCACACATGCATGCACACACACACAGAAGTGTATATGACTGTTTTTTAACCAACCCTTCATATCATTCATTGATGAGCACTTAGATTGATTCCATGACTTTGCTATTGTGGCCAGTGCTGTGACCTACTGTGACAAACGGGGAATGTGATGTCTCTAGCTTTATTCTTTTTGCTTAGAATTTCTTTGGCTATTGGGACATTTTTTTGGTTTATATGAATTTTACAATTATTCTTATTCTATGGGGAATGATGTTGGCATTGGTAATTTGATAGGAATTGCATTGAATATGTACATTGATTTGGGCAGTATGGTCATTTTAATGATATTGATTCTTCCAATCTATAAGCATGGATGTTTTTCCATTATTTGTGTCATCTATGATTTCTTTCATTGTTGTTTTGTAGTTCTCCTTGTAGAGATCTTTCACCTCCTTGGTTAAATGTATTTCTAGATATACATTTTTCTAGCCATTGCAAATCCGATTGAATTCTTGATTTGCTTCTCAGCTTCATCATTATTGGTGTATATAAATGGTTTTGATTTTTATACAATGATTTTTATATTCTGAAACTTTACTGAATTCATCTATCAAATCTAGGAGTCTTTTGGAGGAGCATTTAGGGTTTTGTAGATATAAGAATATGTCATCAGTGAACAGAGATAATTTGACTTTCTCTTTTCCAGTTTGCATGCCTCTTATTTCTTTCTCTCTTTTGTTACTCTAGCTGGGACTTCCAGTACTATGTTGAATAGGAGTGCTGGAAGCTGGCATTCTTGTCTTTTCCAGTTGTTAGGGGGAATGCTTTCAACTCTACCTCATTGAGTATGATGTTGGCTGTGGATTTGTTGTATACAGCTTTTATAATTTTGAGATATGCTCCTTGTATGCCTAGTTTGTTGAGAATTGTTATCATGAAGGGGTCCTGGATATTATCTAATGCTTTTTCTTCATCTATTGAGATTATCAGGTAGTTTTTATGTTTTTAATTCAGTTTATGTGGTGAATCAAATTTATTGATTTGCATATGTTGAATCGTCCTTGCAATTCTGGAATAAAACTCACTCTATTGTGGTGTATTATCTTCTTGATGTGCTGTTGAATTTGGTTTGCTACTATTTTGTTGAGGAGTTTTTGCAACTCTGTTCATCAGAGATATTGATCTATAGTTTTCCTTTTTGTTGTGTGTCCCTGCCTGGCTTTGGTATCAAAATGATACTGGTTTCCTAGAATGAGTTATGTAGGATTCCCTTCTCGATATTTTGGCATAACTTTAGTAGAACCACCATAAGTTCTTTTTTGTAAATGTGGTATAATTCAGCTGTGAATTTGTCTGGTCCTAGGCTTTTATTTTCGTAGGAGATTCTTAAATTACTGATTGACTTTACTGCTCATTATTGGTATTTTCTTGATTTCTATTTCATCCTAGTTCAATCTCGGGCAGTTATATGTTTTCAAGAGTTTATTCACTTCCTCTTGGTTTTTAGTTTGAGAGTGTAGAGGTGCTCATAATGGTCTCTGGTGATTTTTTTTTGCATTTCTATAATGTCAGTTGTAATGTCAGAAATTGCCATTTCTAATTATGCTTATTTGAATCTTCTCTTTTTTATTCTTGGTTAATCTAGCTAGCAGTCTATCATTTTCTAAAATATTTTCAGAATACTAACTTTTCATTTCTTTGATTCTTTATATTTTTTTATTATACTTTAGTTTTAGGGTACATGTGCACAATGTGCAGGTTAGTTACATATGTATACTTGTGCCATTCTGGTGTGCTGCACCCATTAACTTGTCATTTAGCATTAGGTAAATCTCCTAATGCTATCCCTCCCCCATCCCCCCACCCCACAACAGTCCCCAGAGTGTGATGTTCCCCTTCCTGTGTCCATGTGTTCTCATTGTTCAATTCCCACCTATGAGTGAGAACATGCGGTGTTTGGTTTTTTGTTCTTGCGATAGTTTACTGAGAATGATGATTTCCAATTTCATCCATTCCCTACAAAGGACATGAACTCATCCTTTTTATGGCTGCATAGTATTCCATGGTGTATATATGCCACATTTTCTTAATCCAGTCAATCATTGTTGGACATTTGGGTTGGTTCCAAGTCTTTGCTATTATGAATAGTGCCGCAATAAACATACGTGTGCATGTGTCTTTATAGCAGCATGATTTATAGTCCTTTGGGTATATACCGAGTAATGGGATGGCTGGGTCAAATGGTATTTCTAGTTCTAGATCCCTGAGGAATCACCACACTAACTTCCACAATGGTTGAACTAGTTTACAGTCCCACCAACAGTGTAAAAGTGTTCCTATTTCTCCACATCCTCTCTAGCACCTGTTGTTTCCTGACTTTTTAATGATTGCCATTCTAACTGGTGTGAGATGGTATCTCATTGTGGTTTTGATTTGCATTTCTCTGATGGCCAGTGATGATGAGCACTTTTTCATGTGTCTTTTGGCTGCATAAATGTCTTCTTTTGAGAAGTGTCTGTTCATGTCCTTCGCCCACTTTTTGATGGGGTTGTTTGTTTTTTTCTTGTAAATTTGTTTGAGTTCATTGTAGATTCTGGATATTAGCCCTTTGTCAGATGAGTAGGTTGCAAAAATATTCTCCCATGCTCTAGGTTGCCTGTTCACTCTGATGGTATTTTCTTTTGCTGTGCAGAAGCTCTTTAGTTTAATTAGATCCCATTTGTCAACTTTGGCTTTTGCTGCCATTGCTTTTGGTGTTTTAGAGATGAAGTCCTTGCACATGCCTATGTCCTGAATGTTAATGCGTAGGTTTTCTTCTAGGGTTTTTATGGTTTTAGGTCTGACGTTTAAGTCTTTAATCCATCTTGAATTAATTTTTGTATAAGGTGTAAGGAAGAGATCCAGTTTCAGCTTTCTACATATGGCTAGCCAGTTTTCCCAGCACCATTTATTAAATAGGGAATCCTTTCCCCATTTCTTGTTTTTGTCAGGTTTGTCAAAGATCAGATAGTTGTAGATATGCGGTGTTATTTCTGAGGGCTCTGTTCTGTTCCATTGATCTATATCTCTGTTTTGGTACCAGTACCATGCTGTTTTGGTTACTTTAGCCTTGTAGTATAGTTTGAAGTCGGGTAGCGTGATGCCTCCAGCTTTGTTCTTTTGGCTTAGGATTGACTTGGCGATGCGGGCTCTTTTTTGGTTCCGTATGAACTTTAAAGTAGTTTTTTCCAATTCTGTGAAGAAAGTCATTGGTAGTTTGATGGGGATGGCATTGAATCTATAAATTACCTTGGGCAGTGTGGCCATTTTCACGATATTGCTTCTTCCTACTCATGAGCATGGAATATTCTTCCATTTGGTTGTATCCTCTTTTATTTCCTTGAGCAGTGGTTTGTAGTTCTCCTTGAAGAGGTCCTTCACGTCCCTTGTAAGTTGGATTCCTAGGTGTTTTATTCTCTTTGTAGCAATTGTGAATGGGAGTTCACTCATGATTTGGCTCTTTGTTTGTCTGTTATTGGTGTATAAGAATGCTTGTGATTTTTGCACATTGATTTTGTATCCTGAGACTTTGCTGAAGTTGCTTATCAGCTTAAGGAGATTTTGGGCTGAGACAATGGGGTTTTCTAGATAACAATTCATGTCATCTGCAAACAGAGACAATTTGACTTCCTCTTTTCCTAATTGAATACCCTTTATTTCCTTCTCCTGCCTGATTGCCCTGGCCAGAACTTCCAACGCTATGTTGAATAGGAGTGGTGAGAGAGGGCATCCCTGTCTTGTGCCAGTTTTCAAAGGGAATGCTTCCAGTTTTTGCCCATTCAGTACGATATTGGCTGTAGGTTTGTCATAGATAGCTCTTATTATTTTGAGATACGTCCCATCAATACCTAATTTATTGAGAGTTTTTAGCATGAAGAGTTGTTGAATTTTGTCAAAGGCCTTTTCTGCATCTATTGAGATAATCATGTGGTTTTTGTCTTTGGTTCTGTTTATATGCTGGATTACATTTATTGATTTGTGTATATTGAACCAGCCTTGCATCCCAGGGATGAAGCCCACTTGATCATGGTGGATAAGCTTTTTGATGTGCTGCTGGATTCTGTTTGCCAGTATTTTATTGAGGATTTTTGCATCAATGTTCATCAAGGATATTGGTCTAAAATTCTCTTTTTTTTGTTGTGTCTCTGTCAGGCTTTGGTATCAGGATGATGCTGGCCTCATAAAATGAGTTAGGGAGGTTTTCCTCTTTTTCTATTGATTGGAATAGTTTCAGAAGGAATGGTACCAGCTCCTCTTGTACCTCGGGTAGAATTCGGCTGTGAATCCATCTGGTCCTGGACTCTTTTTGGTTGGTAAGCTATTGATTATTGCCACAGTTTCAGAGCCTGTTATTAGTCTATTCAGAGATTCAACTTCTTCCTGGTTTAGTCTTGGGAGGGTGTATGTGTCCAGGAATTTATCCATTTTTCCTAGATTTTCTAGTTTATTTGTGTAGAGGTGTTTGTAGTATTCTCTGATAGTAGTTTGTATTTCTGTGGGATTGGTGGTGATATCCCCTCTATCATTTTTCATTGTGTCTATTTGATTCTTCTCTCTTTTCTTCTTTAGTAGTCTTGCTAGCAGTGTATCAATTTTGTTGATCATTTCAAAAAATCAGCTCCTGGGTTCATTAATTTTTTGAAGGGTTTTTTATGTCTCTATCTCCTTCAGTTCTGCTCTGATTTTAGTTATTTCTTGCCTTCTGCTAGCTTTTGAATGTGTTTGCTCTTGCTTTTCTAGTTCTTTTAATTGTGATGTTAGGGTGTCAATTTTGGATCTTTCCTGCTTTCTCTTGTGGGCATTTAGTGCTATAAATTTTCCTCTACACACTGCTTTGAATGTGTCCCAGTGTTTCTGGTATGTTGTGTCTTTGTTCTCACTGGTTTCAAAGAACATCTTTATTCCTGCCTTCATTTCGTTATGTACCCAGTAGTCATTCAGGAGCAGGTTGTTCAGTTTCCATGTAGTTGAGCGGTTTTGAGTGAGTTTCTTAACCCTGAGTTTTAGTTTGATTGCACTGTGGTCTGAGAGACAGTTTGTTATAATTTCTGTTCTTTTACATTTGCTGAGGAGAGCTTTACTTCCAACTATGTGGTCAATTTTGGAATAGGTGTGGTGTGGTGCTGAAAAATATGTATATTCTGTTGATTTGGGGTGGAGAGTTCTGTAGATGTCTATTAGGTCCACTTGGTGCAGAGCTGAGTTCAATTCCTGGTTATCCTTGTTACCTTTCTGTCTCATTGATCTGTCTAATGTTGACAGTGGGGTGTTAAAGTCTCCCATTAATATTGTGTGGGAGTCTAAGTCTCTTTGTAGGTCAGTAAGGACTTGCTTCATGAATCTGGGTGCTCCTGTATTGGGTGCATATATATTTAGGATAGTTAGCTCTTCTTGTTGAATTGATCCCTTTACCATTATGTAATGGCCTTCTTTGTCCCTTTTGATCTTTGTTGGTTTAAAGTCTGTTTTGTCAGAGAGTAGGATTGCAACCCCTGCCTTTTTTTGTTTTCCATTTGCTTGTAGATCTTCCTTCATCCCTTTATTTTGAGCCTATATCTGTCTCTGCACGTGAGATGGGTTTCCTGAATACAGCACACTGATGGGTCTTGACTGTTTATCCAATTTGGCAGTCTGTGTCTTTTAATTGTAGCATTTAGTCCTTTTACATTGAAAGTTAATATTGTTATGTGTGAATTTGATCCTGTCATTATGATGTTAGCTGGTTATTTTGCTCCTTAGTTGAGGCAGTTTCTTCCTAGCTTCGATGGTCTTTACAATTTGGCATGATTTTGCAGTGGCTGGTACCAGTTGTTTCTTTCCATGTTTAGTGCTTCCTTCAGGAGCTCTTTTAGGGCAGGCCTGGTGGTGACAAAATCTCTCAGCATTTGCTTGTCTGTGAAGTATTTTATTTCTCCTTCATTTATGAAGCTTAGTTTGGCTGGATATGAAATTCTGGGTTGAAAATTCTTTTCTTTAAGAATGTTGAATATTGGCCCCCACTCTCTTCTGGCTTGCAGATTTTCTGCCAAGAGATCTGCTGTTAGTCTGATGGGCTTCCCTTTGTGGGTAACCCGACCTTTGTCTCTGGCTGCCCTTAACATTTTTTCCTTCATTTCAACTTTGGTGAATATGACAATTATGTGTCTTGGAGTTGCTCTTCTCAAGGAGGATCTTTGTGGCATTCTCTGTATTTCCTGAATGTGAATGTTGGCCTGCCTTGCTAGATTGGGGAAATTCTCCTGGATAATATCCTGCAGAGTGTTTTCCAACTTGGTTCCATTCTCCCTGTCACTTTCAGATACACCAATCAGATGTAGATTCCGTCTTTTCACCTAGTCCCATATTTCTTGGAGGCTTTGTTCGTTTCTTTTTATTCTTTTTTCTCTAAACTTCCCTTCTCACTACATTTCATTCATTTCATCTT